>NC_000011.10:63312952-63615983 GCF_000001405.40 Homo sapiens
TCCTCCTCAGCTTACGTGATCACAGGATTAAGAGATTAAAGAGAGAGCGCCAAGATGGCCGAATACGAACAGCTCCGGTCTACAGCTCCCAGCGTGAGCGACGCAGATGATGGGTGATTTCTGCATTTCCATCTGAGGTCCCGGGTTCATCTCACTAGGGAGTGCCAGACAGTGGGCGCAGGACAGTGGGTGCAGCAAACCATGAGTGAGCCGAAGCAGGGCGAGGCACTGCCTCACTTGGGAAGCACAAGGGGTCAGGGAGTTCCCTTTCCTAGTCAAAGAAATGGGTGACAGACAGCGCCTGGAAAATTGGGTCACTCCCACCCTAATACTGCGCTTTTCCGATGGGCTTAAAAAACAGCTCACCAGGAGATTATATCCCGCACATGGCTCAGAGGGTCCCACGCCCACGGAATCTCACTGATTGCTAGCACAGCAGTCTGAGATCAAACTGCAAGGCAGCAGCGAGGCTGGGGATGGGGTGCCCACCATTGCCCAGGCTTGCTTAGGTAAACAAAGCAGACAGGAAGCTCGAACTGGGTGGAGCCCACCACGGCTCAAGGAGGCCTGCCTGCCTTTGTAGGCTCCACCTCTGGGGACAGGGCACAGACAAACAAAAAGACAGCAATAACCTCTGCAGACTGAAATGTCCCTGTCTGACAGTTTTGAAGAGAGCAGTGGTTCTCCCAGCACGCAGCTGGAGATCTGAGAACCGGCAGACTGCCTCCTCAAGTGGGTCCCTGAACCCTGACCCCCGAGCAGCCTAACTGGGAGGCACCCCCCAGTAGGGGCAGACTGACACCTCACATGGCTGGGTACTCCTCTGAGACAAAACTTCCAGAGTAACGATCAGACAGCAGCATTCACAGTTGATGAAAATCCACTGTTCTGCAGCCACCGCTGCTGATACCCAGGCAAACAGCATCTGGAGTGGACCTCTAGCAAACTCCAACAGACCTGCAGCTGAGGGTCCTGTCTGTTAGAAGGAAAATTAACAAACAGAAAGGACATCCACACCAAAAACCCATCTGTACATCACCATCATCAAAGACCAGAAGTAGATAAGACCAAAAAGATGGGGAAAAAACAGAGCAGAAAAACTGGAAACTCTAGAAAGCAGAGCACCTCTCCTCCTCCAAAGGAACGCAGTTCCTCACCAGCAACGGAACAAAGCTGGATGGAGTATGACTTTGATGAGTTCAGAGAAGGTGGCTTCAGATGAACAAACTACTCTGAGCTACAGGAGGAAATTCAAACCAAAGACAAAGAAGTTAAAAACTTTGAAAAAAATTTAGATGAATGTATAACTAGAATAACCAATACAGAGAAGTGCTTAAAGGAGCTGATGGAGCTGAAAGCCAAGGCTCAAGAACTATGTGAAGAATGCAGAAGCCTCAGAAGCTGATGCAATCAACTGGAAGAAAGGGTATCAGTGATGGAAGATGAAATGAATGAAATGAAGTGAGAAGGGAAGTTTAGAGAAAAAAGAATAAAAAGAAATGAACAAAGCCTCCAAGAAACATGGGACTATGTGAAAAGACCAAATCTACGTCTGATTGGTGTGCCTGAAAGTGACGGGGAGAATGGAACCAAGTTGGAAAACACTCTGCAGGATATTATCCAGGAGAACTTCCCCAATCTAGCAAGGCAGGCCAACATTCAGATTCAGGAAATACAGAGAATGCCACAAAGATACCCCTCGAGAACAGCAACTCCAAGACACATAATTGTCAGATTCACCAAAGTTGAAATGAAGGAAAAAATGTTAAGGGCAGCCAGAGAGAAAGGTCGGGTTACCCACAAAGGGAAGCCCATCAGACTAACAGTGGATCTGTCGCCAAAAACACTACAAGCCAGAAGAGAGTGGGGGCCAATATTCAACATTCTTCAAGAATTTTCAACCCAGTATTTCATATCCAGCCAAACTAAGCTTCATAAGTGAAGGAGAAATAAAATACTTTACAGACAAGCAAATGCTGAGAGATTTTGTCACCACCAGGCCTGCCCTAAAAGAGCTCCTGAAGGAAGCACTAAACATGGAAAGGAACAACCGATACCAACCACTGCAAAATCATGCCAAATTATAAAGACCATCCAGGCTAGGAAGAAACTGCAACAACTAACAAGCAAAATAACCAGCTAACATCATAATGACAGGAACAAATTCACACATAACAATATTAACTTTAAATGTAAATGGACTAAATGCTCCAATTAAAAGACACAGACTGGCAAATTGGATAAAGAGTCAAGAACCATCAGTGTGCTATATTCAGGAAACCCATCTCATGGGCAGAGACACACATAGGCTCAAAATAAAAGGACGGAGGAAGATCTACCAAGCAAATGGAAAACAAAAAAAGGCAGGGGTTGCAATCCTAGTCTCTGATGAAACAGACTTTAAACCAACAAACATCAGAAGAGACAAAGAAGGCCATTACATAATGGTAAAGGGATCAATTCAACAAGAAGAGCTAACTAACTATACTAAATATATATGCACCCAACACAGGAGCACCAAGATTCATAAAGCAAGTCATGAGTGACCTAGAAAGAGACTTAGACTCCCACACAATAATAATGGGAGACTTTAACGCCCCACTGTCAACATTAGAGAGATCAATGAGACAGAAAGTTAACAAGGATATCCAGGAATTGAACTCAGCTCTGCACCAAGCAGACCTAATAGACATCTACAGAACTCTCCACCCCAAATCAACAGAATATACATTCTTTTGAGCACCACACCACACCTATTCCAAAATTGACCACATACTTGGAAGTAAAGCTATCCTCAGCAAATGTAAAAGGACAGAAATTATAACAAATTGTCTCTCAGACCACAGTGCAATCAAACTAGAACTCAGGATTAAGAAACTCACTCAAAACCGCTCAACTACATGGAAACTGAACAACCTGCTCCTGAATGACTACTGGGTACATAATGAAATGAAGGCAGAAATAAAGATGTTCTTTGAAAGCAACGAGAACAAAGACACAACATACCAGAATCTGTGGGACACATTCAAAGCAGTGTGTAGAGGGAAATTTATAGCACTAAATGCCCACAAGAGAAAGCAGGAAAGATCCAAAATAGACAACCTAACATCACAATTAAAATAACTAGAAAAGCAAGAGCAAACACATTCAAAAGCTAGCAGAAGGCAAGAAAAAACTAAAATCAAAGAAGAACTGAAGGAAATAGAGACACAAAAAACCCTTCAAAAAATTAATGAATCTAGGAGCTGGTTTTTTGAAAGGATCAACAAAATTGATAGACCGCTAGCAAGACTAATAAAGAAAAAAAGAGAGAAGAATCAAATAGATGCAATAAAAAATGATAAAGGGGATATCACCACCAATCCCACAGAAATACAAAGTACCATCAGAGAATACTACAAACACCTCTATGCAAATAAACTAGAAAATCTAGAAGAAATGGATAAATTCCTCGACACATAGAGCCTCCCAAGACTAAACCAGGAAGAAGTTGAATCTCTGAATAGACCAATGACAGGCTCTGAAATTGTGGCAATAATCAATAGCTTACCAACCAAAAAGAGTCCAGGACCAGATGGATTCACAGCCGAATTCTACCAGAGGTAGAACTGGTACCATTCCTTCTGAAACTATTCCCATCAATAGAAAAAGAGGGAATCCTCCCTAACTAATTTTATGAGGCCAGCCATCATCCTGATACCAAAGCGTGGTGGAGACACAACCAAAAAAGAGAATTTTAGACCAATATCCTTGATGAACATCGATGCAAAAATCCTCAATAAAATACTGGCAAACCGAATCCAGCAGCACATCAAAAAGCTTATCCACCATGATCAAGTGGGCCTCATCCCTGGGATGCAAGACTGGTTCCATGTATGCAAATCAATAAACATAAGCCAGCATATAAGCAGAACCAATGACAAAAACCACATGATTATCTCAATAGATGCAGAAAAGGCCTTTGACAAAATTCAACAATGCTTCATGCTAAAAACTCTGAATAAATTAGGTATTGATGGGAGGTATCTCAAAATAATAAGAGCTATCTATGACAAACCCACAGCCAATATCATACTGAATGGGCAAAAACTGGAAGCATTCCCTTTGAAAACTGGCACAAGACAGGGATGCCCTCTCTCACCACTCCTATTCAACATAGTGTTGGAAGTTCTGGCCAGGTCAATCAGACAGGAGAAGGAAATAAAGGGTATTCAATTAGGAAAAGAGGAAGTCAAATTGTCCCTGTTTGCAGACAGCATGATTGTATATCTAGAAAACCCCATTGTCTCAGCCCAAAATCTTCTGAAGCTGATAAGCAGCTTCAGCAAAGTTTCAGGATACAAAATCATGTACAAAAATCACAAGCATTCTTATACACCAATAACAGACAAACAGAGCCAAATCATGAGTGAACTCCCATTCACAATTGCTTCAAAGAGAATAAAATACTAGGAATCCAACTTACAAGGGATGTGAGGGACCTCTTCAAGGAGAACTACAAACCACTGCTCAATGAAATAAGAGGATACAAACAAATGGAAGAATATTCCATGCTCATGGGTACGAAGAATCAATATCGTGAAAATGGCCATACTGCCCAAGGTAATTTATGGATTCAATGCCATCCCCATCAAGCTACCAATGACTTTCTTCACACAATTGGAAAAAACTACTTTCAAGTTCATATGGAACCAAAAAAGAGCCTGCATTGCCAAGTCAATCCTAAGCCAAAAGAACAAAGCTGGAGGTATCATGCTACCTGACTTCAAACTCTACTGCAAGGCTACAGTCACCAAACAGCATAGTACTGGTATCAAAACAGAGATATAGACCGGTGGAACAGAACAGAGCCCTCAGAATAATGCCACGTATCTACAACTATCTGATCTTTGACATACCTGAGAAAAACAAGCAATGGGGAAAGGATTCCCTATTTAATAAATGGTGCTGGGAAAACTGGCTAGCTGTATGTAGAAAGCTGAAACTGGATCCCTTCCTTACACCTTATACAAAAATTAATTCAAGATGGATTGAAGACTTAAATGTTAGACCTAAAACCATAAAAACCCTAGAAGAAAACCTAGGCAATACCATTCAGGACATAGGCATGGGTAAGGACTTCATGTCTAAAAGAGCAAAAGCAATGGCAACAAAAGCCAAAATTGACAAATGGGATCTAATTAAACTAAAGAGCTTCCGCACAGCAAAAGAAACTACCATTAGAGTGAACAGGCAACCTACAGAATGGGAGAAAATGCTTGCAACCTCCTCATCTGACAAAGGGCTAATATCCAGAATCTACAATGAACTCAAACAAATTTACAAGAAAAAAACAAACAACCCCATCAAAAAGTGGGTGAAGGATATGAACAGACACTTCTCAAAAGAAGACATTTATGCAGCCAAAAAACACATGAAAAAATGCTCATCATCACTGGCCATCAGAGAAATGCAAATCAAAACCACAATGAGATACCATCTCACACCAGTTAGAAAGGCGATCATTAAAAAGTCTGGAAACAACAGGTGCTGCAGAGGATGTGGAGAAATAGGAACACTTTTACACTGTTGGTGGGACTGTAAACTAGTTCAACCATTTTGGAAGTCAGTGTGGCGATTCCTCAGGGATCTAGAACTAGAAATACCATTTGACCCAGCCATCCTATTACTGGGTATATACCCAAAGGATTATAAAACATGCTGCTATAAAGACACATGCACACGTATGTTTATTGTGGCACTATTCACAGTAGCAAAGACTTGGAACCAACCTAAATGTCCAACAATGATCGACTGGATTAAGAAAATATGGCACATATACACCATGGAATACTATGCAGCCATAAAAAATGATGAGTTCATGTCCTTTGTAGGGACATGGATGAAATTGGAAATCATCATTCTCAGTAAACTATCACAAGGACAAAAAACCAAACACCGCATGTTCTCACTCATAGATAGGAATTGAACAATGAGAACACATGGACACAGGAAGGGGAATGTCACACACCAGAGACTGTTGTGGGCTGTGGGGAGGGGGAAGGATAGCATTAGGGGATATACCTAATGTAAATGAGTTAATGGGTGCAGCACACCAACATGGCACATGTATACATATGTAACAAACCTGCACATTGTGCACATGTACCCTAAAACTTAAAGTATAATAATAATAAAATTAAAAAAAATAACCAGGCATGATGGTGTGCCCCTGTAGTCCCAGCTACTCCGGAGGGTGAAGTGAAAAAGGAGGATCACTTGAACCAGGGATGTCGAGGCCGCAGTGAGGTGTGAAGGCACCATTGCACTCCAGCCTGGGCAACAGAGCAAGATCTGTCTCGAAAAGAAAAAGAAAAGAAAGAAAGAAGGAAAGAAAAAGAAAGAAAGAAAGAAAGAAAGAAAGAAAGAAAGAAAGAAAGAAAGAAAGAAAGAAAGAAAGAAGGAGAGGGAGAGAGAGAGAGAGTGATAAGAAAGAAAGAAAGAAAGAAAGAAAGAGAGGGAGAGAGAGAGAAAGAGTGATAAGAAAGAAAGAAAGAAAGAAAGAAAGAAAGACCCACCCCACTTGTAACTGCTGCTAATAGGAGTGCATATTCAGGGCAGCTTGAATCAGTATTGCTGGGTGGCCATCCTCAAGCTTTGGGCTCAATTAAACTCTACATTTAACATAAAAAAAACTGGGATGATCAATTTCTACGTTTATTCAAAGAAACTATAAACATCAGTTCTATGGGACAATTGGGCCAGTTTCAGTCCCCCCCCCCCGACCATTTTATCTATCAGCTCCTCAATCATTGGGAATCTGGTTATTGATCTTTCTGGCTGCTTCATGGTAAGGAGGGGCATTATAGACAACTTCACACCAAGGGTGACCACTTAGCCACTCAGGAATCAACGGTTAATCTAATACTACAATTTTCTTCAGGAATACAATATTTCTCTCTTCAGTTTCCTACTTCCACCAAAGATAAATCACAGCAGAACCATCTCTTATTAATATTACCTAAAAATGTTTTAAAAAGAGAAAACTAAATTTTACTATTGTATGGTGTATTATTGTTAAAACTAATTTTAATAAATCCTTATAAACAACTGTATCTAATTTTAATTGGTTTGACCATAATATTTCCATAAACTTTTAATGACCTTTTACAATTGCTGTTGAAGAGCAGATTGGGGGGATGGAGCCAAGATGGCTGACTAGAAGCAGTGGTGATTGGAGGCTCCCATCAGAAAGATCCAAAACAGCATGCGAATCCTGCACCAGCAACCAAAGTATCCAGGTTTTGTCATTAGGGCTGACTAGGTGCCTGGCATGATCCACGGAAAGGAAGGAAGAGCAGTGTGGTGCAATGGCCCACCTGAGAGCCACACAGGGCAGGGGAACCCCTACCCCCAGCCAAGGGAGGTGGTGAGTGAGCATGTTATCCAGCCTGGAAAACTGCTTTTTTCACAAAACTGTGCAACCCATGGATTGGAAGATTCCACTCATGAGCCCACACCACCAGGGCCTTGAGTCCCAACAAGGAGCCATGCAGAATCTCAACAGCCAGTCAGCTAGAATCAGCCTAAGCCTGCAGAGTTTATGGTGGCTGAACTCTGAACTCTCCATATTTCTCAGAGGTTTTGTTCATTCCTTTTCAATCTTTTCTCTCTAACCTTGTCTGCCTGCCTATGTCAGCAAGATAGTCTTCAAACTCTGATATTCTCTCTTCCACTTGATTGATTCAGGTATTAATACATGCGTATGCCTCACAAAGTTCTTGTGCTCATTTTTCAACTCCATCTGGTCATTTATGTTCCTCTCTAAACTGGTTATTCTAGTTAGCAGCTCCTCTAACTTTTTATCAACGTTCTTAGCTTCTTTGCATTGGGTTAGAACATGCTCCTTTAGCTCAGTCAACTTTGTTATTACCATAGCCACTGCTGTGGCTGCCTCCTGTGTAATCCAGCTGAGCTCCTTGGGGGAGGGGTGGCAGTCAACACTGTGGCTTTGGGGCCTCCCTGCAGGAACTCCAACTCTAGCCAGGGACTCAGGGACAGAACTCTAATCTCCCGGGGCCTGAGTCCCTAAGGGGAGGTATGGCTGTAGTCTATGCAGACCAGCAGACTTAGTCTTTCCTCCGTTAGCTCTGAGGAATCGGGGCAGTCTAGATGAGTAGGATTCCCCCAAGTGAAGAACACCTCCTCCACCAGAGGACAGCCAAAAGTGCTTCATTAAATGGGTCCTGATTTCCATGCCACCCAACTGGGTGAGAACCCCCAACAAGTGTTGTCAGATATCTATACAAGAATGTTTCTACTGACATCAGGTCAGTGCCCCTTGAGATCAGAAATCCCAGGCCCCCCAAAAGGGGTTGTCAGACATCTTATACAGAAATGTTCCTACTGGCAAGAGATCAGTGCCCCTTGAGGTCAGATATCTCAAGAAGGAGGAGGCACCCATCTTTGCTGTTCTCCAGCCTCCTCAAGTGACATCTCCCGGCACAAGAACAAACCAGATGAATATAGTCTGAAGTGAAGCCCCAGCAAACCATAGGTGTCCCACAAAAGAGGTACCTGATTACTGAAAGAAAAACAAACAGAAAGCAACAACAATATCAATAAAAAAGTTTCCACAAAAACCTCATCCAAGAATCAGCAGCCTCAAAGATCAAAACTAGACAAATTCATGAAGATGAGAAAGAATCAATGAAAAAATGCTGAAAACCGAAAAGGACTGTGTGCCTCTTCACTTCCAAATGATTGCAACACCTCTCCAGAAAGGGCGCAGACCTGGACAGAGGATGAAATGGATGAATTGACAAAAGTAGGCTTCAGAAAGTGGGTAATAAAAAACTTGACTGAGGTAAAGGAGCATGTTCTAACTCAATGCAAAGAAGCTAAGAACCTTGATAAAAAGTTAGAGGAGCTGCTAACTAGAATAACCAGTTTAGAGAGGAACATAATGACCAGATGGAGCTGAAAAATGCAACACAAGAACTTTGTGAGTCATACACATGTATTAATACCTGAATCAATCAAGTGGAAGAGGGAATATGAGAGTCTGAAGACTATCTTGCTGAAATAGGCAGGCAGACAAGGTTAGACAAAAAAGATTGAAAAGGAATGAACAAAACCTCTGAGAAATAAGGAACTATATAAAAAGACTGAAACTATGATTGATTGGCATGCCTGAAAGAGATTGGAAGAATGGAACCAAGTTGGAAAACAAACTTCAGCATATTATACAGGAGAATTTTCCCAACCTATCAAGAGAAGCCCACTAAGATACTCCATGAGAAGATCAATCCCAAGACACATAATAACAGATTCTCCAAGGTCAAAATGAAGGAAAAAATGTTAATGGCAGCCAGAGAAAAAGGCCAGGTTACCTACAAAGGAAAGCCCATCCCGTCAGACTAATAGTAGATCTCTCAGCAGAAACCTTACAAGCCAGAAGAGAGGGAGGGCCAATATTCAACATTCTTAAAAAAAAGAATTTTCAACCCAGAATTTCATATATTGCCAAACCAAGATTTATAAGCAAAGCAGAAATGAAATCCTTTTCAGATAAGCACATGCTGAGGGAATTTATCACCACTAGGCCTGTCTTGTAAGAGCTCCTGAAGGAAGCAATAAATACGAAAAGGAAAACCTGGTACCAGCCACAGCGAAAGACAAGAAAATATAAAGACCAATGACATTATAAAGAATGTCATCAACTAGTGTGCAAAATAACCAGCTAGCATCGTGATGACACGATCAAATTCACACATAACAATATTAACCTTTAATGTAAGTAGGCTAAATGCCCCAATTAAAAGGCACAGACTGGCTAATTGGATAGAGTCAAGAACCATCAGTGTACTGTATTCAAGAGACCCATCTCATGTGCAAAGACACACATAGACTCAAAATAAAGAGTGCAGGAAAAATTTACCAAGAAAAGCTAACTTTCCTAAATATATATGCATCCAATACAGGAGCACCCAGATTCATAAAGCAGGTTCTTAGAAACCTACAAAGAGACTTAGACTCCCACACAATAATAGTGGAACACTTTAACACCCCACTGTCAATATCAGAAAGATCAATGAAACAGGAAATTAATAATAATATTCAGGACTTTAACTCAACTCTGGATCAGGTGGACCTAATAGATATCTACAGAACTCTCCACCCAAAACCAACAGAATATACATTCTTATCAGTGCCACATGGCAATTACTCTAAAATCAACCACATAATTGGAAGTAAAACACTCCTCAGCAAATATAAAAGAACTGAAAACGTAAAAAACCTTCTCTCAGGTTACAGTGCAATCAAATTAGACCTCAGGGTTAAGAAACTCATTCAAAACCACACAACTCATGGAAATTGAACAACTTGCTTCTGAATGACTCCTGGGTAAAAAAGAAATTAAGGCATAACTCAAGAAGTTCTTTGAAACCAATGAGAACAAAGAGACAATGTACCAAATCTCTGGGATGCAGTTAAGCAGTATTAAGAGGGAAATTTATAGCACTAAATGCCCACACCAGAAAGCTGGAAAGATCTCAAATAGACACTCTAACATCACAATGAAAAGAACTAGAGAAACAAGAGCAAACAAAGTCAAAAGCTAGGAGGAGACAAGAAATAACTAAGATCAGAGCAGAACCGAAGGAGATAGAGACATGAAAAACCCTTCAAAAATCAATAAATCCCAGAGCTGGTTCTTTGAAAAAATTAACAAAATAGATACAACACTAGGTAGACTAATAAAGTAGAACAGAGAAGATGTAAATAAACACAATAAAAATGATGAAGGGGCTATCACCACTGACCCCATTGAAATACAAACAACCATCAGAGAATACTATAAACACCTCTATGAAAATAAACTAGAAATTCAGAAGAAATGGGCAAATTCCTGGACACATGCACCCTCCCAAGACTAAACCAGGAAGAAATTGAATCCCTGAATTGACCAATAATGAGTTCTGATATTGAGGCAGTAATAAATAGTCTAGCAACAATAACAACAACAAAAAAGCCAAGGACCAGACAGATTTACAGCCAAATTCTACCAGAGGTACAAAGAGGAGCTGGTACCATTCTTTCTGAAACTATTGTAAACAATAGAAAAAGAGGGGATCCTCCCTAACTCATTTTATGAGGCCAGCATCATCCTGATACCAGACCTTGGCAAGACACAACAAAAAAAGAAAATTTCAGGCCAATATCCATGATGAACCTTAATGTGGAAATCCTCAACAAAACACTGGCAAACCAAATCCAGCAGAACATCAAAAAGCTTATTCACCATGATCAAACTGGCTTTGTCCCTGGGATACAAGACTGGTTTAACATACACAAATCAATAAATGTAATCCATCACATAAACAGAACCAATGGCAAAAACCACATGATTATCTCAATAGAGGCAGAAAAGAGCATCAATAAAATTCAACATCCCTTCTTGTTAAAATCATTCAATATACTAGGTATTTATGGAACACCTCTCAAAATAATAACAGATATGTATGACAAACCCACAGCCAATATCATACTGAATGGGCAAAAGTTGGAAGCATTCCCTTTGAAAACCAGCACAAGACAAGGAGGCCCTTTTTCACCACTCCTATTCAATGTAGTATAGGAAGTTCTGGTCAAGACAATTGGGCAAGAGAAAGAAATAAAGAGTATTCAAATAGGAAGAGAGGAAGTCAAATTGTCTCTCTTTGCAGATGACATAATCCTACATTTAGAAAACCCCATTGTCTCACCCCAAAAACAACTTAAACTAATAAGGAATGTTAGCAAAGTCTCAGGATACAAAATCAATGTGCAAAAATCACAAGCATTTCTATACACAAAAAATAGACAAGCAGAGAGCCAAATCGTAAATGAACTCCCATTCACAATTGCTACAAAGAGAATAAAATACTTAGGAATGCAGCTAACAAGGGACGTGAAGGACATTTTCAAGGAGAACTACAAACCACTTCTCAAGGAAATAAGAGGGGACACAAACAAATGGGAAAGTATTCCAGCCTCATGGATAGAAAGAATCGATATTGCGAAAATGGCCGTACTTCCCAAAATAATTTATAGAATAAATACTGCTCCAAACTACTATTGACATTCTTCACAGCAGTAGAAAAAACTACTTTAAAAATTACATGGAACCAGAAAAAGCCCATATAAGCAAGACAATTCTAAGCAAAAAGAACAAAACTAGAGGCATCACGCTATTTGACTTCAAACTATACTACAAGGCTACAATAACCAAAACAGCACAGTACTGGTACAAAAACAGACATATAGACCAATGGAACAGAATAGAGACCTCAGAAATAAGGCCACACATATACAACTGTCTGATCTTTGACAAACCTGACAAAAACAAGCAATGGGGAAAGGATTCCCTACTTGATAATTGGTACTGGGAAAACTGGCTAGCCATATGCAGAAAACTGAAACTGGACCACTTCCTTACACCTTATACAAAAGTTAACTCAAGATGGATTAAAGACTTTAATATAAAACCCAGAACCATAAAAACCCTAGAAGAAAACCTAGGTGATATCATTCAGGACAAAGGCATGGGCAAAGACTTCATGATTAAAACACCAAAAGCAATAGAAACAAAAGCCAAAATTGACAAATGGGATCAAATTAAACTAAAGAGCTTCTGCACAGCAAAAGAAACTACCATCAGAGCAAACAGGCAACCTAGAGAATGGGAGAAAATTTTTGCAACTACCCACCTGACAAAGGTCTAATATCTAGGATATACAAGGAGCTTAAACAAACTTACAAGAAAAAACCAAACAACCCTATGAAAAAGTGGGTAAAGGATATAAATGGATGCTTCAAAAAAGAAGATATTTATGTGGCCAAAAACATATGATAAAAAGCTCAACATTAATGATCATTAGAAAAATGCAAATGAAAACCACAATTAGATATCATCTCATGCCAGACAGAATGATGATTATTAAAAAGGCAAGAAACAACAGATGCTGGTGAGGCTGTGGAGAACTAAGAATGCTTTTACACTCTTGGTGAGAATGTAAATTAGTTCACCCATTGTGGAAGACAGTTTGGTGATTTATCAAGGATCTAGAACCAGAAATGCCATTTGACCCAGCAATGTCATTACTTGGTATATGCCCAAAGGAATATAAATCACTCTACAATAAAGACACATGCACCCATTTGTTTATTGTGGCACTATTCACAATAGCAAAGACATGTAACCAACCCAAATGCCCATCAATGATAGACTGGATAAAGAAAATGTGTACATATACTGCATAGAATACTATGCAGCCATAAAAAGGAATGAGTTCATGTCCTTTGCAGGGACATGGATGAAGCTGAAAGCCATTATCCTCAGCAAACTAACACTGGAACAGAGAACCAAATACTGTATATTCTCACTCATAAGTGGGAGTTGAACAATGAGAACACATGGACACAAGGAGGGGAACAATGCGAACCAGGGCCTGTCAGAGAGGGTCAAGGGGAGGCCGAACATCAGGACAAATAGTTAATGCATGCAGGGATTAAAACCTAGATATCAGGTTGATAGGTGCAGCAAATCACCATGGCACATGTGTACCTATGTAACAAACATGCGTGCTCGGCACATGTATCCCAGAACTTAAAGAAAATAAATAAACAAATAAATAAAATTTGTGCCCTTAATCACCATGATATCCTGGCTCTTGGGGCCACAACCCCACCTCTTCCACATCTTCATCTAGCAGCTCATTTGGATCCATTTTTCTAACTAAATCCTGTAATTTCTTCCTGGTTGAAGTCTAAAGCAGGAGCAGATTTTTCAGCCAAGTGTTAAGGAAACAAAATAACTCATTATCTCATAATGAAGAAAGACTGTCAAAGTGTTATGTTTTGTTTGTACTTCCTCAAGAGTTCCGTCTACCCTGGCTGATAGTATTGCCACAAGATGACACTGTCAAGACAGAAGTGCCTGAGGAAAGGTAGAGACAACAATTTAGGAAAAGAGGCCAGCCTGAAACCATCTGATAGTTTATATCTCAGCTTCATGGCTTTTCTCTTATTGTACCTCACCTTCCCCCTGCCACCAACCCACATTCTGGCTGCATTAAACAATTTTCAGTTCTCTGACCACCACAAATTTTGGTGCCTCTGGGGCCTTTGGATGAGCTTGTTCTCCCTTCTTCCCACATGCTTAGCTCATGGCATCTCCTTGATGATGCATTTTCTGGCCCACCCAGGTAAAAATGACCACTCCTCCTTTGGCATCTACTCTATCCTGTACATTCTTCTATCAACAGACTATAACACTTTATTGCACATATTTATAAACTTGCATGTTTCTGACTTAGCAAGCTACAGACTCCCTAACAGTAGAGAACATTTGTTCATCTCTCTGTCACTAAATGTTTGTGTGTGTACAACTATGATCCTTCATTCCTAAAGGAAATGTCATGCCACATATATATACCATTAAAAATGATCAAACAATGTGCTAACCATGGTTTTCTTTGGGTGGCAGAATTATATGATATTCATTCTTTCTGTATTTCTAGAGTTTCTGTGATAAACACATATAACTTCGCAAACAAGAAGACCAAAAAAAAAACTGACATTAAAGCAAAAGATGAATAAGCTTTACAATAAAAATTTAAAAATAAAAGAACAGATCAATGCACCATGAAAACCTTGCTAAACTGATACAGGGGCCCAGATGCTGGCCTTGCATAAGTGTGCTTTTGATGTTCCTGTTTAATTTATAGAAAAACTCTGAAGTAATTTTATCACTCAGTATTGACCCTTATAATCTCACATGCCCACATCTTCCATGATAGTGCCTGGGCCTAGAGGGATTGAGTAGTTTTAATTTCTGGCCCTGTGTCTCTTGAGAACCATTCATTTTTTTTTCTTATGTTGCCAACTATTATTTTATTATAAATTAGATATTCTAATAATGGACACTATTAACATATAAATAAAAATGTGACTTTATAAAGTACCAATAGAAATACCAATACATATGAGCTTGTCAAGGGGTCTTACTGAATTAAGAAACTTTCTGCTCAATATATATTCTATCATAAAAATAAGGAGACATCCTTTGAGAATGCACTGTTCATTTTTTTATACTTTAACCACATTTATTTATTTATTTAATTTCTTTTTATTATACTTTAAGTTTTAGGGTACATGTGCACAACGTGCAGGTTTCTTACATATGTATACATATGCCATGTTGGTGTGCTGCACCCATTAACTTGTCATTTACATTAGGCATATCTCCTAATGCTATCCTTCCCCTTCCCCACACCCCACAACAGGCCCCGGTGTGTGATGTTCCCCTCCTGTGTCCATGTGTTCTCATTGTTCAGTTCCCACCTATAAGTGAGAACATGCAGTGTTTGGTTTTTTGTCCTTGCGATAGTTTGCTGAGAATGATGGTTTCCAGCTTCATCCATGTCCCTACAAAGGACATGAACTCATCATTTTTATGGCTGTGTAGTATTCCATGGTGTATATGTGCCACATTTTCATAACCCAGTCTATCATTGTTGCACACTTGGGTTGGTTCCAAGTCTTTGCTATTGTGAATAGTGCCACAATAAACATACGTGTGCATGTGTCTTTATAGCAGCATGTTTTATAATCCTTTGGGTATATACCCAGTAATGGGATGGCTGGGTCAAATGGTAGTTCCAGTTCTAGATGCCTGAGGAATCGCCACACTGACTTCCACAATGGTTGAACTAGTTTACAGTCCCACCAACAGTGTAAAAGTGTTCCTATTTCTCCATATCCTCTGCAGCACCTGTTGTTTCCTGACTTTTTAATGATCGCCATTCTAACTGGTGTGAGATGGTATGGCATTGTGATTTTGATTTGCATTTCTCTGATGGCCAGTGATGATGAGCATTTTTCTATGTGTCTGTTGGCTGCATAAATGTCTTCTTTTGAGAAGTGTCTGTTCATATCCTTCGCCCACGTGTTGATGGGTTTGATTGTTTTTTTCTTGTAAATTTGTTTGAGTTCTTTGTAGATTCTGGATATTAGCCCTTTGTCAGATGAGTAGATTGCAAAAATTTTCTCCCATTCTGTAGGTTGCCTGTTCACTCTGATGGTAGTTTCTTTTGCTGTGCAGAAGCTCTTTAGTTTAATTAAATCCCATTTGTCAATTTTGGCTTTTGTTGCCATTGCTTTTGGTGTTTTAGATATGAAGTCCTTGCCCATGCGTATGTCCTGAATGGTATTGCCTAGGTTTTCTTCTAGGGTTTTTATGGTTTTAGGTCTAACATTTAAGTCTTTAATCCATCTTGAATTAATTTTTGTATAAGGTATAAGGAAGAGATCCAGTTTCAGCTTTCTGCATATGGCTAGCCAGTTTTCCCAGCACCATTTATTAAATAGGGAATCCTTTCCCCATTTCCTATTTTTGTCAGGTTTGTCAAAGATCAGATATTTGTACATGTGTGGCATTATTTCTGAGGGCTCTGTTCTGTTCCATTGGTCTATATCTCTGTTTTGGTAGCAGTACCAAAACTGTTTTGGTGACTGTAGCCTTGTAGTATAGTTTGAAGTCAGGTAGCGTGATTCCTCCAGCTTTGTTCTTTTGGCTTAGGATTGACTTGGCAATGTGGGCTCTTTTTTGGTTCCATGCGAACTTTAAAGAAGTTTTTTCCAATTCTGTGGAGAAAGTCATTGGTAGCTTGATGGGGATGGCATTGAATCTATAAATGACCTTGGGCAATATGGCCGTTTTCACGATATTGATTCTTCCTACCCATGAGCATGGAATGTTCTTCCATTTGTTTGTATCCTCTTTTATTTCCTTGAGCAGTGGTTTGTAGTTCTCATTGACGAGGTCCTTCACATCCCTTGGAAGTTGGATTCCTAGGTATTTTACTCTCTTTGAAGCAATTGTGAATGGGAGTTCACTCATGATTTGGCTGTTTGTCTGTTATTGGTGTATAAGAATACTTGTGATTTTTGCACATTGATTTTGTATCCTGAGACTTTGCTGAAGTTGTTTATCAGCTTAAGGAGATTTGGGGCTGAGACGATGAGGTTTTCTAGATATACAATCATGTCATCTGCAAAGAGGGACAATTTGACTTCCTCTTTTTCTAATTGAATACCCTTTATTTCCTTCTCCTGCCTGATTGCCCTGGCCGGAACTTCCAACACTATGTTGAATAGGAGTGGTGAGAGAAGGCATCCCTGTCTTGTGCCAGTTTTCAAAGGGAATGCTTCCAGTTTTTGCCCATTCATACGATATTGGCTGTGGGTTTGTCATAGATAGCTCTTATTATTTTGAGATATGTCCCATCAATACCTAATTTATTGAGTTTTTAGCATGAAGGGCTGTTGAATTTTGTCAAAGGCCTTTTCTGCATCTATTGAGATAATCATGTGGTTTTTGTCATTGGTTCTGCTTATATGCTGGATTATGTTTATTGATTTGCGTGTGTTGAACCAGCCTTGCATCCCAGGGATGAAGCCCATTTGATCATGGTGGATAAGTTTTTTGATGTGTTGCTGGATTCGGTTTGCCAGTATTTTATTGAGGATTTTTGCACTGATATTCATCAGGGATATTGGTCAAAAATTCTCTTTTTTGTTGTGTCTCTGCCAGTCTTTGGCATCAGGATGATGCTGGCCTCATAAAATGAGTTAGGGAGGATTCCCACTTTTTCTATTGACTGGAATAGTTTCACAAGGAATGGTACCAGCTCTTCTTTGTACCTCTGGTAGAATTCGGCTGTGAATCCATCTGGTCCTGGACTTTTTTTGGTTGGTAAGCTATTAATTATAGCCTCAATTTCAGAGCCTGTTATTGGTCTATTCAGAGACTCAACTTCTTCCTGGTTTAGTCTTGGGAGGGTATATGTGTCCAGGAATTTATCCATTTCTTCTAGATTTTCTAGTTTATTTGCATAGAGGTGTTTATAGTATTCTCTGATAGTACTTTGTATTTCTGTGGGATCGGTGGTGTTATCCCCTTTATCATTTTTTATTGCGTCTATTTGATTCTTCTCTCTTTTCTTCTTTATTAGTCTTGCTAGCGGTCTATCAATTTTGTTGATCTTTTCAAAAAACCAGCTCCTGGATTCATTGATTTTTTGAAGGGTTTTTTGTGTCTCTACATCCTTCAGTTCTGCTCTGAACTTAGTTATTTCTTGCCTTCTGCTAGCTTTTGAATGTGTTTTTTCTTGCTTCTCTGGTTCTTTTAATTGTGATGCTAGGGTGTCAATTTTAGATCTTTCCTGCTTTCTCTTGTGGGCATTTAGTGCTATAAATTTCCCTCTACACACTTCTTTGAATGTGTCCCAGAGATTCTGGTATGTTGTGTCTTTGTTCTCATTGCTTTCAAAGAACATCTTTATTTCTGCCTTCATTTCATTATGTACCCAGTAGTCATTCAGGAGCAGGTTGTTCATTTTCCATGTAGATGAGCAGTTTTGAGTGAGTTTCTTAATCCTGAGTTCTAGTTTGATTGCACTGTGGTCTGAGAGACTGTTATAATTTCTGTTCTTTTACATTTGCTGAGGAGTGCTTTACTTCCAACTATGTGGTCAATTTTGGAATAAGTGCAGTGTGGTGCTGAGAAGAATGTATATTCTGTTGATTTGGGGTGGAGAGTTCTGTAGATGTCTATTAGATCCACTTGGTGCAGAGCTGAGTTCAATTCCTGGGTATCCTTGTTGATTTTCTGTCTCGTTGATCTGTCTAATGTTGACAGTTGGGTGTTAAAGTCTCCCATTATTATTGTGTGGGAGTCTAAGTCTCTTTCTAGGTCTGTAAGGACTTGCTTTATGAATCTGGGTGCTCCGGTATTGGGTGCATATATATTTAGAATAGTTAGCTCTTCTTGTTGAATTGATCCCTTTACCAATATGTAATGGCCTTCTTTGTCTCTTTTGATCTTTGTTGGTTTAAAGTCTGTTTTATCAGAGACTAGGATTGCAACCCCTGCCTTTTTTTGTTTTCCATTTGCTTGGTAGATCTTCCTCCATGTCTTTATTTTAAGCCTATATGTGTCTCTGCATATGAGATGGGTTTCCTGAATACAGCACACTTATGCTTCTTGACTCTTTATCCAATTTGCCAGTCTGTGACTTTTAATTGGAACATTTAGCCCATTTACATTTAAGGTTAATATTGTTATGTGTGAATTTGATCCTGTCTTTATGATGTTAGCTGGTTATTTTGCTCATTAGTTAATGCAGTTTCTTCCTAGCCTTGACGGTCTTTACAATTTGGCATCTTTGCAGGGTCTGGTACCAGTTTTTCCTTTCCATGCTCAATGCTTCCTTCAGTTCTTGTAGGGCAGGCATGGTGGTAACAAAATCTCTCAGCATTTGCTTTTCTGTAAAGGATTTTATTTCTCCTTCACTTATGAAGCTTAGTTTGGCTGGATATGAAATTCTGGGTTGAAAATTCTTTTCTTGAAGAATGTTGAATATTGGCCCCCACTCTCTTCTGGCTTGTAGAGTTTCTGCCGAGAGATCTGCTGTTAGTCTGATGGGCTTCCCTTTGTGGGTAACCCGACCTTTCTCTCTGGCTGCCCTTAACATTTTTTCCTTCATTTCAACTTTGATGATTCTGACAATTATGTGTCTTGGAGTTGCTCTTCTCAAGGAGTATCTTTGTGGTGTTCTCTGTATTTCCTGAATCTCAATGTTGACCTGACTTGCTAGATTGGGGAAGTTCTCCTGGATAATATCCTGCAGAGTGTTTTCCAAGTTGGTTCCATTGTCCCCGTGACTTTCAGGTACACCAATCAGACGTAGATTTGGTCTTTTCACATAGTCCCATATTTCTCAGAGAATTTATTCATTTCTTTTCATTCTTTTTTTTTAATTTTATTATTATTATACTTTAAGTTTTAGGGTACATGTGCACAACGTGCAGGTTTGTTCTCTTCTCACTTCATTTCATTCTTTTGATCTTCCATCACTGATACCCTTTCTTCCAGTTGATTGAATCGGCTACTGAGGCTTGTGCATTTGTCACGTAGTTGTCGTGCCATGGTTTTCAGCTCCATCAGGTCCTTTAAGGACTTCTCTGCATTGATTATTCTAGTTAGCCATTCACCTAATCTTTTTTCAAGGTTTTTAGCTTCTTTGCAATGGGATCGAACTTCGTCCTTTAGCTCAGAGAAGTTTGATCATTTGAAGCTTTCTTCTCTCAACTTGTCAAAGTCACTCTCCATCCAGCTTTGTTCTGTTGCTGGCAAGGAGCTGCTTTCCTTTGGAGGGGAAGAGGTGCTCTGATTTTCAGAGTTTCCAGTTTTTCTCTCTGTCTTTTCCCCATCTTTGTGGCTTTATCTACCTTTGGTCTTTGATGATGGTGACATACAGATGGGGTTTTGGTGTGGATGTCCTTTCTGTTTGTTAGTTTTCCTTCTAGCAGTCAGGGCCCTCAGCTGCAGGTCTGTTGGAGTTTGCTGGAGGTCCACTCCAGAACCTGATTGCCTGGGTTTCAGCAGCAGAGGCTGCAGAACAGCGGATATTGGTGAACAGCAAATGTTGCTGCCTGATCATTCCTCTGCAAGTTTTGTCTCAGAGGAGTACCCAGCCGTGTGAGGTGTCAGTCTGCCCCTACTGGGGGATGCCTCCCAGTTAGGCTACTTGGGGCTCAGGGACCCACTTGAGGAGGCAGTCTCTCTGTTCTCAGATCTCAGGCTGCATGCTGGGAGAACCACTACTCTCTTCCAAGCTGTTAGACAGGGACATTTAAGTCTGCAGAGGTTTCTGCTGCCTTCTGTTTGGCTATGCCCTGCCCCCAGAGGTGGAGTCTACAGAGGCAGGCAGGCCTCATTGAGCTGCGGTGGGCTCCACAGAGTTCGAGCTTCCCAGCTGCTTTGGTTACCTACTCAAGCCTCAGCAATGGCAGGCACCCCTCCCCCAGTCTTGCTGCCGCCTTGCAGTTTGATCTGAGACTGCTGTGCTAACAATAAGGGAGGCTTCATTGGTGTAGGACCCTCTGAGCCATGTGTGGGATACAATCTCCTGGTGTCCCATTTGCTAAGACCATCAGAAAAGCCCAGTATTAGGGTGGGAGTGACCTGATTTTCCAGGTGCCATCTGTCACCCCTGTTTTTGGCTTGGAAAGGGAATTCCCTGACTCCCTGTGCATCCTGGTTGAGGCGATGCCTTGCTCTGCTTTGGCTCACCCTCGGTGCACTACACCCACTATCCTGCACCCAATGTCTGATAATCCCCACTGAGATGCACCCAGTACCTCAGTTGGAAATGCAGAAATCACTCGTCTTCTGTGTTGCTCAGGCTGGGAGCTGTAGACTGGAGCTGTTCCTATTTGGCCATCTTGGCTCCACCCTCCAATTCACTGATTTTTGAAGGGGTTTTCATGTCTCTATCTCTTTCAGTTCTGCTCTGATCTTAGTTATTTCTTGTATTCCCCTAGCTCTTGGCTTTGTTTGCTCTTGCTTCTCTTGTTCTTTTAATTGTGATGTTAGGATGTTGATTTCAGGTATTTCTAGCTTTCTGATGTGGGCATTTAGTGCCATAAATTTTCCTCATGACACTGCTTTAGCTGTGTCCCAGAGATTCTGGTACATTGTCTCTTTGTTGTTGTTGTTGGTTTCATAGAACTTCTTGATTTCTGCTTTAATTTCATTTTTAACCCAGCAGTCATTCAGGAGCCTGTTGTTCAATTTCCATGTACTTGTGTGGTTTTGAGTGAGTTTTTTAATCTTGAGTTCCAATTTGATTCCACTGTGATCTGAAAGACCGTTTGTTATGATTTCAGTTATTTTGCATTTGCTGAGGAGTGTTTTACTTCCTATTATGTGGTCGATTTTAGAGTAAGTTCCATGTAGCACTGAGAAGAATGTATATTCTGTTGTTTTTGGGTGGAGAGTTCTGTAGATATCTCTTAGGTCCTCTTGCTCCAGAGCTGAGTTCAAGTCCTGAATATCCTTGTTAATTTTCTGTCTCAGTGATCTGTCTAATATTCATAATGGGGTGTTAAAATCTCCCACTTTTATTGTGTATGAGTCTAAGTCTGTAGGTCTCTGAGAACTTGTTTTGTAAATCTGGGTGCTCCTGTATTAGGTGCATATATTTAGTATATTAACTAACTATTTAGGATAGTTAGTTCTTCTTGCTGAATTGATCCCTTTGCCATTATGTAACGTTCTGGTTTTATCAGAAATTAGGATTGCAATCCCTGCTTTTTTCTGCTTTCCATTTGCTTGGTAAATTTTCCTCAATCTGTTTATTTTGAGCCTGTGTGTCTTTGCATGTAAGATGGGTCTTTTGAATACAACACACCGATGAGTCTTGACTCCTTATCCAATTTGCTAGTCTGTGTCTTTTAATTGGGGCATTTAGTCCATTTACATTTATGGTTAATATTGTAATGTTTGAATTTGATCTTGTCATCATGATGCTAGTTGGTTATTTTGCATGCTAGTTGATGTCATTTCTTCATAACGTCATTGGTCTGTATATTTTTATGTCTTTTGCAGTGGCTGGTACCAGTTTTTCCTTTTCATATTTAGTGCTTCCTTCAGGAGCTCTTGCAAGGCAGGCCTGGTGGTGATGAATTCCCTCAGCATTTGCTTACCTGAAAAGGATTTTATTTCTCCTTTGCTCATGAAGCTTAGTTTGTTAGCATATGAGATTCTGTGTTGAAAATTCTTTTTTAAAGAATGTTGAATATTGCCCACTCTGCCCCCAACACACACACTCTCTTCTGGCTTGTAGGGTTTCTGCTGAGAGATCCACTCTTAGCCTGATGTGCTTTCCTTTGTAGGTAACCTGGCCTTTCTCTCTGGCTGCCTTTAGTGTTTTTTCCTTCATTTCAACTTGGGAGAATCTGATGATTATGTGTCTTGGGGTTGATCTTCTTGTGGAGTATCTTAGTGGGGTTCTCTGTGTTTCCTGAATTTGAAAGTTGGTCTGTCTTGCTAGGTTGGGGAAGTTCTCCTGGATGATATCCTGAAGTGTGTTCTCCAATTTTGTCCCATTCTTCCCGTCTCTTTCAGGTACTCCAGTCAGTTGTAGGTTCCGTCTTTTCACATAGTTTCATAATTCTTGCAGGTTTTGTTCATTCTTTTTGGTTCTTTTTTCTCTAATCTTGTCTGCTGCCTTATTTTATAATGATGGTCTTCAAACTCTTATATTATTCCTTCCACTTGATTGATTCAGCCATTGATTCTTGTTTATACTTCATGAAGTTCTTGTGCTGTGTTTTTCAGCTCCATCAGGTCATTTATGTTCCTTTCTAAACTAGTTATTCTAGTTAGCAGATCCTGTAACCTATTATCCTGGTTCTTAGCTTTTTTGCATTGGGTTAGAACATGCTACTTTACCTCAGGAAAGTCTGTTATTAGCCACCGTCTGAAGCCTACATCTGTCAGTTCATCCGAGGACTTTTTATCATAAAGGAATGTTGAATTTTATCATATGCTTTTCTAGCAGCAGTGGAAATGATCATATGGTTTTTGCCCTTCATTCTCTTGGTATGATGTATCACATTGATTGATTTGCATATGTTAAACCATTCTTGCGTCCCTTTGATAAATCCCACTTGGTCATGATGAAAATTCACCCTCAGCCAGAGTGCCCTCCCAAGAATCTCAGTCAACTCAAACCTGAGGCCAGAGAAGTGTCATCACTTCATCCATCCCATGGCAGCTCTTTCACCTGAATGGGACATTTCTCAACATAGGTGAGACAGACACGGAATCATGTGTAAATGGCTGGGTGTATGACAGAAGCTCCTTTCCCTTCTCCAACATGACTGAGGTAAGAGGCCTTGTTTTCCTTTCATGAGCACTGCCCTGGGTTTTTATAAATAGCACACGTAATAACCATGCTTCCAGCCTTTGGTCACATGTAGATACTTATTCTTCATTCTTTCAGCAAATATTAAGTGCTACTCTATTAAATGCCAGACACATACATATTTTATGAGGCTAATGAATTCAAAAGTAGAAATGCACCCTGTTATAATAGTGCTTTTATTCTTGGGCAGACAAAAGTTTAAGCAAGTAATTCATGCCTCTGTTATAAATGTTATGCTAGGTCAGTAAGTCTCAGCCTGTGGTCGCAAATTAAAAACATCTGGAAGGTTGATCAAAACCTCCATGCCTAGACTGTACCCGCAGAGCAGTCATAGGAGAAGGAGTGCAGTGAATTCAGGATTCAGTAAACTTTTACAAGATCACAAATGTTTACAGTCCATGGCCAAGTTTGAGAACCACACTTACTATGGAGTAAGAGTGGTTATTAATATTACCTACAGGTCTAGGGGAAGCCTCTTAGGGAAAGTTATGTTTAAGCTGAGACCTGAGTGATAAAGGTCAGGTAATGACAAAAATGGAAACTAGAGAGGAAGTTAGAAGCCTGCTATAATGAAACAAATCAGGTCATGTTAAGGAGCTTTGATCAGGTTCTACTGAGGGGTGGTAAGCTGCTGTGAAACTCTAATATTCTGTGGGGGGTGCATGGCAACATATTCAAGCTTACGTACACGGCATTTTAGGTCGGGGCATGGAAAAATGCTGAGGCACCGTGTGTATGTTATTTGTGCATAAGAATGAAAATTCTTGACCTTAAAAACAGGACAGGGAGTGGAATGTGTAGTATGATAAGGAACGCTGAAAACAGCCTCCTGAGAATGCAGTTTGAGTGCTTTTATAAGGCCACAGGTGTCTCACTACTCGATGTCAAAAAAGCCATCTAGTAGATGTTTGTTGTTTAACAAGCCCTTTCAATAAATACTTGGCAGAGGTATGCTGGGGCGGACTCTCTTAGAAAAGCTGCTAGCCATATGTAGAAAGCTGAAACTGGATCCCTTCCTTACACCTTATACAAAAATTAATTCAAGATGGATTAAAGACTTACATATTAGACCTAAAACCATAAAAACCCTAGAAGAAAACCTAGGCATTACCATTCAGGAAATAGGCATGGGCAAGGACTTCATGTCTAAAACACCAAAAGCAATGGCAACAAAAGCCAAAATTGACAAATGGGATCTAATTAAACTAAAGAGCTTCTGCACAGCAAAAGAAACTACCAGTAGAGTGAACAGGCAACCTACAAAATGGGAGAAAATTTTTGCAACCTACTCATCTGACAAAGGACTAATATCCAGAATCTACAAAGAACTCAAACAAATTTACAAGAAAAAAACAAACAACACCATCAAAAAGTGGGTGAAGGACATGAACAGACACTTCTCAAAAGAAGAGATTTATGCAGCCAAAAGACACATGAAAAAAGGTTCATCATCACTGGCCATCAGAGAAATGCAAATCAAAACCACAATGAGATACCATCTCACACCAGTTAGAATGGCGATCATTAAAAAGTCAGGAAACAACAGGTGCTGGAGAGGATGTGGAGAAATAGGAACACTTTTACACTGTTGGTGGGACTGTAAACTAGTTCAACCATTGTGGAAGTCAGTGTGGTGATTCCTCAGGGATCTAGAACTAGAACTACCATTTGACCCAGCCATCCCATTACTGGGTATATACCCAAAGGACTATAAAACATGCTGCTATAAAGACACATGCACACATATGTTTATTGCGGCACTATTCACAATAGCAAAGACTTGGAACCAACCCAAATGTCCAACAATGATAGACTGGATTAAGAAAATGTGCCACATATACACCATGGAATACTAAGCAGCCATAAAAAATGATGATTTCTTGTCCTTTGTAGGGACATGGATGAAATTGTAAATCATCATTCTCAGTAAACTATCACAAGGACAAAAAACCAAACACCGCATGTTCTCACTCATAGATGGGAATTGAACAATGAGAACACATGGACACAGGAAGGGGAACATCACACTCTGGGGACTGTTGTGGGGTGAGGGGAGTGGGGAGGGATAGCATTAGGAGATATACCTAATGCTAAATGATGAGTTAATGGGTGCAGCACACCAGCATGGCACATGTATACATATGTAACTAACCTGCACATTGTGCACATGTACCCTAAAACTTAAAGCATAAAAATAAAATAATGATAATAATAATAATAATAATAATAATCTTTAAGTAAAAAAAGCTCTTAAATAGAATCTGGCATAAAGGAAAAAAAAAAAAAAGCTGCTCCTCGCCCTTTGTCAGATGAGAAGATTGTAAAAATTTTCTCCCATTCTGTAGGTTGCCTGTTCACTCTGATGGTAGTTTCTTTTGCTGTACAGAAGTTCTTTAGTTTAATCAGATCCTGTTTGTCAATTTTGGCTTTTCTTACCATTGCTTTTGGTGTTTTAGACATGAAGTCCTTGCCCATGCCTATGTCCTGAATGGTATTGCCTAGGTTTTCTTCTAGGGTTTTTATGGTTTTAGGTCTAAGGTTTAAGTCTTTAATCCATCTTGAATTAATTTTTGTATAAGGTGTAAGGAAGGGATCCAGTTTCAGCTTTCTACATATGGCTAGCCAGTTTTCCCAGCACCATTTATTAAATAGGGAATCCTTTCCCCATTCCTTGTTTTGCTCAGGTTTTTCAAAGATCAGATAGTTGTAGATATGTGGCATTATTTCTGAGGGCTCTGTTCTGTTCCATTGGTCTATATCTCTGTTTTGGTAGCAGTATCATGCTGTTTTGGTGACTGTAGCCTTGTAGTAGAGTTTGAAGTCAGGTAGCGTGATGCCTCCAGCTTTGTTCTTTTGGCTTAGAATTGACTTGGCAATACGGGCTCTTGGTTGGTTCCATATGAACTTTAAAGTAGTTTTTTCCAATTCTGTGAAGAAAGTCATTGGTAGCTTGATGGGGATGGCATTGAATCTATAAATGACCTTGGGCAGTATGGCCATTTTCACGATATTGATTCTTCGTACCTATGAGCATGGAAGGTTCTTCCATTTGTTTGTATCCTCTTTGATTTCATTGAGCAGTGGTTTGTAGTTCTCCTTGAAGAGGTCCTTCACATCCCTTGTAAGTTGGATTCCTAGGTATTTTATTCTCTTTGAAGCAGTTGTGAATGGGAGTTCACTCATGATTTTGCTCTCTGTTTGTCTGTTATTGGTGTATAAGAATGCTTGTGATTTTTGCACATTGATTTTGTATCCTGAAACTTTGCTGAAGTTGCTTATCAGGTTAAGGAGATTTTGGGCTGAGACAATGGGATTTTCTAGATATACAATCATGTCATCTGCAAACAGGGACAATTTGACTTCCTCTTTTTCTAATTGAATACGCTTTATTTCCTTCTCCTGCCTGATTGCCCTGGCCAGAACTTCCAACACTATGTTGAATAGGAGTGGTGAGAGAAGGCATCCCTGTCTTGTGCCAGTTTTCAAAGGGAATGCTTCCAGTTTTTGCCCATTCAGTATGATATTGGCTGTGGGTATGTCATACACAGCTCTTATTATTTTGAGATACGTCTCATCAATACCTGATTTATTGAGAGTTTTTAGCATGAAGGGCTGTTGAATTTTGTCAAAGATCTTTTCTGCATCTATTGAGATAATCATGTGGTTTTTTTCATTGGTTCTGTTTATATGCTGGATTATGTTTATTGATTTGCGTGTGTTGAACCAGCCTTGCATCCCAGGGATGAAGCACACTTGATCGTGGCGGATAAGCTGTTTGATGTGTTGATGGATTCAGTTTGCCAGTATTTTCTTGAGGATTTTTGCATCAATGCTCATCAGGGATATTGGTCTAAAATTCTCCTTTTTTGTTGTGTCTCTGCCAGGCTTTGGTATCAGGATGATGCTGGCCTCATAAAATGAATTAGGGAGGATTCCCTCTTTTTCTATTGATGGGAATAGTTTCAGAAGGAATGGTACCAGCTCCTCCTTGTACCTCTGGTAGAATTTGGCTGTGAATCCATCTGGTCCTGGACTTTTTTTGGCTGGTAAGCTATTAATTATTGCCTCAATTTCAGAGCCTGTTATTGATCTATTCAGACAATGAACACAAACAAATTTACAAGAAAAAAACAAATAACCCCATCAAAAAGTGGGCAAAGGATATGAACACACTTCTCAAAAGAAGACATTTATGCAGCCAACAGACACATGAAAAAATGCTCACCACCACTGGCCATCAGAGAAATGCAAATCAAAACCACAATGAGATACCATCTCACACCAGTTAGAATGGAGATCATTAAAAAGTCAGGAAACAACAGGTGCTGGAGAGGATGTGGAGAAATAGGAACACTTTTACACTGTTGGTGGGACTGTAAACTAGTTCAACCATTGTGGAAGTCAGTGTGGTGATTCCTCAGGGATCTAGAACTAGAACTACCATTTGACCCAGCCATCCCATTACTGGGTATATAGCCAAAGGATTATAAATCATGCTGCCATAAAGACACATGCACACGTTTGTTTATTGCGGCACTATTCACAATAGGAAAGACTTGGAACCAACCCAAATGTCCAACAATGATAGACTGGATTAAGAAAATGTGGCACATATACACCATGGAATACTATGCAGCCATAAAAAGTGATGAGTTCGTGTCCTTTGTAGGGACATGGATGAAGCTGGAAACCATCATTCTCAGCAAATTATCGCAAGTACAAAAAACCAAACACCACATGTTCTCACTCATAGGTGGGAATTGAACAATGAGAACACTTGGACACAGGAAGGGGAACATCACACACTGGGGCCTGTTGTGGGGTGGGGGGTTGGAGGAGGGATAGCATTAGGAGATATACCTAATATTAAATGACGAGTTAATGGGTGCAGCACACCAACATGGCACATGTATAGATATGTAACAAATCTGCACGTTGTGCACATGTACCCTAAAACTTAAAATATAATTAAAAAGAAAAAAGCTGCTACTCACCCCACTCAGCTGAAATTGATCATTCTTGGCATTCACTGCAAGCTATAAGCTCTGCAAATGGTGACCTTGACATGATAGCCTTAAAGTAACACCTGAAAGAGGAAATCCCCATGCTATTCTAGTTTCTATTTCTTCTTGTGGAACCTGGTATGTGGATCTCAGTCACTGAATTTAGTGGCTAAATTCCTATTCATGGCTGGAATGACTGTGGGAGGCATCCTATATGGCCATTTATCAGACAGGTGTGCATCTCTGTTTCACATATCTCTTTATTAGTGCATATTTCCATTAGCTTATGAATCATTCATTAATTTAAAAATATTTATTGTAAATCACACTGTTCTAAGGATACTCTGGTCCTCAGGGATCTAGAATTACAAGTGGAGAATTACAATCTGTAGGGTCAGGGCTATTTTGTCAGCACTGAATGCTATGTACAAGACACAGAAATGGCATCTCCATTAGACCTGGAAGCATTTCAGGCCAGGGTTTGGAAATGCACTACCACAACATGTGGTTTAGAAAGATAGGAATTGTTACTGTCTTAGTCTATTTTCTACCCCTATAACAGAAGGTCACAGACTGGGTAATTTATTAAAATAATAGAAGTTTATTTGGCTAATGGTTCTGGAGGCTGAAAGGTCCAAGAGCATGGCGCCAGCATCTGGTGAGGGACTTTGTGTTGTATCATCCCTGGAAGAAGGTGGAAGGGCGAGCAATGGCACAAGACAGAGAAAGGATGGGGGCTCAACTTCGTTCTCTTGTTAGGAGCCCCTCCCATGATTACTAACCCACTTTCAGGATAACTCTATTAATTTATTCACGAGGTCCTACCTCTTAAAGGTCCTTACTCTTAAAGGTCCTACCTCTTAATACAATCACAATAGTAACTATATTTCAACATGAGTCTGGAGGGTATATCCAAACCATAGCATTTACCTATAGGAACTGAGAAGATGTTTCATGACATAGGATTCAGCCTGTTTGAAGATGCAGATATGGAAAACAGTGTTGTAGACCTTTGCCAGATGTACCATGTTTAGTCTTTCCTTAACCCTGTGAACTGAAGGCTTGTGGGTGCCAGAGAATGACCATCACATTATAGTTGCCCAAGTGTGATGGGTAGACATTACTGCAAAACCAGTAGGATCATAGCAATGTGTCATTTATGATATGTTAAAAATTGATGCTAATATTCTTAATTTTTGTTTCTGAAAGAGTAACTTTTTAAAGTTAAGTTTTATAATATGTAGGGTAATCAATATGAAAACTACTGTCACAGTTGTGTTAGAAATTTGGAGTATCCTGTGGCTAGCAATGTCTCTTTGGAAATAGGCAGCCAACGATTACCATTATCCAAGCATATAATCCCCGAGCAACATGGGAGAATTAAGGTGCTTATCATCTGCTAGCCTCACATTATCTGTTGCCTCAGCCATAAACTGTGATCTCCACAGGTGTGACAGTAAATGTAATTTATAAGAGTTCAGAGTCATAGTGTTCATTTCTAGCAATTCAGTAACTTAGCACTCTGTGGGAGCGTTATAAGAAAATGCTGATAGGTCAATTTTGATGGATCATAAGGTAATAGAAATGAAGGATTAGGGCAGGAGATGGCAGCAGAGAACTAAATTAATCTGAGTGGTTAAGATAATCTAAGGATTTTGAACTTCATTGGAAAACTGAAGGTAAACATGGAATGAGAGGGCCACAATCAAATTGATATTTTTAAGTAACATACTTAACTATTCACAATATTCTAAAGCTAACAGCAGTCTAGAATTCCATTAATTATAGAATGGATAAAAAAGATACAGATTATTCACATAATGGATTTTTATACACAAAAGGTAATAAATAAGCTCTCTGTGCATTAACATAGTTGAGTATAAAAATCATTTTTTTAAGCAGCATAAGAACAACAAAAATGATTGTATACTATACCATTCCACTTATGGTCAAAAATAAGGAACTACGTTATGGTGTTCGGCGTTAGAAAAGGAGTTCTCTTTAGGATTTTTATTAAAATTACATTAAATGTATACAGCAGTTTAGGTAAAATTGCCATTTTTTAAATGTTGAATTTTCTGATCTTTGAATATGATAGAGCTGTTCCTAAATTTAAATTTTCTTTAATTTACCATGCAATGTTTTCTATTTGTTAAAAAGAAAGTCATGTGTTTTCCATTAAATTTATTCCTAATAAATCTAGTTGAGGCTCTGAAGTTGGTTTTTGTAATTTTAATTTTTGATTAGCCATTGCTACTACATACAAATAGCAATTGACTTTTACATATTAATCTTACATTCTGCCACCGTGATGAATTCACTTATCAGTTCTAGTACATTATTGTGGATTCCTTAAAGTCTTCAATTACACAATTATATCATCTGCAAGTATGGATAGTTTTGCTTATTATTTTCCTATCTTTTGCCTCTGTTACTTTTTCTAAAAGCACCTAGGACTTTTAGTAAAATGTTAATTTTAAGTAGTGAGATCTGATATCCTGACCTTGTTTTCTGATCTTAGGTTAGAAGTGAAGCTTTAATGATTACATATGATGTTAAGTATAGTATTATTTTTAGATGCCCTTAATAATGGTTGAGAAGTTTCCTTATATTTATAGCTTTCTGAGAGTTTTTGTTGTGAAGTAATTTTGACATAAAATAAACACTAATTTTTTTTATTATTATACTTAAAGATTTAGGGTACATGTGCACAACGTGCAGGTTAGTTACATATGTATACATGTGCCATGCTGGTGCGCTGCACCCACTAACTCGTCATCTAGCATTAGGTATATCTCCCAATGCTATCCCTCCCCCTTCCCCCCACCCCACAACAGTCCCCAGAGTGTGATGTTCCCCTTCCTGTGTCCATGTGTTCTCATTGTTCAATTCCCATCTGTGAGTGAGAATATGCGGTGTTTGGTTTTTTGTTCTTGTGATAGTTTACTGAGAATGATGATTTCCAATTTCATCCATGTCCCTACAGAGGACATGAACTCATCATTTTTTATGGCTGCATAGTATTCCATGGTGTATATGTGCCACATTTTCTCAATCCAGTCTATCGTTGTTGGACATTTGGGTTGGTTCCAAGTCTTTGCTATTGTGAATAATGCCGCAATAAACATACGTGTGCGTGTGTCTTTATAGCAGCATGATTTATAGTCCTTTGGGTATATACCCAGTAATGGGATGGCTGGGTCAATTGGTATTTCTAGTTCTAGATCCCTGAGGAATCACCACACTGACTTCCACAATGGTTGAACTAGTTTACAGTCCCACCAACAGTGAAAAGTGTTCCTATTCCTCCACATCCTCTCCAGCACCTGTTGTTTCCTGACTTTTTAATGATCGCCATTCTAACTGGTGTGAGATGGTATCTCATTGTGGTTTTGATTTGCATTTCTCTGATGGCCAGTGATGATGAGCATTTTTTCATGTGTTTTTTGGCTGCATAAATGTCTTCTTTTGAGAAGTGTCTGTTCATGTCCTTTGCCCACTTTTTGATGGGGTTGTTTTTTTCTTGTAAATTTGTTTGAGTTCATTGTAGATTCTGGATATTAGCCCTTTGTCAGATGAGTAGATTGCAAACATTTTCTCCCATTTTGTAGGTTGCCTGTTCACTCTGATGGTAGTTTCTTTTGCTGTGCAGAGGCTCTTTAGTTTAATTAGATCCCATTTGTCAATTTTGGCTTTTGTTGCCATTGCTTTTGCTCTTTTAGACATGAAGTCCTTGCCCATGCCTATGTCCTGAATGGTAATACCTAGGTTTTCTTCTAGGGTTTTTATGCTTTTAGGTCTAACATTTAAGTCTTTAATCCATCTTGAATTGATTTTTGTATAAGGTGTAAGGAAGGGATCCAGTTTCAGCTTTCTACATATGGCTAGCCAGTTTTCCCAGCACCGTTTATTAAATAGGGAATCCTTTCCCCATTGCTTGTTTTTCTCAAGTTTCTCAAAGATCAGATAGTTGTAGATATGCGGCATTATTTCTGAGGGCTCTGTTCTGTTCCATTGATCTATATCTCTGTTTTGGTACCAGTACCATGCTGTTTTGGTGACTGTAGCCTTGTAGTAGAGTTTGAAGTCAGGTAGCATGATGCCTCCAGCTTTGTTCTTTTGGTTCAGGATTGACTTGGCGATGTGGGCTCTTTTTTGGTTCCAAATGAACTTTAAAGTAGTTTTTCCAATTCTGTGAAGAAAGTCATTGGTAGCTAGATGGGGATGGCATTGAATCTATAAATGACCTTGGGCAGTATGGCCATTTTCACAATATTGATTCTTCCTACCCATGAGCATGGAATGTTCTTCCATTTCTTTGTATCGTCTTTTATTTCATTGAGCATTGGTTTGTAGTTCTCCTTGAAGAGGTCCTTCACATCCCTTGTAAGTTGGATTCCTAGGTATTTTATTCTCTTTGAAGCAATTGTGAATGGGAGTTCACTCATGATTTGGCTCTCTGTTTGTCTGTATAAGAATCCTTGTGATTTTTGCACATTGATTTTGTATCCTGAGACTTTGCTGAAGTTGCTTATCAGCTTAAGGAGATTTGGGGCTGAGACAATGGGGTTTTCTAGATATACAATCATGTCATCTGCAAACAGGGACAATTTGACTTCCTCTTTTCCTAATTGAATACCCTTTATTTCCTTCTCCTGCCTGATTGACCTGGCCTGAACTTCCAACACTATGTTCAATAGGAGTGGTGAGAGAGGGCATCCCTGCCTCGTGCCAGTTTTCAAAGGGAATGCTTCCAGTTTTTGCCCATTCAGTATGATATTGGCTGTGGGTTTGTCATAGATAGCTCTTATTATTTTGAGATACCTCCCATCAATACCTAATTTATTAAGATTTTTTAGCATGAAGAGTTGTTGAATTTTCTCAAAGGTCTTTTCTGCATCTATTGAGATAATCATGTGGTTTTTGTCATTGGTTCTGCTTATATGCTGGATTACGTTTATTGATTTGCATACATGGAACCAGCCTTGCATCCCAGGGATGAAGCCCACTTGATCATGGTGGATAAGCTTTTTCATGTGCTGCTGGATTCGGTTTGCCAGTATTTTCTTGAGGATTTTTGCATCAATGTTCATCAGGGATATTGGTCTAAAATTCTCTTTTTTGGTTGTGTCTCTGCCTGACTTTGGTATCAGGATGATGCTGGCCTCATAAAATAAGTTAGGGATGATTCCCTCTTTTTCTATTGATGGGAATAGTTTCAGAAGGAATGGTACCATTTCCTCCTTGTACCTCTGGTAGAATTCGGCTGTGAATCCATCTGGTCCTGGACTCTTTTTCGTTGGTAAGCTATTGATTATTGCCACAATTTCAGCTCCTGTTATTGGTCTATTCAGAGATTCAACTTCTTCCTGGTTTAGTCTTGGGAGAGTGTATGTGTCAAGGAATTTATCCATTTCTTGTAGATTTTCTAGTTTACTTGCATAGAGGTGTTTGTAGTATTCTCTGATGGTAGTTTGTATTTCTGTGGGATCGGTGGTGATATCCCCTTTATCCTTTTTTATTGCATCTATTTGATTCTTCTCTCTTTTCTTCTTTATTAGTCTTGCTAGCGGTCTATCAATTTTGTTGATTCTTTCAAAAAACCAGCTCCTGGATTCGTTAATTTTTTGAAGGGTTTTTTGTGTCTCTATCTCCTTCAGTTCTGTTCTGATTTTAGTTATTTCTTGCCTTCTGCTAGCTTTTGAATGTGTTTGCTCTTGCTTTTCTAGTTCTTTTAATTGTGATGTTAGGGTGTCAATTTTGGATGTTTCCTGCTTTCTCTTGTGGGCATTTAGTGCTATAAATTTCCCTCTACACACTGCTTTGAATGCGTCCCAGAGATTCTGGTATGTTGTGTCTTTGTTCTCATTGGTTTCAAAGAACATCTTCATTTCTGCCTTCATTTTGTTATGTACCCAGTAGTCATTCAGGAGCAGGTTGTTCAGTTTCCATGTAGTTGAGCGGTTTTGAGTGAGTTTCTTAATCCTGAATTCTACTTTGATTGCACTGTGGTCTGAGAGATAGTTTGTTATAATTTCTGTTCTTTTACATTTGCTGAGGAGAGCTTTACTTCCAAGTATGTGGTCAATTTTGGAATAGGTGTGGTGTGGTGCTGAAAAGAATGTATATTCTGTTGATTTGGGGTGGAGAGTTCTGTAGATGTCTATTAGGTCCGCTTGGTGCAGAGCTGAGTTCAATTCCTGGGTATTCTTGTTGACTTTCTGTCTTGTTGATCTGTCTAATGTTGACAGTGGGGTGTTAAAGTCTCCCATTATTAATGTGTGGGAGTCTAAGTCTCTCTGTAGGTCACTCAGGACTTGCTTTATGAATCTGGGTGCTCCTGTATGGGGTGCATATATATTTAGGATAGTTAGCTCTTCTTGTTGAATTGATCCCTTTACCATTAAGTAATGGCCTTCTTTGTCTCTTTTGATCTTTGTTGGCTTAAAGTCTGTTTTATCAGAGACTAGGATTGCAACCCCTGCCTTTTTTTGTTTTCCATTTGCTTGGTAGATCTTCCTCCATCCTTTTATTTTGAGCCTATGTGTGTCTCTGCCCATGAGATGGCTTTCCTGAATACAGCACACTGATGGGTCTTGAATTTTTATCCAATTTGCCACTCTGTGTCTTTTAATTGGAGCATTTAGTCCATTTACATTTAAAGTTAATATTGTTATGTGTGAATTTGATCCTGTCATTATGATGTTAGCTGGTTATTTTGCTCATTAGTTGATGCAGTTTCTTCCTAGTCTCGATGGTCTTTACATTTTGGCTTGATTTTGTAGTGGCTGGTACCGGTTGTTCCTTTCCATGTTTAGCGCTTCCTTCAGGAGCTCTTTTAGGGCAGGCCTGGTGGTGACAAAATCTCTCAGCATTTGCTTGTCTGTAATGTATTTTATTTCTCCTTCACTTATGAAGCTTAGTTTGGCTGGATATGCAATTCTGGGTTGAAAATTCTTTTCTTTAAGAATGTTGAATATTGGCTCCCACTCTCTTCTGGCTTGTAGAGTTTCTGCCGAGAGATCTGCTGTTAGTCTGATGGGCTTCCCTTTGTGGGTAACCCGACCTTTCTCTCTGGCTGCCCTTAACATTTTTTCCTTCATTTCAGCTTTGGTGAATCTGACAATTATGTGTCTTGGTGTTGCTCTTCTCGAGGAGTATCTTTGTGGCATTCTCTGTATTTCCTGAATCTGAATGTTGGCCTGCCTTGCTAGATTGGGGAAGTTCTCCTGGATAATATCCTGCAGAGTGTTTTCCAACTTGGTTCCATTCTCCCCGTCACTTTCAGGTACACCAGTCAGACGTAGATTTGGTCTTTTCACATAGTGCCATATTTCTTGGAGACTTTGCTCATTTCTTTTTATTCTTTTTTCTCTAAACTTCCCTTCTCACTTCATTTCATTCATTTCATCTTCCATCACTGATACCCTTTCTTGCAGTTGATCGCATCAGCTCCTGAGGCTTCTGCATTCTTCACGTAGTTCTCGAGCCTTGGCTTTCAGCTCCATCAGCTCCTTTAAGCACTTCTCTGTATTGGTTTTTCTAGTTATACATTCTTCTAAATGTTTTTCAAAGTTTTCAACTTCTTTGCCTTTGGTTTGAATGTCCTCCCGTAGCTCGGAGTAATTTGATCGTCTGAAGACTTCTTCTCTCAGCTTGTCAAAGTCATTCTCCGTCCAGCTTTGTTCCATTGCTGGTGAGGAACTGCGTTCCTTTGGAGGAGGAGAGGCGCTCTGCTTTTTAGAGTTTCCAGTTTTTCTGCTCTGCTTTTCCCCATCTTTGTGGTTTTATCTACTTTTGGTCTTTGATGATGGTGATATACAGATGGGTTTTTGGTGTGGATGTCCTTTCTGTTTGTCAGTTTTCCTTCTAACAGACAGGACCCTCAGCTGCAGGTCTGTTGGAGTACCTGGCCGTGTGAGGTGTCAGTCTGCCCCTGCTGGGGGGTGCCTCCCAGTTAGGCTGCTCAGGGGGTCAGGGGTCAGGGACCCACTTGAGGAGGCAGTCTGCCCATTCTCAGATCTCCAGCTGTGTGCTGGGAGAACCACTGCTCTCTTCAAAGCTGTCAGACAGGGACATTTAAGTCTGCAGAGGTTACTGCTGTCTTTTTGTTTGTCTGTGCCCTGCCCCCAGAGGTGGAGCCTGCAGAGGCAGGCAGGCCTCCTTGAGCTGTGGTGGGCTCCACCCAGTTCGAGCTTCCTGGCTGCTTTCTTTACATAAGCAAGCCTGGGCAATGGCGGGCGCCCCTCCCCCAGCCTTGCTGCCACCTTGCAGTTTGATCTCAGACTGCTGTGCTAGCAATCTGCGAGACTCCATGGGCATAGGACCCTCCGAGCCAGGTGTGGGATATAATCTCCTGGTGTGCCATTTTTTAAGCCCATCGGAAAAGCGCAGTATTCGGGTGGGAGTGACCCAATTTTCCAGGTGCCGTCTGTCACCCCTTTCTTTGACTAGGAAAGGGAACTCCCTGACCCCTTGCACTTCCCGAGTGAGGCAATGCCTCACCCTGCTTCGGCTCATGCACGGTGTATGCACCCACTGACCTGCACCCACTGTCTGGCACTCCCTAGTGAGATGAACCTGGTACCTCAGATGGAAATGCAGAAATCACCCATCTTCTGCATCACTCACGCTGGGAGCTGTAGACCGGAGCTGTTCCTATTTGGCCATCTTGGCTCCTCCCTCCAACACTAATTTTTATAATACCATATTTTTACTGTACCTTTTCTGTATTTACATATACCTAGATACACAAATGCCATTGTGTTTCGGTAGCCTATAGTATTCCTTACACTAGCATGCTGTATGGGTTCATAACACAGGAGCAATATGCTATACCATTTAGCTTAGGTGTGTAGTAGGCTATACTATCTGGGTTTGTGTAAGTATATTCTATTATGTTCATACAACAAAAATTTACCTAACAATGCATTTCTTAGAACATATCCCTGTTAAGTGATGCATGATCATATGAGACTAGGACATATAGGTCTTCCTTACATTCAGAAAAAAGGAAATCAATGGTGATTATCAAACCAGACTGCACAACAGTTAATGATTAATGAAACAATAGTCTTTACACTTAGCGGAATACAAATTTCTCTTCTTTGGGACATTAAGCAAGTACAACCCAATTATCATACTCCTTATTGTATGAAAGAGTGTCCTCATTAATTTGGCTATGAATTCCCTTTATGTATGTATGGCTCTGTTTCTCTTTTTCTTCATGCCTTAATATGATTTTCTACTTCATAACATAGGAATCAGTATATAGTATTAACTGCCTGTATTTCTTTAAATTTATATATATTTTTTACAAAATTAGTGACACTGTTTACATATCTTTTAATTTTTATGTCATGTAAATGTTTTATCTCATTATTTTTCTTTTATGGACACTCTATTCTGTTTTTAAGATACACATACATGCCTCTGTGTGCTTCTGGTTCATTTTTCTAACTGCTACACTTTGCTCCACAGTGGAGATCCATTATGGTCTTCCTAATATCTTTCTCAGGAATGGACAACCAGGTTGCCATCAAAGGTTTGCCACTCCGAAATATCACCACATTTAACAACCTTACACACACACACGCACACACGCACACATATGGCCACAGATGTGCATATGGAATTACATCTAGCATAGCTCAGATACTTAATTTTTCAAATGTTGAATATATATCTGCTTTGTGGAGTCCTAAAAATCTCCCATGATTATTGTGTGGGAGTCTGACCACATAATTTTTGACTGACCAGGCTTTCCAATAATTCCTATTTCATTATTTTATTAATTGTAACACTTTTTACATAGATTCTATTCCATTATGAAGTACACATTTAGAAATTGAGCATATATTGTGTAAACATCCAGAATATATGACTTAATAGTCATATTATAATGTAAACATGCTGTGAGAGTAGCAAAGATTGCAGAGCATCTGCCCAATCCCAGTATTTTCCCAGTGGTATACATTATTGGTCATATAGAATCACCACACATCGTTTTGTCTCCCCAAAATCTTTGAAACAGAAAATTCCTTTTTGTTCGCTTTTTAAACCCTCTGATTCTGATTCTCTGTTTCCTCAGCTTATCTTATCTAATGCTTTCCTCTTCAAACTATGTATAAGTTCCCCTGTCTGAGTTGTGACTCCCTGGTATCCTGTTGTAGAAAACATACATTATGCAAGGCCTACAATCAAACTAGGCAGAGAGGCGCTTTTATGAAATCCATTAGCAGCTTGATATATTCTTCTATGGATTGTCCTTTCAAATCAGTTTAGCCTTGGCCTGCATGGTCCTAGGATGCCAAATGCAGATTTAGATCCTGTATTAATTAGCTGGGGCTACCATAACAAAAATTTGTGTTTTTGCGTAGCTTAAACAAAAGAAATTTACTTTCTCACAGTTGTGGATGCTGGGAAGTTCAAGATCAAAGGACTAGCTAATTCTCTTCCTGGTCTGCAGTCAGCCACTTTCTGCTGTCTTTCCATAGAGGTAAGAGAGAAAGAGAGAGAGAGAGCAAAAGCATGCACAAGCAAGTTCTCTCGAGTATCTTCCCATTAGGGAACGTATCCCATTATGAAGGCCCCACCCTCATGACATCATCTAAAGCTAATGACTTCTGAAAAGCCCCATCTCCATACAGAATCTCACTGGAGGTTAGGGATCAACATACAAATTTGCAGCGGACACAGTTTTGTCCATAGCAGAGCACCTGTATTCTGCACACTAAACAGAGTCTTTCTTCACTCTACTAAATACACGTGTTAGTACAAGGGACATTTATGATGCGTAAAACTGAGTCTCTTTATGCTAAGTGCATGTGTTAGTACAAGGGACATTTATGATGTGTAAAATTTTCCAACATTGTAGCCTGTCTTACATGGTTTCAATTAATATCAAAGATCAATTTGTAACAGATTAAAGAAGAATCTTTGATGCACTCAATATCTAGTTAAAAACAGGGAACATGACCTCTGAGTAGAATTGCTATTGATTATCTGTTGATGCTTTAAGGTTTTAAATGCAAAGTTTCACTTGTTAAAGCATCCCTTAAATTTCAAAGTGTGCTTTTCTACCCTTGACTTTTATTTTAGATATGGGGGGGGTAATGTGCAGGTTTGTTACGTGGGTATATTGGACTCAGGTAGTGAGCATATACCCAAGAGATGCTTTTATGACCCATGCCCCACTCCCTTGACCCTATAGTAGTTTGCCATGGCTATTGTTCCCATGTTTAAGTCTATGGGTGCTCAAGTTTAGCTCCCAGTTATAAGTGAGAACATGAGGTATTTAGTTTTCTGTTTCTGCATTAATTCACTTAGGATTTTGGACTCCAGTTCCATCTATATTCCTGCAAAGGACATGATTTCAATATTTTTTAAGGCTTACATAGTATTCCATGGTGTACAGCACCACATTTTCTTTATCCCATCCAACATTGATGGGAACCTACATTGATTCTATGTCTTTGTTATTGTGAATACTGTGGCAATGAACATATGAGTGCATGTATTGTCTTATATAATGATCTATTTTCCTTTGGATATATATCCAGTAATGGAATTGCTGGGTCAAATGCTAACTCTGTTTTAAGTTCTCAATTAATCTCCAATCTGCTTTCCACAGTGGCTGAACTAATTTACATTAGTACATTTTACCCTATTATATTTTTCTCTGAAGCCTTGTCAGCATCTGTTACAATTCACCTTGTAAACAGAATTAAAAACAAAAACCATATGATCATCTCAATAGATGCAGACAAAGCCTTCAATAAAATCCAACATCACTTCATAATATAAAAAACCCTCAACAAACTAGACATTAAATGAACATACCTCCAAATTAATAAGAGCCACGTATGACAAACCCACAGCCAACATCATAGGCAAAAGCCAAAAGAATTTCCCTTGAAAACCAGAGCAAGACAAGGATGCCCATTCTCACCACTCCCATTCAACTTAGCACTGGAAGTCCTGCCAGATCCATCAGGCAAGAGAAAGAAATAAAAGACATCCAAATAGGAAAAGAACAAGTCAAACTATCTCTTCACTGACAATATGATTCTATGCCTAGAAAACCCTGAAGACTCTGCCAAGTGGCTACTAGAACTGACAAACGATTTTAGTGAGGCTTCAGAATACCAAATCACTGTACAAAAATTAGTAGCATTTATATACACCAATAATGGCCAGGCTGAGATTCAAAGTATGCTTTCTCCTTTCTGAGTTTCACAAGTGGTTGTTGTTGCCATTATCTAACCTGTCTCTGTTTCTCAGGTTTGGGAGGAGGTTAATGTTCAGATGGTGTTAGCTCCAGCTCACCATTTCTGACACCTGTGCAGCCTTTTCTCCCACTTTCCTCATTTACTGCTCCTTACGTTTCTTGGCTGGGATTTCTACCATGACCATCCCAGCAAATAATGTGTGCTGAGTAAGTCAATGCTTTGGATCTTGACTTTTCCAATCCCTGACTTTGGCATTGAAATTCCACCTTCATTTGAAGTCAAAATCCTGTTTGCATTTTTTGTCAGTTGCACAGTAAACAGCATGCCAATTCAGAGTCATGTGAATGACACTGACATTTGGCATTGTTTCTTTTAATTTTTTTTTAAGTTCAGGGGTACACGTGCAGGTTTTTCTTTTCTTTTCTTTTCTTTTCTTTTCTGAGACGGAGTCTCGCTCTGTCCCCAGGCTGGAGTGCAGTGGCGCGATCTGGACTCACCGCAAGCTTCGCCTCCTGGGTTCACGCCATTCTCCTGCCTCAGCCTCCCAAGTAGCTGGGACTACAGGCACCCGCCACCGCGCCCGGCTAATTTTTTGCATTTTTGGCAGAGATGGGGTTTCACCGTGTTAGCCAGGATGGTCTCGATCTCCTGAACTCGTGATCCGCCCGCCTCGGCCTCCCAAAGTACTGGGATTACAGGCGTGAGCCACCGCGCCCGGCCGACGTGCAGGTTTGTAATATAGGCAAACCCCTGTCATGAAGGTTTGTCGTACAGATTATTTCATCACCCAGGTATTAAACCTAGTACATTATTTTTCCTGATTCTCTCCTTCCTCCAATCCTTTACCCTTCCAGCCCGAGTCTGTTGCTCCTCTCTATGTGTTCATGTGTTCTCATCATTTAGCTCCCACTTGTAAGTGAGAACATGTGGTATTTGGTTTTCTATTCTTGCAGTAGTTTGCGAAGGGCAATGGCCTCCAATTCCGTTCATGATCCTTCAAAGGACGTGATCTCCTTCTTTTTTATGGCTGCATAATATTCCATAATGTATATGTATCGCATTTTCTTTTTTAAAAAAATGTGTTTCATTTTAAGTTCTGGGATACATGTGTAGGACGTGCAGGTTTGTTACACAGGTAAACGTGTGCCATGGATATGTATCACATCTTCTGTATCCATTGATGGGCATTTAGGTTGATTTCATGTCTTTGCTATTGTGAATAGTGCTACAGTGAACATCAACATTCACGTGTCTTTATGATAGAATGATTTACATTCCTTTGGATATATTTGGATACCCAATAATGGGATTGCTGGGTTGAATGATAATCCTGTTTTAAGTTCTTTAAGAGATTGCCACGCTGTGTTCCACAATGGCTAAAGTAATTTACATTCCCACAAGCAGTGAATAAGCATTCCCTTTTCTTAACAATCTTACTAGTATCTGTTATTTTTTTACTTTTAAATATTAATAACAGCCATTCTGACAGGTGTAAGATGGTATCTTATTGTGGTTTTGATTTGCTTTTATCTAGTGATTAGTGAGGTTGAGCATTTTTTCATGTGCTTGTTGGCCACATGTATGTCTTCTTTTGAAAAGTTCCTATTTATGTCCTTTGCCCAATTTTTAATGGGGTTGTTTTTTGCTTGTTAATTTTTTAAGTTCCTTAAAGATTCTGGATGTTAGACCTTTACTGGATGCACAGTTTGCAAATATTTCTCCCATTCTGTAGGTTGTATGTATATTCTGGTGATAGTTTCTTTTGCAGTGCAGAAGCTCTTTAGTTTAATTAGGTTCCATTAGTCAATTTTTGTTTTTATTACAATTGCTTTTGGGGACTTAGCCATAAATTCTTTGCCAAAACCTCTGTCAATAAAGGTATTTCTTAGGTTTTCTTCTAGAATTTTTATAGTTTGAGGTCTTACATTTAATTCTTTAATCTATCTTGAGTTGGTTTTTTCATACAGTGAAAAGTTGTGGTCCAGTTTCATTCTTCTGCATATAGCTAGCTAGTAATCTTAGCTACATTTATTGAATAGGGAGTGCTGTCTCCATTGCTTATTTTTGTTGATTTTGTCAAAGATCACATAATTGTAGGTGTTTGAGTTTATTTCTGGGTTGTTTATTTTGTTTCACTGATTTATGTGTCTGTTTTTATACCGGTATTATGCTGTTTTGATTATTGTAACCTTATAGTGTAGTTTGAAGTCAGGCAATGTGATGCCTCCAGCTTTGCTCTTTTTGCATAGGGTTGCTTTGGTTATTCAAGTTCTTTTTGTTCTAAATGAATTTCAGAATAGATTTTTCTAATTTTGTGAAAAATGATGTTGGTATTTTTGATAGTGATAGTATTGAATCTGTAAACCGTTAAGGGCAGTATGGCCATTTTAACTACATTGATTCTTCCAATCTGTGAACAGAGAGTATATTCCACTTATTTACATCATCTCTGATTTTTTTCAGCAGTGTTTTGTAACTCTCCTTGTAAAGATTGTTCACCTCCTTGGCTAAGTAAATCCTAGATATTTCATTTTCTTTGTGGCTATTGTAAATGAGACTGTGTTCTTGATTTGATTGTCAGTCAGAATGTTATTAGTGTATACAAAGGCTACTCATTTTTATACCTTTATTTTGTATCCTGAAACTTTACTGAATTCATTTATCAGCTCCAGGAGCTTTTTGTTAAAATATTTAGGGATTTCTAGGTATAGAATCACATCACTGGAAAAGAGAGCTAGTTTGACTTATTTTCCTACTTAGGTGTCTTTATTTCTTTCTCTTGTCTGATGGCTCTGGCTAGGACATTCAGTACTAAGTTGAGTAGATGTGCTGGGTGTGGGCATCCTTGTCTTGCTCCAGTTGTTAAGGGGAATGGTTTGAGTTTTGCCCACTTAGAGTAAGTTTGGCTGTGTGTTTATCATAGATGGCTCTTATTATTTTGAAGTATGTTGCTTCAATCCGTAGTATGTTGGTTTTAATCATAGAAGGATTGGATTTTATGAAAGGATTTTTCTGTGTCTATTGAGATGATCATACGGGTTTTTAATTCCTTTTGTGTGAATTATATAATTGATTTGCATATATTGAACCAAATTTGCATCCCAGAAATAAAGCCTACTTGATCGTGGTGAATTAGCTTTTTGATGTGCTGCTGGATTCAGTTTGCTAGTATTTTATTGAAGATTTTTGCATCAAGGTTCATCAAGGATACAGGCTTGATGTTTTCTTTTACCATTGTTCTCTGCTGGATTTTAGTATCAGGATGCTGCTGCCTCCATAGAATGAGTTAGACAGAAGCCTCTTCTTAATTTTTTTGAAAAGTTTCAGTAGGATTGGTAGCAATTCTTCTTTGTACATCTGGTAGAATTTGGCTGAGAATCCATGAGGTCCCGGACACTTTTTTTTGGTAGGATTTTTTATTACTGATTTAATTTCCAAACTTATTGCTGGTTTGTTAAGGTTTTCCCTCTCTTCATGATTCAGTCTTGAGAGGTTGTGTGTTTCTAGTAATTTATCCATTTCCTCTAGATTTTCTAATATGTGTGTACAGAGGTATTCATAATAGTCTCTGATGATCTTTTGTATTTCTGAGGGATCAGTAATCTTTCCATTTCTAATTACGCTTATTTGGATCTTCTCTCTTTCTTTTCTTTGTTAACCTGCTAATGCCCTATGAATCTTGTTTATTCTTTTGAAGAACCAACTCTTGGTTTCATTAGTCTTTTGTATGGACTTTTGGGGCTCAATTTCTTTCAGTTCTTCTCTAATTTTAGTTATTTCTTTTTTTCTACTAGCTTTAGTATGGGAGTATTCTTTTTCTCTAGTTCCTCTGATTGCCATGTTAGGTCATTAATTTGAGATCTTTTTAATCTCTTAATGAAGGTGTTTAGTGCTATAAATCTTAACACTGCTTTAGCTGCATCCCAAAGGTTTTGGAAAATTGTGTCTCTATTTTCATTAATTTCAAAGCATTTTTTAAATTTCTGTCTTAGCTTTGTTGTTTACCCAAGATTTATTCAGAAGCAAGTTGTTTAATTTCCATTTTTTTAATAGTTTTGAGATATCTTTTTGGTATTGATTTATATTTTTAGTGCACTATCGTCCAAGAGTGTGTTTTGTATGATTTCAACTTTTTAAAATTTATGGAGACTTGCTTTATGGTTGAGCATGTGGGCAATCTTAAAATATGTTCTGTGTGCTTATAAGAAGAATGTATATTCTGTGATTATTGGGTGGAGTTCTTTGCAGATGACTATTAGGTGCAATTTGGTCAAGTGTCAAGTTTTAGTCCAGAATTTCTTTGTTAGTTTTCTGCCTTGATGACTTGTCTAACACTGTCGGTGGGGTGTTGAAGTCCCCTACTATTATTGTGTGGCTGCCTAAATATTTTTGTAGGGCAAGAAAAACCTGTCTCATGAATCTTGATGCTCCTTTTTTGGATTTTTATAAATTTAGGATACTTAAGTCTTCTTTTTGCATTGAACTCTTTATCATTATGTACTGCCTGCCCTCCTTTGTCCTTTCTAATTACTGTTGGTTTAAAATCTGCTTTATCTGATATAAGAATAGAGATTCTTAATCTTTTTTGTTTTCCATTTGCCTGGATCTTTCTCCATTCCTTTACTTTGAGCCTGTGGTTATCATTACACATGAGATGCATCTCTTGAGGACAAATGACAGTTGTGTCTTGTCTTTTTATCCCACTTGCCACTCTATGCCTTTTAGGTGGGGCATTTAAACCATTCATATTTAAGGCTAGTATTGATATATGGGATTGTGATCCTGTTATCACATTGCTGGCTGTTTGCTTTGTAGACTTGATTGTGTGATTGTTTTATGTAGTCTGTACACTATGTTCTTGAGTGTATTTTTGAGGTAGTAAGTTTCAATCTTTTGTTTCCATGGTTAGCACCACCTTAAGGACATCTTGTAAGGGTGGTCTACTGGTAATGAATTCCCTTTATGCTTGCTTGTCTGAGAGGGATTTTGTTTCTCCTTTGCTTATGAAGCTTGGCTTGGTAGAATATGATATTCTTGGTTAGAATTTCTTTTCTTTAAAAATGCTGAAAATAATCCCTCAATCTCTTCTGGCTTGTAAGTTTTTTTCTGAGAGGTCTGCTGCTAGCCTGATGGGTTTCTCTTTGTAGGTGACCTGACCTTTCTGTCTAGCTGCCTAAATTTAAGATTTTTTTCTTTTGCATTGACAGTGAATCTGATGACTATGTTTCTTGGAGATGGTCATCTTATGTCATATCTCCAAAGAGTTCTCTGTATTTCCTGAAACTGTATGTCCTCTTCTCTAGCAAGAGTGAGGAAATTTATGGACTATATCATCACTATGTTTTCCAAGTTGCTTACTCTCTATCCTCTTTCAGGAATGCCAATGAGTTGTAGATTCGTTGTCTTTACATAATCTCATATTTCTTAGAGATTTTATTCCTTTTTAAAAAATCTTTTTCTTCATTTTTTTGGTCTCACTGAGATGATTCGATGAACCAATCTTCTAACTCTGAGATTCTTTCTTCAACTTAATGTATTCTGCTGTTGCTCCCTCTGTTTTTATTGTAAAATTATTGAAGTGAATTCTTCAATTACAGAAGTTCAGTTTGGTTCTTTCTTAAAATGGCTATTTCATCTTTCAGCTCCTGGATTATTTTACTATACTCCCTCGATTCCTTGGTTTAGGTTTCAACTTTCTGCTCAATCCCAGTGAACTTCCTTGCCATCCAGATTTTGAATTATATGTCTGTCATTTCAGTCATCTCAATCTGGCTAAGAACCATCCCTGGGAGCCTTGTGTGTTTCTTTGGAGGTAAGGGAGCACACTGGCTTTTTGAGTTGCCAGAGTTCTTACATTGATTCTGTCTCATGTCTGAGGGTTGGTGTGCCTTTAATTGTGATGTAAGTTGAGTATAGTCAGTTGGCTTCATTTCTAGGTGTTGTCAGAAGGCCAGGACTCTGTGCAGAATCTTTATTTGTGACTGGATCTTTGCATTAGTTTTGCAGGTGCTATATACTGGCACAATATTTTGGTGTTGTATTTTGGACTGCAATCCAGTTGGTGGCACTTAAGAGTGTTGACTAGCAGATAAGCTCTTAGTCAGACAGCTTTTTTGTATTTTGGTGCAGTTGGCAGTAGTGCTCTGTGGTGTGGGGGACAGGGATAACGCCCTCACCTGATCTACTCCTGGGTCTTGGAGGAGCCCTCTACATTCACTGGCTGCATGTCTGCATTTCCTTTGTTAGACTTCCTGGTCCACAGGGCTCCCTCAGGCAGAGGCCATGGTTGGCAGAGAGACCATACCCTTCTGGGTTTTTTAAATTATTATTATACTTTAGGTTCTAGGGTACATGTGCACAACGTGCAGATTTGTTACATATGTATGTATGTGCCATGTTGGTTTGCTGCACCCATCAAGTCGTCATTTACATTAGGTATTTCTCCTGATGCTATCCCTCCCCCATCCCTCCACTGCATGACAGGCCCTAGTGTGTGACGTTCCCCGCCCTGTGTCCAAGTGTTTTCATTGTTCAATTCCCACCTATGAGTGAGAACATGCAGTGTTTGGTTTTCTGTCCTTGTGATAGTTTGCTCAGAATGGTGGTTTCCAGCTTTATCCATGTCCCTACAAAGTACATGAACTCATCCCTTTTTTATGGCTGCATAGTATTCCATGGTGCATATGTGCCACATTTTCTTAATCCAGTCTATCACTGATGGACATTTGGGTGGGTTCCAAGTCTTTGCTATTGTGAATAGTGCCACAATAAACATACGTGTGCAAATGTCTTTATAGTAGCATGATTTATAATCCTTTGGGTATATATCCAGTAATGGGATCGCTGGGAGAGACCATACCTTTCTCAGTCCAGCCCTATGGAGGGAGTCACACCCTTCTCCTCCCAAGTGGCTCACCTCTCTCAGTGTTCTGAGAGTGAGGGCTCCTCACTGCTTGGGTCCTGCCTAAGCTGATATGTCCTGCTTGGCTAGAGCAGTGGGAGTGGGTGTAGTTGCCCAATCCACTGTCCAGGTGCTTCCCATAGGAACACAGAGCTGCACCTACTGGCAGAGTTCAGGCAGAGGTGGGTCCTCTGTGTTGGAATCCCCAACTGGTGCATCCTGCCCAGGTAGGAGGAGGGGGGGTTGGCATGGTGGCCCAATCCATTGTCTGGGTGCTTCCCTAGGGAATTCAGGGCTGCACTTGCCAGCAGAGTTCAGGCAGAAGAAGGTCTGCTGTGCTAGAAGCCCCAGCAAGCATGGCCTGTCTGGCTGTGAGCAAGCAGTGAAGTCACCTACCCTGCATCCAGATATTTCCTGGGGGAAAACAGGGCTGCAACCGCCCACAGAGTTCAGGAGAAGCAGGTCTGCTGTGCTGGAAGTCTGTCTAGTTACAAGCAAGCAGAAGGAGTGGGTGGAGTAGCCCACTCTGCCAGCCAGATGTTTCCCAGGGGAACATGGGGCTGCTCCTGCCTGCAGAGTTCAGGCAGAAGTGAAGCCACTGTGCTGGAAGATGTGCAGGGGATGATGGGGCGGTCTTACTGCTCCTGGGCACTGCATCTGTGGTGCCTACTGGGGCTATGGCAGTACTCTACTGTTTCAGGGTCCAAGGCTTTATAGAGGTCGCTATAAACTTGAGTTTGCCTCTGCAAAACCTGTGAACTTGAGTGTTGCCTCTGCAAAACCTCTGGATGTTTCTCTCTAACAGTCTAGAGGCCTTAGGGGGTAGGAGGATTTTCCCATTTCAAAGCTTTCAAAGGTCCCTGTGGAAGGTGTGAATCTTCCAGGGGTTCTCACTCACCCTTTCCCCATGGTGGGAAACTTGTCCTGGCTCCACACCAATCCAAGATGGGCTGCTGCCCATTTTCTCTCTTCTCTATTCTCTGTGTCCCCTTGCTACCATGATGGATCCTGTTGTGGATTCCTAGTTTATAGACTTGCAGGGTCAGTATTCACTACGCTCTTGGTCTCCTCTCCATGAAAGCAGCACACACTAGCCACTTTTAGTCTGCCTCTTTTGATCCCCTCCCTCAACAAATAATTTTTATATACATATGTTCAAAATATTCCATGGGATATAGTTTACTAAAGAATTATTTACTATTTGTTTGAATTCAAATTTAACTAGACACACTCTATTGTTATTTGCTAAAACCAGTAACCTCCCCTGAGCCAATATGACTCCTAGTCTGCATTCCCTGCAGTGAAGGTATACTGCATGGAAAGTCATCTTCATATTGACCCAGTAATGGCACAAGAGGATGTAAATTTATATTTCCAGGTATAACTGAACAAGTGCTGGGCATTAGATGAGAGAGGAAAGGCATCACAGTATAAAGGTTATGTGAAAAATGAGTAAGTGAGAGTTGACTGGACCTTCGTCCTCTTCTTTAATCAGGTGACTGGAAGCACCTGCTCAATGTCTGCTCATCAACAACAAACCAGAGGAGGGCTTAAAAGAACTCAGAAAAGCTGCATGCTGGAATAGAATGAAGAATGCTGGAGACACCCTAACCATGGAGGTGAGCAGGATGGGAGCTGGATATAGGATGTGAGGAAGACATAACTTGCATTCATACTATCTAGTGTCCAAGGTGCATAAAGCATGGGAACACAGGTCTGATATGGCTCTTCTTATCTCACCTCATTGTCCTGGTTCTCAAGGGGTGTTGCAATTGTTTGGCTTAGTGTTGAAAGAGAATATGTTGTTACTGAAAGAAATGGACACAGATACTTTACTTAGTAGAGACAGAGGGCACTTAGTATTCCTTCTGGCTTAATATTCTTTGGGCTTTTTTCCAGGGCATAAGCCAGCAGAAGGAAGGGTTAGTGACCATGCAGAATAGAACACCAAGAGGTTCACTTATTTGTTTATTCACTCACACACTCATTCATTCATGTATATTTTCTGAGTGCCCATGTGTGTCAGGTTCTGGTCTATCCCTGGAAATACCACAACAATCATAAAGGTCAAAATCCCTGTTGTATGGAGTGTAAATTCTATTATTACAAGATTTAAGGGCATGACTAAGTGGAAATACCTCAGAGAAAGATTTCTCTTTTTTTTACATACAGATAGAAAACACAGATATTCCAACTTACAAGGGACGTGAAGGACCTCTTCAAGGAGAACTACAAACCACTGCTCAATGAAATCAAAGAGGATATAAACAAATGGAAGAACATTCCATGCTCATGGGTAGGAAAAATCAATATCATGAAAATGGCCATACTGCCCAAGGTAATTTATAGATTCAATGCCATCCCCATCAAGCTACCAATGACTTTCTTCATACAATTGGAAAAAACTACTTCAAAGTTCACATGGCACCAAAAAAGGGCCCGCATCACCAAGTCAATCCTAAGGCAAAAGAACAAAGCTGGGGGCATCACGCTACCTGACTTCAAACTATACTACAAGGCTACAGTAACCAAAACAGCATGGTACTGGTATCAAAACAGAGATATAGCTGAATGGAACAGAACAGAGCCCTCAGAAATAATGCCACATACCTACAACTATCTGATCTTTGAAAAACCTGATAAAAACAAGCAATGGGGAAAGGATTCCCTATTTAATAAATGGTGCTAGGAAAACTGGCTAGCCATATGTAGAAAGCTGAAACTGGATCCCTTCCTCACACCTTATACAAAAATTAATTCAAGATGGATTAAAGACTTAAATAAACTGGATTAAGAAAATGTGGCACATATACACCATGGAATACTATGCAGCCATAAAAAATGATGAGTTCATGTCCTTTGTAGGGACATGGATGAAATTGGAAATCATCATTCTCAGTAAACTATCACAAGAACAGAAAACCAAACACCGCATATTCTCACTCATAGGTGGGAATTGAACAATGAGAACACATGGACACAGGAAGGGGAACATCACACTCTGGGGACTGTTGTGGGGTGGTGGGAGGGGGGAGGGATAGCATTAGGAGATATACCTAATGCTAGATGACGAGTTAGTGGGTGCAGTGCACCAGCATGGCACATGTATACATATGTAACTAACGTGTACATTGTGCACATGTACCCTAAAACTTAAAGTATAATAATAATAAATTAAAATAAAAAAAGATTAAGGGATTTGGTGAAGTAAATGGAAAAAAAAAGAGAAAACACAGATATTGCTGTGGATCATAAAGTAAACCATTTATCATATTATGCACATATTAAACTGTGTTGAAAAATTATAGTAGGCTAGGCATGAAGCTTGATCATGAATAACAGTATAAATCAGGGTCCCAGGTTTTAAGGAGCTTTTATCTTAATAAGAGAAAGTAAAAGTAATAGCTTCTTTAAATGTTTTATTCTGATCTAAATCAGTTAAAATGACACCTGCTCTCTTAACAAATGTTTAAGTGCACAATACAATATTGTTAACTATAAGTACAAGGTTGTACAGAAGGTCTCTACAATTTTTATCCTGTATCACTGAAACTCTATACCCATTGAACAGCAATTTCCCATTTCCCCCTACCTCCAGCTTCTGAAAACCACCATTAGGGATATTGGTCTAAAATTCTCTTTTTTTGTTGTGTCTCTGCCAGGCTTTGGTATCAGGATGATGCTGGCCTCATAAAATGAGTTAGGGAGAATTCCCTCTTTTTCTATTCATTGGAATAGTTTCAGAAGGAATGGTACCAGCTCCTCCTTGTACCTCTGGTAGAATTCAGCTGTGAATCCATCTGGTCCTGGACTTTTTTTGGTTGGTAAGCTGTTAATTATAGCCTCAATTTCAGAGCCTGTGTTTCGTCTATTCAGAGATTCAACTTCTTCCTGGTTTAGTCTGGGGAGGGTGTATGTGTCGAGGAATTTATCCATTTCTTCTAGATTTTCTAGTTTATTTGTGTACAGGTGTTTATAGTATTCTCTGATGGTAGTTTGTATTTCTGTGGGATTGGTGGTGATATCCCCTTTATCATTCTTTATTGTGTCTATTTGATTCTTCTCTTTTTTCTTCTTTATTAGTCTTGCTAGTGGTCTATCAATTTTGTTGATCTTTTCAAAAAACCAGCTCCTGGATTCATTGATTTTTTTGAAGGGTTTTTTGTGTCTCTATCTCCTTCAGTTCTGCTCTGATCTTAGTTATTTCTTGCCTTCTGCTAGCTTTTGAATGTGTTTGCTCTTGCTTTTCTAGTTCTTTTAATTGTGAAGTTAGGGTATAAATTTTAGATCTTTCCTGCTTTCTCTTGTGGGCATTTAGTGCTATAAATTTCCCTCTACACACTGCTTTCAATGTGTCCCACAGATTCTGGTATGTTGTGTCTTTGTTCTTGTTGGTTTCAAAGACCATCTTTATTTCTGCCTTCATTTTGTTATGTACCCAGTAGTTATTCAGGAGCAGGTTGTTCCGTTTCCATGTAGTTGAGTGGTTTTGAGTGAGTTTCTTAATCCTGAGTTCTAGTTTGATTGAACTGTGGCCTGAGAGACAGTTTGTTATAATTTCTGTTCTTTTACATTTGCTGAGGAGTGCTTTACTTCCAACTATGTGGTCAATTTTGGAATAAGTGCGGTGTGCTGCTGAGAAGAATGTATATTCTGTTGATTTGGGGTGGAGAGTTCTGTAGATGTCTATTAGGTCCACTTGGTGCAGAGCTGAGTTCAATTCCTGGATATCCTTGTTAACTTTCTGTCTCATTGATGTGTCTAGTGTTGACAGTGGGGTGTTAAAGTCTCCCATTATTATTGTGTGGGAGTCTAAGTCTCTTTCTAGGTCTGTAAGGACTTGCTTTATGAATCTGGGTCCTCCTGTATTGGGTGCATATATATTTAGGATAGTTAGCTCTTCTTGTTGAATTGATCCCTTTACCATTATGTAATGGCCTTCTTTGTCTCTTTTGATCTTTGTTGGTTTAAAGTCTGTTTTATCAGAGACTAGGATTGCAACCCCTGCCTTTTTTTGTTTTCCATTTGCTTGGTAGATCTTCCTCCATCCCTTTATTTTGAGCCTATGTGTGTCTCTGCATGTGAGATGGGTTTCCTGAATACAGCACGCTGATGGGTCTTGACTCTCTTGCAAAAATCCTCAATAAAATACTGGCAAACCGAATCCAGCAGCACATCAAAAAGCTTGTCCACCATGATCAAGTGGGCTTCATCCCTGGGATGCAAGGCTGGTTCAACATACGCAAATCAATAAACATAATCCAGCATATAAACAGAACCAAAGACAAAAACCACATGATTATCTCAATAGATGCAGAAAAGGCATTTGACAAAATTCAACAGCCCTACATGCTAAAAACTCTCAATAAATTACGTGTTGATGGGACATGTCTCAAAATAATAAGAGCTATCTGTGACAGACCCACAGCCAATATCATACTGAATGGGCAAAAACTGGAAGCATTCTCTTTGAAAACTGACACACGACAGGGATGCCCTCTCTCACCACTCCTATTCAACATAGTGTTGGAAGTTCTGGCCAGGGCAATCAGGCAGGAGAAGGAAATAAAGGGTATTCAATTAGGAAAAGAGGAAGTCAAATTGCCCTGTTTGCAGATGACATGATTTTATATCTAGAAAACCCCATCACCTCAGCCCAAAATCTTCTGAAGCTGATAAGCAACTTCAGCAAAGTCTCAGGATACAAAATCAATGTGCAAAAATCACAAGGATTCTTATACACCAATAACAGACAAACAGAGAGCCAAATCATGAGTGAACCCCCATTCACAATTGCTTCAAAGAGAATAAAATACTAGGAATCCAACTTACAAGGGATGTGGAGGACCTCTTCAAGGAGAACTACAAACCACTGCTCAATGAAATCAAAGAGGATACAAAGAAATGGAAGAACATTCCATGCTCATGGGTAGGAAAAATCAACATCGTGAAAATGGCCATACTGCCCAAGGTAATTTACAGATTCCATGCCATCCCCATCAGGCTACCAATGCCTTTCTTCACACAATTGGAAAAAACTACTTTAAAGTTCATATGGAACCAAAAAGGAGCCCGCATTGCCAAGTCAATCCTAAGCCAAAAGAACAAAGCTGGAGGCAACACGTTACCTGACTTCAAACTATACTACAAGGCTACAGTAACCAAAACAGCATGGTACTGGTACCAAAACAGAGATATAGACCAATGGAACAGAACAGAGCCCTCAGAAATAATGCCACATATCTACAACTATCCGATCTTTGACAAACCTGACAAAAACAAGAAATGGGGAAAGGATTCCCTATTTAATAAACGGTGCTAGGAAAACTGGCTAGCCATATGTAGAAAGCTGAAACTGGATCCCTTCCTTACACCTTATACAAAAATCAATTCAAGATGGATTAAAGACTTACATGTCAGACCTAAAACCTTAAAAACCCTAGAAGAAAACCTAGGCAATACCATTCAGGACATACGCATGGGCAAGGACTTCATGTCTAAAACACCAAAAGCAATGGCAACAAAAGCCAAAATTGACAAATGGGATCTAATTAAACTAAAGAGCTTCTGCACAGCAAAAGAAATTACCATCAGAGTGAACAGGCAACCTACAGAATGGGAGAAAATTTTCACAACCTACTCATCTGACAAAGGGTTAATATCCAGAATCTACAATGAACTCAAACAAATTTACAAGAAAAAAACAAATAACCCCATCAACAAGTGGGTGAAGGATATGAACAGACACTTCTCAAAAGAAGACATTTATGCAGCCAAAAGACACATGAAAAAAATGCTCATCATCACTGGCCGTCAGAGAAATGCAAATCAAAACCACAGTGAGATACCATCTCACACCAGTTAGAATGGCCATCATTAAGAAGTCAGGAAACAATAGGTGCTGGAGAGGATGTGGAGAAATAGGAACACTTTTACACTGTTGGTGGGACTGTAAACTAGTTCAACCACTGTGGAAGTCAGTGTGGTGATTCCTCAGGGATCTAGAACTAGAAATACCATTTGTCCCAGCCATCCCATTACTGAATATATACCCAAAGGATTATAAATCATGTTGCTATAAAAACACATGCACATGTATGCTTATTGCAGCACTATTTACAATAGCAAAGACTTGGAACCAACCCAAATGTCCAACAATGATAGACTGGATTAAGAAAATGTGGCACATATACACCATGGAATACTATGCAGCCATAAAAAAGGATGAGTTCGTGTCATTTGTAGGGACATGGATGAAGCTGGAAACCATTATTCTCAGCAAACTATTGCAAGGACAAAAAACCAAACACCGCATGTTCTCACTCATAGGTTGGAATTGAACAATGAGAACACATGGACACAGGAAGGGGAACATCACACACCGGGGCCAGTTGTGGGGTGGGGAGACAGGGGAGGGATAGCATTAGGAGATATACCTAATGTTAAATGACGAATTAATGGGTGCAGCACACCAACATGGCACATGTATACATATGTAACTAATCTGCACGTTGTGCACATGTACCCTAAAACTTAAAGTATAATTTTAAAAAAAAGAAAATGTGGCACATATATACCATGGAATACTATGCAGCCATAAAAAATGATGAGTTCACATCCTTTGTAGGGACATGGATGAAGCTGGAAACCATCATTCTCAGCAACCTATCGCAAGGACAAAAAACCAAACACCACATGTTCTCACTCATAGGTGGGAATTGAACAATGAGAACACATGGACACAGGAAGGGGAACATCACACACCAGGGACTGTTGTTAGGTGGGGGTAGGGGGGAGGGATAGCATTAGGAGATATACCTAATGCTAAATGATGAGTTAATGGGTGCAGCACACCAATATGGCACATGTATACATATGTAACAAACCTGCACGTTGTGTACATGTACCCTAAAACTTGAAGTATAATTTAAAAAAAAGAAAAAGAAACATTATGTTAAATGAATTAAGCCAGATATACAAAGTCAAGTATTTTATGATTCAATGTATAAATCAAATGTCCACAATAGGCAAATCCTTAGAATCAGAAAGTAAATTAGCGGTTGCTAAGTGGGATGTGTGAATAAAAATGGAGAGTTACTGCTAATGGGTATGGTTTCCTATGTGGTGATTAAAATGCTCTGTAACGATATAGTAGTGATGATTGCACAACTCTTTGAATGATCAAAACACATTCAATTGTATACTTTAAAAGGGTAAATTGTATGGTAAATGAATTATACTTCAAGGAGGTTTAAATTTTAATAGAAATTTTAGTCCTAATCAAGGTGACATTTTCTCCCATATTTTGCCTCCAATTCTTCCACAGCACATAGTGCATCTCACATAATATTTATAATGTTGGAGTGCAATTGTTTATGTACTCTCTCTTACTTACTCAACTATAAGATCCTTGAACTTGTCACACACGTTACTTTAGGAACTAGCATGGAAAAGGTCTTCACAAATACTATCTGAAAAATCAATAAGCCAGTAAAAGTAAACCTCCATATGAGCTTACTCCTCTGCTTTTCATCACCATCTATTCTGTCCACATTTCAAGCAATGTATTTCCAGCATGAATTTGTGGTGTGATTTGACATGAAGGAGAACATCAGTCACCAAAATGAAAGGATTGTACCACAGTACCCTTATTTTAGTTTAACTTCGACTTTTTTAGATTAACTCTTAATCAAAAATTGGTACTTAACAAGGAAAAACTTGCCTTCTGTTGTTTTCAGAGAAGTAAAAAAAGCACCTCACCTTTGAGTCGCCAAAATTATGCTTCCTGGAATGACCGCATACCATGTAGCAGGTTTATTTTAGTTTGTTTACAGAAAAGTGTAGACCAAAGTCCAGTGCTGACTTTGGGAGCTACTAAAGACATGAAAAAGTAGAATTTTAAACACATTTCATTGTAAACGACTGGGAGTATCTGAGCAAATTATTTCTTACGTGACTTTAGAGAAAACGGCTACCTATCTGACCCCAAAACGACTTGAGGAAACTGTTTCCACGGTCCTGCTGCAGAGGGGAAGCACAGTCGTCAAGAAGAGAGTGGGGTCAGGATCAAAACACATTTAGTGTGACTTAGGGAAAGAAAACATTTTCCCTCTTTGAACCTCTCTGGATACAGTCATTTTGCCTCTACTTGAGGATCAACTGTTCAACCTCAATGGCCTTTCAGGACCTCCTGGGTCACGCTGGTGACCTGTGGAGATTCCAGATCCTTCAGACTGTTTTTCTCTCAATCTTTGCTGTTGCTACATACCTTCATTTTATGCTGGAGAACTTCACTGCATTCATACCTGGCCATCGCTGCTGGGTCCACATCCTGGACAATGACACTGTCTCTGACAATGACACTGGGGCCCTCAGCCAAGATGCACTCTTGAGAATCTCCATCCCACTGGACTCAAACATGAGGCCAGAGAAGTGTCGTCGCTTTGTTCATCCTCAGTGGCAGCTCCTTCACCTGAATGGGACCTTCCCCAACACAAGTGACGCAGACATGGAGCCCTGTGTGGATGGCTGGGTGTATGACAGAATCTCCTTCTCATCCACCATCGTGACTGAGGTAAGAGGCTCTGTTCTCGTCTCATGAGTATGTGACCTGGGTGTTTAGAATAACACAAGTAATAATCATGCTTCCAGCCTTCAGTCACATGTAGGTCCTTAGTCTTCATTCTTTCAGCAAATACTAATTGCTTCTTTATTAAATGTCTGACACCTACACATTTTGAGTAATGAATTCCAAAGTAGAAGGCATCCTGCTATTATAATGCTTTAAGTCACAGGGAGACCAAAGTTTAAACAAGCATTTATATATAATATGTTAAAATGTTCTGCTAGGTCAGTGATGCTCAGCCTGTCATTGCAAATTAGAAATATCTGGGAAATTGAGAAAAGCCTCCATGCCCAGAGTATACCCTAAAACAATCATATGAGAAGGTCTAAGAGGGAAATTTAGGTTTCTAAAAGTTTTTAAAGGTCTTCAAGTGATTGCACCATGTGGTCATGTTTGAGAACCATTTAGTATGAAATAAAAACCTATAGGTTTAGGAAAGTCTTCCAAGAGAAAGTTATGTTTAAGTTGAGACCTGAATAACAAAGGTCAGGTAATGCTGAGAAAGGAAGCCACAGAGGAAGTTAGAGACTTAATATTAGGAAACTTGCAGATCATGCTAAGAAGTTTTGATCAAGTTACACTGAGGGGTAATAAGCATTGATGTGCTGGCTTCCTTCTCTTCCAGTGGGATCTGGTATGTGACTCTCAATCACTGACTTCAGTGGCTAAATTTGTATTCATGGCTGGAATGATGGTGGGAGGCATCCTAGGCGGTCATTTATCAGACAGGTGAGTGTGTATGGAACACAGCTCTCTTTAAGGGCATTTTTTATCAACTTATGAAACATTATTTCATCTAGAATTACTTACTGCAAATTACATTCTCCTGAGGCTGCCCTGATCCCCAAACAGAAAAGGAAATTTTTAGTCCGTGTTTTGAGTGCTATTTTTAAAATTTGAGCTCTGTATGCAGGACACAGAAATGATATCTCCATGTGAACTGGGGGTGTTTCAAGACAGGTTTTAGAGAGAAGGTACCACAACATGTGGTTTAGAAATATGAGAAAGAGTTAACTAAGGGAATAGAAAGGAAGACGTTTCATCACATAGGATTCAGCCTTGGCCAGGAGTACCAGGTCCAGTCCTACCTGGACACTGTGAGCTGATAGCTTGTGCCCAGAGAATTGTCATTACATCATAGTTCCAAGTGTGATGAACACGCATTCCTCTAAAACCTGTAGGGTATATTTGAAGGTATCATTGGTGGTGTGTTGAAAAATTATGTGTAGAAACTTGATTATTGTCTTTGCAAAAACAGCTTTTTAGAACCATGTGAGGTAAGTAATCCAAGGATAATACTATCTCAGTCTGTGGTGTGAGAAGTTTGGGGTATTCACCTTGCTGTATGTCTCCTGACATGGCAGGGAACAATTACCTTCACCCAACCATGTCTCCCCTGATGGCGATGAGGGACTTGAAGTGCCACTTGCCATCCACCAACATCATGTCTTCTGGTGTCTCACCTGAAAATTTGAACCTTGAATGTACGACAGGAAATGGAATGTAGAATGAGCTAAGAGTCAGAGGGTTAATTTCCAATAGTTAGTCACCCAGTCCTCTGTGATACTGTCCTGGGAAAATGCAGATAGACCAATTTTAATAGATCACAGGGTGGTAAAAGAAGGGGTAGGAGATGCCAGGCAGGAGATGACAGTGGAGAATCAGCTAAAGACGAAGGGACAAGATAACCTAAGGATTTTGGTATTTCTCACAAACCTAAGAGGAAATATTATGTGATTATATGCAGAGTAGGCTATGATCAAACTGATTGTTTTGGAATAACTCACTCAACTGTTTATGATATCTTAAAATCGGAAATAATCTATAATTTCATTAATAATAGGTTAATAAATAAGCAGATATTCACATAATGAATTTTTACAGCAAAGGGAATGAATAAAGTACTGTCTGCAATAAGGTGAATTAACATCAAAACCATTTGGTTAGGTACCACAAGACCAACAAAAAGATTACATACTATAGTGTTCCACCAATGTAAAAGTCAAAAACAAGGAACTACATTATGATGTGAGAAAAGGGAGAAATCTAATTTCCTTTAGATTTCTATTGGAATTGCATTAAATCTAAACAGCAGTTTGGGTAAGACTGACATTTTTTAAATACTGAATTTTCTGATCTATAAATATAATATTGCTTTTAATTAAGGTAGACTTTTGTTTAATTTCCCTTTGCAATATTTTATAGTTTATGATAAAAGTCATGTACTTTTTATTAATTTATTTCTAATTCATATGTAAAGATAATTTACATGTAAATTATGTACATATATGTAAAGATAATTAACTTTTTCATAGTAAACTTACATCCTGCCAACAGGATAAATTTATTAGTTCTAGTAGCTATTTATGGATTCCTTAAAATTTCCCAACTTGATCATATCATCTGCAAGGTGGAATAGTTCAAATCACTAATGTTCTACTTTTTCCTTTTAATCTCTTTCTAGCAGTAGCTAAAACCTTTGATACAATGCCAATGACATTGGTGAGAGCTGAAATCCTGCCTCACCACAGGCTATATTGTTCCAGTTGTCTACAGAGAGGACTCCTTTCCCAGAAAACAGTAAAACACTAAATTCCCTTTTTCTTTTTTTTCCTTTTTTTTTTTCTTTTTTTTTTTGCCCTCCCCTGCAACACTTCAACAACTTTGATGTATTGTTCTATGGATGTTCCTTTCACATCAGTATACCCATAGCCTGCACTGTCCTAGACTTCTACATCTAGATTTAGATGTCTTATAGGCTATGCCCTGCTCAGGCTCTCTACTATGCTAAAGTACATGGGAGACACATTGTGTTATTAGTACGCTGTGTGTTAGTACAAGGGACTTCTGATACTTTAAAATGTCCAATATTCCACCCTGTCTTATGTGGTTTCAATTGGTGTCAAAAATATACTGCTAAGAGATTGGAAAATAAGCTTTGATCTACTTGGTATTTATTTAGAAACAGGGAACATTGTGTCTGAGATCTGCCATTGATTACTGATTCTTTAAGGCTTCAAATGCAAAGTTTCACTTGTTAAACATCTTTTAAGTTTCAAAGTGTGCCTTCTCTTTGCTAAGTTTTTCCACTTGTTGTTATTGTTCCCATTATCTAACCTGTTTCTGTTTCTCAGGTTTGGGAGAAGGTTCGTGCTCAGATGGTGTTACCTCCAGGTTGCCATTGTTGGCACCTGTGCAGCCTTGGCTCCCACCTTCCTCATTTACTGCTCACTACGCTTCTTGTCTGGGATTGCTGCAATGAGCCTCATAACAAATACTATTATGTTAAGTAAGCCAACACTTTGGATCCACATTTTCCAAACTGTGACTTTGAAATTGAAACTCCACCTTTGAAGTCAAAGCCTTATCTGTTTTTTCTTCCAGTAGCCGAGTGGGCAACACACAGATTCCAGGCCATGGGAATTACATTGGGAATGTGCCCTTCTGGTATTGCATTTATGACCCTGGCAGGCCTGGCTTTTGCCATTCGAGACTGGCATATCCTCCAGCTGGTGGTGTCTGTACCATACTTTGTGATCTTTCTGACCTCAAGGTATGAGTTTGTTTCTTCTTTTGTCTTAATGAGATATTGGAATGAGAATGTATGTGGAACTAGGACACCTGAATTTCTTTTTGTTCTTTGTGTAAACCTGAGAGCACGTCCTCTCATAATCTGTGCTTGATGTGCAATACAAGAAGCAGAACACATAGAGTTTCCTGATAAAACTGAGGGCAATCAATGAAATTTCAACATAAGGTAACCAACAAATATTTCTCTAAAATTATATCTCAAATATTGTAAGAGACATAATTTACTCAAGATCATTTATTGTTTATATGAAATTTCATTCACCTGAGAGTTCTTTTATTTAAATGAATAAAACATAGGAAGTCCCATTAAATTCAAATTTCAGATAAGGGATGAATAATTTTTAATATAATTATGTCCAAAATATTGCATGAGACATGCTTATACTAAAACATTTTCCTGCTTAATAGAAATTCAAATGCATCCATGCCACTGTGTTTTCATTTGCTAAAACCAGCAACCCATGACATGGGGAATAGCAATGAATCATTGCCTGAGACTTCTTAGTGTCCTTGGATATCCTCGCCTTAACAAGTATTATGGAAACAGAATTATTACAAAAATGTTTTCCCCAATACAGGAAAACATTTGAGGAGCTATCTTCCATGGTAGTCTATGTTTTTATATATATCCTTGGAAAAAAATACATGATGGAGAAGTTTGGGATTTTTTTTCTTAATTATTATAGGTGATATTGGATGAAAAGAAGGTGTAGCAAATTTACTTTCATAACTATCTAAAGAAAGAGCTGCATGGTTTCTTCAATTAAAATATTAAGGCAAAATGGATAATTTACCTCATTTGTCAGTATTCCATCTTCCTTCTATCAGCTTTGCAAATACTTATAGTCGGTTAACTATACTCTCCCCTTAAAAAAGCCAGTTCAGTGAAAGACATCTATTTGGACTTTACCTTAGAGAGATGATTACAGATTTAATACAGAGAGAAGAGTTCAGATAGAAAAGTAAGCAAACTCCCTGTCAGGCTCATCCATTCATTTATCTTATCTCCATAACAGCCCTACAAGGTAATATTCTCTCCATTACATAGATGAGAACACTGAGGAATATTTAGGTAAGTAACTTGTTAATATGTCCAGTTTATTCACAGATGATATGACCAGGAGTGATTCTAGTTGTATGAGGCCTTAAGCATGCATAAATTATTTGAGGGACTTTATTTTAGGGAAAAGAACACATTAAGAATAGACATAAGTCATGACCTCACTAGGACCTTGGCAGGGATCTATCTGTACAAGTGACGGTCCTTCATGCTGCAGTGTCAGGAGCTCCAAGGTAAATTTGCCAAGTAAGAGAGGAGCCAGTATGATTCCAAGTCTGCATTCCCAACAGTGAATATGTACTGGATGGAGGAGTCATCTCACATTTTTCTAGTTATAGTCAAAGAGAATGTGAGTTTACATTTCCTGGTAAAACCAAACAAGTGGTGGATATTAGCTTGGAGGGAGAAGACATCTTAAGAAAAAACTAATGTAAGAAATGAGGAAGTGAAAGTCGACTGCCCCTCTGTTCTCTTCCTTGGTCAGTTGGCTGCTAGAGTCTGCTCGGTGGCTCATTATCAACAATAAACCAGAGGAAGGCTTAAAGGAACTTAGAAAAGCTGCACACAGGAGTGGAATGAAGAATGCCAGAGACACCCTAACCCTGGAGGTGAGCTGGATGGGAGCTAGATATGGGATGTAGGGAAGACATAACTTGTCATCAATACTTAGCAGTAGCAGTGTCCATAAGGTAAAAAAAGGAAAGAAACACAGGTATGGTTATGGGCTGTATCACCTCACTATCATTTTTAATGGGCTTCAATATTGTTTGGGTTAACATTGAAGGGGAATATGCTGTTGCCAAAAGGATGAGACACAGATATTTTACTCAATGGAGGCAGAGGCACAAAGTATTAACTATTGTAAAGATTTTGCATTGAACTCATTCTAACTGTGTAATAGGAGTAACCAAAACTAGTTCATTCCTTCCCATTTATTATTCTGTGGGTCTCTTTCAGGGTAGTAAAGCCAGAGGAAGGGTTAGTGAGCAAATAGAATACAACATAAAGAGTTCACTTATTTGTTCATTCAATCATACATTCTTCCATTTATGATACATTTAGTGAGGCACTACCTATGCCAGATTCCATTCTTCCCTGGAAATACTGCAGTGCCCATATCAATCCAAATCCCTATTTGTCTGGAGTTTCATTATACTTACTTACTATAAGTTCCTAAAGCATGACTAAGTGGAAATGCCTGTGAGAAGTCTTTCTCATTTTAATCCACCCCAGATCTTAAAGATAAATGTTGTCATGGATCTTTAAGTTAAATATTATCCATGTTATACACATATATAAAGTATTAATCTTAAAATGTGGTATGCACAAATGATACTAGATCATGAATAACAGAATAAGTCAAGGTAACTACCTGAATGAAGCTTTTGCTATGACAGAGAATATCAATGGACAGATTTAAATCCAAATATTGGAAATGATATGGGAAAGGAAAGAATGCTACTTGGAACAATAAAAATACATTTTCTCCCATTTTATTGAAAAAGGAGAGGATTAAGAGCAAGCCTCTTAATATCCTTACATATTAATATTAACCTTAAATGTAAAACATCACACTTAAAAGACACAGAGTGACAAGTTGGATTAAAAAAAAAAATACACCCAATTGTATACTGACTTCCAGAGACACTCACATGCAGTGACACCTATAGGCTCAAAGTGAAAGGATAAAGAAAAATCTAACAAGCAAATGGAAAACAAAAAAAGAGCAAGGGATGCAATTCTAATTTCAGATAAAACAGATGTTAAACCAACAGTGATCAAAAAAGGCAAAAGGAGAATTACATAATGATCCAGGGTTCAATTCAATAAGATTTAACTATCTTAAATATATATGCACCCAACACTGGAGCACGAAGATTCATACAACGAGTTCTTAGAAATCTACAAAGAGACTTAGATAAATCATACAATGATAGTTGGAGAATTCAACACCCCACTGGCAGTGTTAGACAGATTATAGACACAGAAAACTAACAAAGATGTTCAGGAACTAAACTCAACACTTGACCAAATGGACCTAACAGATATCTAAGGAACACTCCACCCAACAACAGCAGAATATACGTTATTCTCCTCTGCACATGACACATGCTCTCAAATTGACCACACATCAGCCATAAAACAATCCTCAGCAAATTCAAAAAGAAAGAAAGAAAGAAAGTAAACCAACCACACTCCTGGACCACAACACAATAAAAGAGAGATCAATATGAAGAAGATCTCCCAAAATCATAAAATTACATGGAAATTAAACAACCTTCTCTTGAATGACTTCCGGATAAATAAAGAAATTAAGGCAGAAATCAAGAAAACCTTTCAAACTAGTGAAAACAAAGATATAACATACCAGAATCTCTGGGACACAGCTAAACACATGTTAAGAAGGAAACTTATAGCACTAAATCCCCACATCACAAAGTTTGAGAGATCTCAAATTAACAACCTAACCTCAAACCTATTGGAACTAGAAAAAGAAGAGCAAACAAAACCCAAAGCTAGCAGAAAAGAAGAAGTAACCAATTCAAAGCTGAACTGAGTGAAATTGAGATGTAAAAAAGATACATATCAACAAAACCAAAGATTGGTAATTTGAAAGAACACATTAGATGGATAGACTTTCTTAAACTAATAAAGAAAAAAAGAGAGCGGATTCAAATAAATGCAATTAGAAATGACAAAGGTGACATTACCACCAACAACACAGAAATACAAAAAACACTCAGAGACTATTACAAACGCCTCTATGCGCAGAAACTAGAAAACCTGGAAGAAATAGATAATTCTTGTAAACATTCAAACTCCCAATATTGAATCAGAAATAAATTGAAACCCTGTATAAACCAATAACAAGTTTCCAAACTGAATCAGTAATAAAAAGCCAGTCAACTAGAAAAATCCCTGGGCCACATGGATTCACAGCTAAATTCTACCAGACATGTAAAGAAGAGCTTGTACCAATCCTACTGAAATTATTCCAGAAAATTGAGGCAGGGAGACTCCTAACTCATTCTACAAGACTAGATTCATTCTAATACCAAAACCTGGCAGAGAAAAAAATTTTAAAAAAAGAAAAACCAGACTAAAAACAAAAAACACATTATCAACCCAATAGACAGAGAAAAGGCTTTTAATAAAATTCAACATCGTTCATATTACAAACCCTCAACAAACTAGGCATCGAAGGAGCATACCTCAAAATAATGAGAGCTATCTATTGACAAACCCAAGCCAAGATCATACTGAATACACAAAACCTGGAAGCAGTCCCCTTGAGAACCAGGCAAGACAAGGATGTCCACACTCACCAATTCTATTAAGCATAGTACTCAAAGTCCTAGCCAGAGTAATTAGACAAAAGAAAGAAAAGGCCACAAAATAGGAAGAGAGGAAGTCAAAATATCTCTCTTCACATACAATATGATCTTATACATACAAATCCCTGTAGTTGTAGCCCAAAAGCTCCTTGATCTGGTAAACAATTTTAGCAAAGTTTCAGGATACAAAATCAATGTACAAAAATCAGTAGCATTTCTATACGCTGACATCGTTAAAGCTGAGAGCCAAATCAAGAATGTAATCTCATTCGCAATAAACACAAAATAATAAAATACCTAAGAATATAGCTAGCTAGGGAGGCAAGAGTTCTACAATGAGAACTACAAAGCAATGATGAAAGAAAGCAGAGATGACCACAAACAAATGCAAAAACATTCCATGCTCATGGATATGAAGAATCAATATTGTTTAAATGGCCATACACCCAAAGCAATTTACAGACTGAATCCTGTTCCTATCAAACTACCAAAGACATTTTTTATAGAATTAGAGAAAACTATTCTAAAATTCATATGGAACAAAAAAAAAGAGTTTGAATAACCAAAGCAATCCAAAGCAAAATGAACAAAGCTGTAGGCATCACACTATCTGACTTTGAACCATACTACGAGAACACAGTAACCAAAACAGCATGGTACTGGTACAAAGACAGAAAGGTAGACCAATAGAATAGGCTAGAGCACTGAGAAATAATGCCATACCTCTACAACCATCTGTTCATCAATGAAGTCGACAAAAACAAGCAATGGGGAAAGGATTCCCTATTCAGTCAATGGTGTGATAACTGACTATCCATATGCAGAAGATTGAAACTGAACCCCTTCCTTTCACCATATACAAAACTCAAGTCAAGATAAAGACTTAAGTTTAAGACCTAAAACTATAAAAATCCTAGAAGAAAACATAGAAGATACCATTCTGGACAAAGGCCCTGACAAAGGTCTCATGACAAAGACTCCAAAAGCAATTGCCACAAAAACAAAAGTTGACAAATGGGACCAAATAAACTAAAGAGCTTTTCCACAAAAGTTTTCAACAGAGTAAATAAAGAAGAGTGTAAACAGAAAACCTATAGAATGGGAGAAAATATTTGCAAACTGTTCATCCAACAAAGGCCTAATATTCACAATCTATAAGGCACATGAACAAATTAAAAAAGAACAGACAGCCCATAAAAAATGGCCAAAGCACATGAACAAACAGTTGTTTTTGTTTTGTTTTGTTTTGTTTTTGAGATGGAGTCTCACTCTGTCACCCAGGCTGGAGTGCAGTGGCATGATCTTGGCTCACTGCAGCCTCCACCTCCAGGGTTCAAGCGATTCTCCTGCCTCAGCCTTCTGAAGAGCTGGGATTACAGGCTTGAGACATCATACCTGACTAATTTTTGTATTTTTAGTACAGATGGGGTTTCACCATGTTGGCCAGGCTGGTCTCAAACTCCTGACCTCAAGTGATCCACCTGCCTTGGCCTCCCAAAGTGCTGGGATTACAAGCGTAAGCCATCGTGCCCGGCCAAACAAACACTTCTCAAAAAAAGACATACACACAGCCAACAAGCATATGAAAAAAATGCTCAACATCACTAATCATTAGATAAATCAAATCAAAACCACGATAAGATACCATCTCACACCTGTCAGAATAGCAATTATTTAAAAGTCAAAAAATAACAGATGCTGGTGAGACTGCAGAAAAAAGGGAACACTTAAAAACTTTTGATGGAAATGTAAATTAGTTCAGACACTGTGGAAAGCAGTGTGGAGATTTCTCAAATAACTGAAAATAAAATTACCATTCGACCCAGCAATCTACTACTGGGTGTATACCCCTCAAAATGCAAATTTTTCTGTCATAAAGGCACATGCATATGTAGGTTCATCACAGCATTTTTCATAATAACAAAGACATGGAATCAACCTAAATGCCCATCAACAGTGGACTGGATAAAGGAAATGTAATGCATATACACCATGGAATACTAAGCAGCCAAAAAAAGAGGTCATGTCCTTTGCAGCAACATGGATAGAGATGGAGTTCATTATCCTAAGCCAATTAATGCAGGAAAAGAAAACTAAATACCACATGTTCTCACTTATATATAGGAGCTAAACATTGGTCCAAATGGAGATTTGTATACATACACACAAACAAGAGAACAATAGACACCAGAGCCTACTTGGGGGTGGAAGATGTAAGGAGGTAAGAAGGTGAGGATCAAAAAAACTACTTATTGGGTACTGTGCTTATTAACTTGGTGATGAAATCATCTACACACCAAACCCCCATGAAACACAATTTATCCATGTAACAAACCTGCACATGTGCCCCGAGCCTAAAAGTTGGAAAGTAAAAAACAAAAAACAAATAAAAGAGCATTGGAATCAAAAAAGAATGATGCATTATTAAACTAAATGGCAACTGATGATCCCATCAGTTTCCCAGGGAAAAAAAGAGAGCATTGCTTATGAAATGCAATTGAAGCTTGGTATGGAAAATGGATTTTATACATGACTGGATACCTAATGTTGCCTAAATTTGAATTTATTATTTTATAATGATTATTCATAAAGGTCTGGTCTTAGTCCTGTTTTAACCTCCATCTCACAGGTTTCCTAATGTACCTGTTCTAGACAACCCTCTAACCTAAAGCTGCTCCACATTATGTCAATATCAATCCATTAATTACTCCAGTCTTATGGGTCTGGGAGTCCAGTAAATAACATACATCTCCTCTGCCCAGATCACATATAACCCAGAGATATTTAAAGTGGTTAGGACCATGAAGATAAAAAATTTTAGGTGTTTTACTACTGTGAGGACTGGAATAGAGGATGTGACTTTCAATACCTACCATCAACATTATTTCTAATGCTTCATTCCATAACTGAACTTACCTGTCCCAGTTTTTTTAACAGGTACAAAACCTAACCTGGTAAATATAGGGTGCAGCCCAGAAAGCAGGCCTGAATATGATCTCTTTCTAAAAGTGTTCTGGGCACTTGAGAATGCCTATGGCATTCTCCCACACTCACCAATCAAGTAACTCAGTTCTTTATGGGTAGCTGAGGGTATGTACAGAAGGGCCAGGATTGTCTCTTTTGAGAGTTATTCCTCATGGAAGCATGAGATTAGGGAGAAAGCAGCCCCTCCTTCCCCAACCTTCAGTATTTCTGAGCCAAGAACCAAAATGAGTTCTCTCAGGAAATTTTGCTCCTTTCTGAGGCAAGCTGTTTTTCACCAGGGGCAGTGAGCTGAGAACCAATGTCCACGTCCTTTGGGGACCATGTGGTCCAAATGGAGCTTTGGACTATAATCCAATATGGCCTTCATTTGGACTGTAATCTTTATTCGGTCCCCATCATGGTCTGATTCTCTAACATACATACCCTTTTCAATGCTCTGTAGCCACTTGGATCTCTTGTCTAAAATATCCTTGAAACATAATTTCCTGGAGGCTGCTTTAACGTCCTAATTCACTTTTCACATCATTTTTACACATATCATTGCATTTTAAGGCTTATATTTTCCACCAGACAGAAAGTGCAGTCAACTCACTTCTCATCTGTGGGTTGACCAGTGCGCCTACAGTGCCTACTCTTTTCTGACAACTGTACAGTTTATTGTTTCTGCTATTGTTGAAGATTTTGAAATCCACCATGAAAAAAGAACTGGAGGCAGCACAAAAAAAAAAACCTTCTCTGTGTGAAATGCTCCACATGCCCAACATATGTAAAAGGATCTCCCTCCTGTCCTTTACGAGGTAAGCTTCATGCAGTGTTTGAGGGTAAGTTACAGTACTGGAGACATGAATCTTGTCCTCATTTCAAGTAGTACAGCATGTTTAGGAAACAGATTTGCACATAAAAGATGAGAAAGCCGTAAAGAGAATTGCTGTGTTTGAATGTAGTAAAAGAGTTGTGAAAAGACTGACACGGAATTAATTTATGCAATAGTTTTTGTTTATCGCAACACCCTATCAGGCTCTTCACTGGACACCAACGCAGAGAACTTCAATTACAGTATATGCTTTGGCTTGAAGTTTCTTAACGTGTTTGTTTCCAGTTTTAATGAGGTAAATTACAAAGAGAATTTTGTACACAAATATATACAGCTCAATGATTATTTCCATATTTTGATATGTAATTTAGATCAAGGTACATAAAAACCTCTAAAATACTAGGACATGATCGCAAGCATAGAAAAAACATAAATAGGAAGTCCTACCTATTAATCCCCCCACAGAAACATTGATTTAACAATGATTGGATCCAAATACCTCTATGAGATTTCCAAAATAGAGGTAAGATGTTGTAAAACAATAGATGAGCACAAACCCAAGAACAGTTGCACTGAAATGGGTAAGAAGAGTAATTTCACCTGACCCATGACAACCCCTTCCCAAAGTTGTTTCAGCTCAGTGCCAAGAGAGAACACCCTGGCCTATGACCGCTCCCTCATAGAAAAGGAAGGAGTGGAGCAATACACATCTGGGCCTTTTGACACACTGTGTGAGGAACTGGTATTTGTCTCACCTCACTCAGAGCACTTATGGAACTTGCATATTTGGATGTTTGGGTCACTGAATAGAAGGTGAGCACAAAGAAAATCTGTGACTGGTACAGCTCAGTGCAATAAAAATAAGATGGGCAATTTTAGGTTTCTCCCTCAGGAGGGAGGGAAGGGAGTGCAGTATGTGTCCAACATTCTAATTTTTCAGGGAGATGCCCAAGAAATGTGTTTTTGTCTTTCCCACCCGGGATGCCAATGGGACTCCAGATACTCTGGATATCTTAAGAATAAAACATGATAAAAAAAATCTGACTGTCATCCTGCTGCATCAGAGAACTCATAGTACAGCAGACAGACACCACGGGCAGCCAGATTACAAGATATTTTAAAACAGAAACCAGTAGATCTCTCTGATCAGAAATATGCACACACAAATACAGATAAGACACTTTACAGAGAATGTTTGACAAGCCCCTAGAATCTCTATTTGGGTTGATTGGTGAAGGTCTTTCCCTATAAAAGCTAGTCTGGGAAGATAGGAAGAGGGAGCTGTTTCTTCAAATGTGCATACACCAATGCAAAGCTTCAAAGAACATGAAGAAACAGAGAAACATGACTCAAAAGGGAACAAAAAAATCCCCAGAAACTGACCATAAAGAGAGGTATATGAATAAAGTGATAACAAATTAGAAACAGCTACCATAACAATGCACACATAAGTCAAGATAAAAATGGATGAACAGGTCGGGCGCAGTGGCTCTCACCTGTAATCCCAGCACTTTGAGAGGCTGAGGCAGGTAGATCACGAGGTCAAGAGATAGAGATCATTCTGGCCAACATAGTGAAACCCTGTCTCTACTAAAAATACAAAAATTAGTTGGGCGTGGTGGTGCACGCCTGTAGTCCCAGCTACTTGGGAGGCTGAGGTAGGAGAATCACTTCAACCCGGGAGGTGGAGATTGCAGTGAGCTGAGATCGTGCCACTGCACTCCAGCCTGGTGACAGAGCGAGACTCCATCTAAGAAAAAAAAAAAAAAAGAGGAACAAAGTGAGAAATTCAACAAAGAAATATTGTAAATATTTCAAATGACCAAAATAAATCAGGGAGTAGATGAAGACAATGACTGTGCTGGGGTGCATGTACAGGATGTGCAGGTTTGTTACATAGGTAAACATGTTCCATGGTGATTTGCTGCACCTATCAACTCATCACCTAGGTATTAAGCCCAGTATGCATTAGCTATTTTTCTTAATGTTCTCTCTTCCTGCACCCAACCCCCAACAGGTCCCAGTGTGTGTTGTTTCTCTCCCTGTGTCTATGTGTTCTCATTGTTCAGCTCCCACTTATAAGTGAGAACATGCAGTGTTTGGTTTTCTGTTCCTGCATTAGTTTGCTGAGGATAATGGCTTCCAGCTTCATCCATGTCCCTGCAGAGGACATGATCGCATTTTTTTTATGGCTGCATAGTAGTTCGTGGTGTACATGTACCACATTTTCTTTATCCAGTCTATCATTGATGGGCATTTGGGTTGATTCCATGTCTTTGCTGTTATGAATAGTGCTGCAATGAATGTACGTGTGCAAGTATCTTTGTAATAGAATGATGTATATTCCTTTGCGTATATACTCAGTAATGGAATTGCTGGGTCAAATGGTATTTCCGTTCTAGATCTTTGAGAAATCACCACACCATCTTCCACAGTAGTCAGACTGATTTACCTTCCCACCAACAGTGTAAAAGCATTACTGTTTCTCCTCAACCTTGCCAGCATGTTATTTCTTGACTTTTTAATATTTGCCATTCTGATTGGTGTGAGACGGTATGTTATTGTGGTTTTGATTTGCATTTCTCTAGTGATCAGTGATGTTGAGCTTTTTTTCATATGTTTGTTAGCCACATGAACGTATGCTTTTGAGAAGTGTCTCTTCATGTCCTTTGCCCACTTTTCAATGGAGTTTTTTTGTTTTTTCCTTGTAAATTTAAGTTCCTTATAGACTGGATATTACATCTTTGTCAGATGGATAGGATGCAAAAATTTTTCCCACTCTGTAGCTTGCCTGTTCACTCTGATGATACAGTTTTTTTTTTTTTTTTTTTTTGCTGTGCAGAAGCTCTTTAGTTTAATTAGATCCTATGGCCAATTTTTTTTTTGTTGCAGTTGCTTTTGGTGATTTCATCATGAAATCTTTGCCCATCCCTATGTCCTGAATACTGTTGCCTAGATTTAGGATTGTCCCAGCTATATGAGCTCTTTTTTCATTCCATATAAATTTTAAAACAGATTTTTCTAATTCTTTGAAGAATGTCAATGGTAGTTTAATGGAAATAGTATTGAATCTATAAATTGCTTTGGGCAGTATGGCCATTTTCACGATATTGATTCTTCCTATCCATGAAGATGGAATGTTTTTCCATCTGCTTGTGTCCTTTCTGATTTCCTTGAGCAGTGGTTTGTAGTTCACCTTGAAGAGGTCCTTCATTTTCCTTGTTAGCTGTATTCCTAGGTATTTTATTCTCTTTGCAGCAATTGTGAATGGGAGTTTATTCATGATTTGGCTATCTGCTTGTCTGTTGTTGGTGTATAGAAATGCTTGTGATTTCTGCATATTGATTTTGTATCCTGAGACTTTGCTGAAGTTGCTTATCAGCTTAAGAAGCTTTTGGGATGAGTCAATAGGGCTTTCTAGATATAAGATCATGTCATCTGCAAATGAAGACAACTTGACTTCCTCTCTTCCGATTCAAATACCCTTTATTTCTTTCTCTTTCCTGATCGCCCTGGCCAGAACTTCCAATGCTATGTTGAATAGGAATGGTGAAAGAGGGCATCTTTGTCTTGTGCCAGTTTTCAAGGGGAATGCTTCCAGCTTTTGCCCATTCAGAATGATATTGTCTGTGGGTCTGTCATAAATGGCTCTTATAATTTTAAGGTATGTTCCTTCAAGACCTAGTTTATTGAGAGTTTTAACATGAAGGATGTTGAATTTTATTGAAGGCCTTTTCTGTGTCTATTGAGATAATCATGTGGTTTTTGTCTTTAGTTCTGTTTATGTGATAAATTACATTTACTGATTTGCTTATGTTGAACAAGCTTTGCATCTAGGGATGAAGCCGACTTCATCGGGGTTAATAAGCTTTTTTGTGTGCTGCTGGATTCAGTTTGCCAGTATTTTGTTGAGTATTTTTGCACCAATGTTCATCAAGGATATAGGCCTGAAGTATTCTTTTATTGTTGTATTCCTGCCAGGTTTTTATCCCTACCAGGTTAGCATGATGCTGGCCTCATACAATAAATTAGGGAGGAGTCCTTCCTTTTCAATTGTTTGGAATAGTTTCAGAAGAAATGGTACCAGCTCCCCTTTGTACCTCTGGTAGAATTCAGCTATAAATCCACGTGGACCTGGACTTTTTTTTTTTTTTTTTTTTTTTTTTTTTTTTTTGGTAAGTAGGCTATTAATTACTGCCTCAGTTTAGAACGTATTGGTCTATTCAGGGATTCAACTTCTTCCTGGTTCAGTCTTAGGAGGGTGTATGTGTCCAGGAATTTATCTATTTCTTCTAAATTTTCTAGTTTATTTACATAGAGGTGTTTATTGTATCCTCTGATGGTAGTTTGTATTTCTATGGGGCCAGTGGTGATATCCACTTTGCCATTTTTTATTGTGTCTATTTGAGTCTTGTCTCTTTTCTTCTTTATTAGTCTAGCTAGCAGTCTATATATTTTATTAATTTTTTCAAAAATCTAGCCTCTAGATTCATCAGTTTTTTGAAGGGTTTTGTGTTGTTGTTGTTGATGATTTTGTTTTTTTGTTTTGTTTTGTTTTTTGTTTTGTTTTGTTTTTTGTTTTTTGTATCGCTGTCTCCTTCAGTTGCACTCTGATCTTGGTTATATCTTGTCTTCTGCTAGCTTTGGGGTTTGTTTGCTCTTGGTTCTCCAGTTCTTTTAGTTGTGATGTTAGGGTGTTGATTTGAGATCTTTCTAGCTTTTTGATGTGGGCACTTAGTGCTATAAATTTCCCTCTTAACACTGCTTTAGCTGCAACCCACAGATTCTGGTATGTTGTCTCTTTGTTCTCCTTGGTTTCAAAGAATTTGCAGAAGGATTTTTTTAACTTAATATAATCCCATTTGTTCACTTTTGCTTTGGTTGCCTGTGCGTCTGGGGTATTACTAAAGAAATCCTTGCCCAGTCCAATATCCTGGAGAATTTTCCCAATTTTTTCTTGTAGCAGTTTCATAGTTTGAGGTCTTAGATTTAAGAATTTAATCCATTTTGATTTTATTTTTGTATATGGTAAGAGATAAGGATCTAGTTTCATTCTTCTGCATATGGATATTCCATTTCCCAAGCACCATGTATTGAAAAGACTGTCCTTTCCCCAATGCACATTCTTGACACCTTTCTCAAAAAGAAGTAGACTATAGATGTTTGGATTTACCTCTGGGTTCTCTATTCTGTTACACTGACCTAAGCATACACTGATCTATGTTTTTATGTCTGTACCATGCTGTTTTGGCTACTATAGCTCTGTAGTATAATTTGAAGTCACGTAATGTGGTTCCTCCAGTTTTGTTCTTTTTACTCCAGATAGTTTCGACTATTCTTGGTCTTTTTTGGTTCCACTTAAATGTTAGGATTGTTTTTTCTATTTCTGCGGAAAATGTCATTGGTATTTTGATAGGGATTGTATTGAATCGGTAGATTGCTTTGGGTAGTATGGACATTTCAACAATATTGATTTGTCCAATCCATGAACATGGAATATCTTTCCATTTTTAATCCTCTTCAATTTCTTACATTAATGTTTTAAAGTTTTCATCAGAGGGTTTTTTCACTTTTTATTAACTTAATTTCTAGGTATTTTATTTTATTTGTAACTATTGTAAGCATGTTGACTTTCTTGGTCTTTTTTAGATGGTTCCTTATTGGCATATAGAAATGCTATTGATTTTATTTGTTGATTTTGTATCCTGCAGCTTCACTGAATTTGTATCCTGCAACTTTACTGAATTTATTTCTTGTTTCTAATAGCTTTGTGGTGGGGTCTTTAGATTTTTCCAAATATAAGATTATATCATCTGCAAACAAGAATAATTTGACTTCGAGTTTTCCAATTTGAATGTCCTTGATTTCTTTCTCTTCTCTGATTACTCCAGCTAGGACTTCAAGGGCTATGTTGAATAACAGAGATGACAGTGGGCATCTTTTGTGTTTCAGATCTTAGATGAAAACTTTCCATTTTTTCTCCATTCTGTATGATACCAGCTATGAGTCTGTTGTTTATGGCTTTTATCATGTTGAGGTATGTTCTTCTATGCCCAGTTTTTCGAGAGGTTTTTTTTTTTTATCAGAAATGGATGTTGAAGTTTATCATATGCTTTTTCAGCATCAGTGGATATGATCACATGGTATTGTCCTTTATTTGGTCAATATGATATATCATGCTAACCAATATGCATATGTTTGACTATCCTTGCATCTGTGGGATAAATTCCCCTTAGTAATAATTAATCATTGTTTTAATGTGTTGTTGAATTCAGTTTTCTAGTATTTTGTTGAAGATTTTTGCATCAATGTTCAACAGGGATATTAGCCTGTAGGTTTCTTTTTTTAATGTGCCTTTGTCTGATTTTGGTATCAGGGTAATTTTAGCCTCATAGAATGAGTTTGGAAGTATTCCCTCCACCTGTATTTTTTTTTTGAATAATATGATAAAAATGGCATTAGTTCTTCCTTAAATTTTGATAAAATTCAGCAGTGAAGCTATCAGGTCCAGAGCTTGTCTTTGCTGAAAGACCTTTTATTATAGCTTTGATCCCATTATTTTTTATTACTCTGTTCAGGTTTTAAATTTCTTCATGGTTCAACCTTGGTATGCTATTCGTGTCTAGTAATTAATCTATTTCTTCTAAGTTTTCAAACTTATTGGCATATAGTTGTTAATGGTAGCCTCTAATGACATTTTGAATTTCTGTGGTATCAGTTACAATGTCTCCTTTTTAATCTCTGATTTATTTGGATCTTCTCTGTTTAGTTAGGCTAAATGTTTGTCAGTTTTGTTTATCTTTTCAAAAACTAACTTTTAATTTTATTGATCATCTGTATTGTGTTATTTATTTTATTTTAATTTATTTCTGCTCTAATTTTTTTTTTATTTTAAGTTCTGGGATACATGTGCAGAACATGCAGGTTTGTTTCATAGGTATACATGTGCCACAGTGGTTTGCTGCACCTATCAACCCGTCATCTAGGTTTTAAGCCCCACATGCATTAGGTATTTGTCTTAATGCTATCCCTCCCCCTTCCCCCAACCCCCGACAGGCCCCAGTGTGTGATGTTCCCCTCCCTGTGTCCATGTGTTCTCATTGTTCAACTCCCGCTTATGAGCGAGAACATGCAGTGTTTGGTTTTCTGTTCCTGTGTTAGTTTGCTAAGAATGATGGCTTCCAGCTTCATCCATGTCCCTGCAAAGAACATGAACTCATCCATTTTTATGGCTGCATGGTATTCCATGGTGTATGTGTGCCACATTTTCTTTATCCAGTCTATCACTGATGGGCATTTGGGTTGGTTCCAAGTCTCTACTACTGTAAATAGTGCTGCGATAAACATACGTGTGCATGTGTCTTTATAGTAGAATGATTTATAATCCTTTGGGTACATACCCAGTAATGGGATTGCTGGGTCAAATGGTATTTCTGGTTCCAGATCCTTGAGGAATTGCCACACTGTCTTCCACAATGGTTGAACTAATTTACACTCCCACTAACAGTATAAAAGTTTTCCTATTTCTCCCCATCCTCATCAGCATCTGTTGTTTCCAGACTTTTTAATGATCACCATTCTAACTGGCATGAGATGGTATCTCATTGTGGTTTTGATTTACATTTGTCTAATGACCAGTGATGATAAGCTTTTTTTCATGTTTGCTGGCCACATAAATGTTGTCTTTTGAGAAGCGTCTGTTGATATCCTTTGCCCACTTTTTGATGGGGTTGTTTTTTCTGGTAAATTTGTTTAAGTTCCTTGTACATTCTGGATATTAGGCCTTTGTCAGATGGGTAGCTTGCAAAAATTTTCTCCCATTCTGTAGATTGACTGTTCACTCTGATGATAGTTTCTTTTGATGTGCAGAAGCTCTTGAGTTTGATTAGATCCCATTTGTCAATTTTGGCTTTTGTTGCAATTGCTTTTGGTGTTTTAGTCATGAAGTCCTTGCCCATGCCTATGTCCTCAATGGTATTGCCTAGGTTTTCTTCTAGGGTTTTTATGGTTTTTGGTTTTACATTTATGTCTTTTATCCATCTTGAGTTAATTTTTGTATAAGGTGTAAGGAAGGGGTTCAGTTTCTGTTTTCTGCATGTGGCTAGCCAGTTTTTCCAGCACCATTTATTAGATTGGGAATCCTTTCCCCATTGCTTGTTTTTGCCAGGTTTGTCAAAGATCAGATGGTTGTAGATGTGTGGTATTATTTCTGAGGTCTCTGTTCTTTTCCATTGGCCTATATATCTGCTTTGGTACCAGTGCCATGCTGTTTTGGGGTCTGTAACCTTAAGTTACTGTAACTTTTGGTTATCGTCTGAAGCCAGGTAGCATGATGTCTCCAGCTTTGTTCTTTTTGCTTAAGATTGTCCTAGCTATACGGGCTCTTTTTTGGTTCCATATGAAATTTAAAGTAGTTTTTTCTAATTCTATGAAGACAGCCACTGGTAGCTTGATGGGAATAGCATTGAATCTATGAATTACTTTGGGCAGTATGGCTATTTTCACAATATTGATTCTTCCTATCCACACCTGCTCTAATCTTTATTATTTATTTTCTTCTGCTGATTTGGGGTTTGGTTTGCTCTTGCTTTTCTAGTTCTTTAAGATGTGTCATGAGGTTGTTTCTTTCAGTTTATTCTATTTTTTTGATGTAGACACTTATAGCTAAAAATATACCTCTTAGTACTTCTTTTGCTGTATCCCGTAGGTTTTGATATGTTGTGTTTCCATTATCATTTGTTTCAAGAAACTTTTAAACTTCCTTCTTAATTTATTTATTGATCCACTTGCACTCAGGAGCATATTGTTTAATTTCCATGTGTTGATATGATTTTCAAAATTCCTCTTGTTATTGATTTCTAGTTGTATTTCATGTGGCCAGATAAGACACTTAATATAATTTCAATTATTTTGACTTTTTTCAGACTTGTTTTGTGGCTTAACATATGGTCTATCCTTAAGAAATACCCATGAGCTGAGGAGAAAAGTGCATATTCTTCAGCCATTGGATGAAATGTTTCATAAGTATCTATTAGGTCGATTTGTTCTACAATGCAGATTAAGTCCAATGTTTCTTTGTTGATTTTCTGTCTGGATGATCTGTCCATTGCAGAAAGTGGGAAGTTGAAGTCTCCAGTTATTAATATAATTGTATTGGGGTATATCTCTCTCTTTAACTCTATTAATATTTGCTTTATATACCTGGGTGTGTATATATTTACAATTGTTATATTCTCTTGCTGAATTAGCTCTTAATCATTATATAATTACCTTCTTTGTCTCTTTTTAGACTTTTGCCTTAAAATCTGTTTTCTCTGATGAGTGTATCTACTCCTGCTCTTTCTTGGTTTCCTTTGGCATAGAATATCATTTCCATCCCTTTATTTTCAGTCTGTATATCTTTTTAAATACAGTGGATGTCTTGTAAGCAACAGATCATTGAGTCCTGTTCTTAATCCATTCAGGAACTCTCTGTCTTTTGATTGGACAGTTTAGTTCATTTACCTTATATGTTATTATTGATTTTAAAAAAAAGACTTACTTCTGTCATTTTGTTATTTGTTTTCTGGTTGTTTTGTGGTAGTATCTTCCTTCTCTCCTTCCTTCCTGTATTCCTTTAGGTGAAGATGACTGTCATTGGTGATATGTTTTAATCTCCTACTTTTCATTCTTTGTGTACCTGTTGCATGTTTTTCAATTTGAGGTTACCATGAGGCTTGCAAATAATATCTTTAACCCATAATTTTAAACCAATCACAATGTAACAGTAATTGCATAAACAAACAAATAAGGAAAGAGAAAACTAATAAAATGTCTACACTGTAACTTTGTCTCCTGGCTTTTTAACCTTTTCTTGTTTTTAAATCTTACTGTATTTTCCATGTCTGAAATTTATTCATTATTTTTTATTGTTTCATCTTTTAATCTTCCTACTCAAAATACAAGTAGTCTAGCCACCACAATTACAGTGTTATACTATTCTGTGTTTTTCTGTGTACTTACTTTTGCCATTGAGTTTTGTACATTCAGATGATATATTCCTGCTCATCAATGTCATTGTCTTTCAGATGGAAGAAATCTCTTTGACATTTCTTGTAGGACAGGTCTGGTGTTGATGAAATCCCTCAGTATTTGTTTTTCTAGGAAAGTCTTTATTTCTCCTTCATGTTTGAGGCTATTTTTTGGCTGGATATACTACTCTGGGATAAAAGGTTTTTTTTTCCCCCTTCAGCTCTTAAAATATATCATGCTTGTCTCTCCTGGTCTTTAAAATTTCCACTGCAAAGTCTGTTACCAGATGTATAGGAGCTCCACTGCATGTTACTTGTTCCTTTTCTCTTCTGCTTTTAGAATTTTTTCTTTATCATTGGCTTTTGGGAGTCTGACTATTAAAGGCCTTGAGGAAGTCTCTTTTTTTGCAACACTTACTGATATATTGTAGTTTAATAAAAACATAGCTTATACAGTTCATTGAAAAAGTATTTTAATGCAAACACCACTTTTACACAAAACCAAATGTTGATATTCTCATTTTTTAAAATTCTTGGTTTCTCTAAAACACTAAGATGATACCTCAATAAGGGTTGCTTCACATTTTCCAATTTCTTGATCTGTGCATGTCACAAGTAAAGATCCAGATTTGTTCTTTTTGCATAGTCTTGCTTTGGCCATGCATGCTCTCTTTTGGTTTCATATGAATTATAGAATTGTTTTTTCTAATTCTGTGAAAAATGATGGTTTTATTTTCATGGGAATCGCATTGAATTTGTAGATTGCTTTTGGCAGTATGGTCATTTTCACAATACTGATTCTACCCATCCATTAACATGGGATGTGTTTCCATTTGTTTGTGTCATCCATGATTTCTTTCAGCAGTGTTTTGTAGCTTTCCTTGTAGGGGTCTTTTGTCTCCTTGGTTAGGTTTATTCCTAAGTATTTTAATTTTTTTGCAGCTACGATAAAAAGGGTTGGGTTCTTGATTTGATTCTTCACTTGGTCTCTGTTGGTGTATAGAAGAGCAACTGATTAGTGTACATTAATTTTGTATCTGGAAACTTTGCTGAATTCTTTTATCAGTTCTAGGAACTTTCTGGAGGAGTCTCTAGTGTTTTCAAGGTAAACAATCATATCATCAGCAAACAGTGACAGTTTGACTATCAGTAATATGCTGAAGAGGAGTGGTGAGAGTGGGCATCCTTGTCTTGTTCCAGTTCTCAGAGGGAATGCTTTCAACTTTTCCCCATTCAGTATTATGTTGGCCGTGGGTTTGTCATAGATGGCTTTTATTACATTGATGTATGTCCTTTGTATGCCAGTTTTGCTGAGAGTTTTAATTATAATGAGATGCTGGATTTTGTCAAGTGCTTTTCCTGCTGTTAGTCTGATGGGGTTCCCTTTGTGGGTAACCCGAACTTTCTCTCTGGCTGCCCTTAACATTTTTTCCTTCATTTCAACCTTGGTGAATATGATGATTATGTGTCTTGGGGTTACTCTTCTTGAGGAGTGTCTTTGTGGTGTTCTCTGTAGTTCCTGAATTTGAATGTTGGCCTGTCTTGTTAGATTGGGGAAGTTCTCCTGGATAATATTCTGAAGAGTGTTTTCCAACTTGTTTCCATCCTCCCCATCACTTTCAGGTACACCAAGCAAATGTGGGTTTGGTCTTTTAGTCCCATATTTCTTGGGGATTTTGTTCATTCCTTTTCATTCTTTTTTCTCTAATCTTGTCTTCATGCTTTATTTCATTAAGTTGATCTTCAATCTCTGATATCCTTTCTTCCGTTTGATCAATTCAGCTATTGATACTTGTGTATGCTTCACGAAGTTCTCGTGTTGTGTTTTTCAGCTCCATCAGGTCATTTATGTTATTCTCTAAACTGGTTATTCTAGTTAGCAATTCCTCTAACCTTTTTTCAACGTTCTTAGCTTGAGATGTGAGGTATCATTCCAGTCATCATGCTATTTGTCACATTTATACCTTGGTTTTTTGGTTTTTCTTTTTTTTTAATTCTATTTTTGTTTTATAGGTCCTGTGAGATTTAGGCTTTAAAGAGGTTCTATTTTAATGTGTTTCCAGGATTTGTTTCAAGATTTAGAGGTCCTTTTAGCAATTCTTGTAGGGGTGGCTTAGTAATGGTGAATTCTCTCAGCATTTGTTTATCTGAAAAAGACAATCTTTCCTTCATATGGGATGTTTAGTTTCACTGGATACAAAATTCTTGGCTGATAATTGTTTTGTTTGAGGAGGCTGAAGATAGGACCCCAATCCCTTCTAGCTTGTAGGGTTTCTTCTGAGAAATCTTCTGTTAATCTGATAGGTTTTCCCTTTTAGGTTACCTGGTGCTTTTGTCTCACAGCGCTTAAGCTTCTTTCCTTTGTCTTAACTTTAGATAACCTGACGACAATGTGCCTAGGCGATTATCTATTTGAGATGAATTTCACAGGAGTTCTTTGTGCTTCTTATATTCGCGTGTCTAGTTCTCTAGCAAGGCTGGGGAAGTTTTCCTCAATTTTTCCCCCAAATATGTTTTCCAAACTTTTAGATTTCTCTTCTTACTCAGGAACACCAAATATTCTTAGGTTTGGTCGTTTAGCATAATCCCAGACTTTTTGGAGGCTTTGTTCATATTTTCTTGTTCTTTTTTCATTTATTTATTTTTTTGTCTTTGTTAGATTGGGTTAATTTGAAGATCTTGTCTTCGAGCTCTGAATTTCTTTCTTCTGCTTGTTCAATTCTATTGCTGAGGCTTTCCAGAGCATTTTGCATTTCTATAAGTGTATCCAATATTTCCTGAAGTTTCTTTTGCTTTTTCTTTATGCTATCTATTTCCTTGAATATTTCTCCCTTCACTTCTTGTATCATTTTTTACTTCCCTGCCCTGAGCTTTGCCTTTCTCTGGTGCCTCCCTGATTAGCTTAATAACTAACCTCTTGAATTCTTTTTCAGGTAAATCAAGAATTTCTTCTTGGTTTGGATCCATTGCTGGTGAGCTAGTGTAATGTTGGGGGGTTGTTTAAGAGCCTTGTTTTGTCATTTTACCAGAGTTGGTTTTCTGGTTCCTTCTCATTTGGGTAGGTCTAGGGCTAAAGGCTGTTGTTCAGGTTATTTTGTCCCATGGTGTTCCCTTGATGGAGTACTCTCCCTTTTTCTAGGGATGTGGCTTCCTGAGAGCTGAGCTGCACTGATTGTTATCTTGCTTCTGGATCTAGCCATCCAACAAGTCTACCAGGCTCTGGGCTGGTACTGGGGATTGTCTGCAGAGTCCTGTGATTTGAACTGTCTATTGGTCTCTCGGCCATGGATACCAGCACCTGTTCTGGTGGAGGTGGCTAGTGGGTGAAATTGACTCTATGCAGGTTCTTAGCTTTGGTGGTTTAATGTTCTATTTTTGTGCTGGTTGGCCTCCTGGCTGGGGGTGGCACTTTCCAGAGAACATCAGCTGTGGAGAGAAACCAGCAGTGAATGGGGCCCTAGAACTCCCAAGAATATATGCCTTTTGTCTTCAGAAGTTGGGTAGGAAAAGGCTATCAGGTGGGGGCAGGACTAGGCATGTCTGAGCTCAGACTCTCCTTGGGTGGGTCTTACTACAGCTGCTGTTGAGGATAGGGGTGAGGTTCCCAGGTCAAAGGAGTTGTGTATTTAGGAGTATTATGGCTGCCTCTGCTGAGTAATGCAGGTTGTCAGGGAAGTGGGGGAAAGCCCACAGTCACAGGCCTCACCCAGCTCCCATGCAATCCAAAGAGCTGGTCTCACTCCCATTGTGTCCCACTAACAGCACCGAGTCTGTTTTCCAGGCAGTGAGTGAGCAGGGCTTTAGAACCTTCCCCAGGCTACCCACCTCCCAGCTGCAAGAGAAAAGGGCTTTAGTTCTTTCTCTGCCTGTGGAGTCTGCAGGCCAAATTCGCACTCTCTCCCAAGTTCTGGCCAGGAGGCTTCACATCCAGTTCAAATTATTACAAAGTTCAGCTGCAGATATCCTTCTTCCTGTGACATTTTTCTGCCTCTCTCCACAGCCCCCCACAAAGTGCCAGGCAGGAATGGCTGGCATGGGGGCCTAGCAAGCTCCCAGGGCCTTTCCTGCTGCTTCCTCTGCCCCTGTATTTCTCTTGGCTCTCTAAATTAACTCAGCTCCAGGTAAGGTCAGAAACTTCCTGCAAAGTAGACCTTCAGTTTCCCCAGTGGGGGTGCGTGTTCAGGGGTGGAGGATCTCTCTTTTCTACTTCTGCAGTTTGGGCACTCATCGTATTTGGGATATCTCCTGGCTCCTGCAGGAGCAGTCGGCTTCCTCCAAAGGGTCTGTGGGTCCTTTCAGGAATCCCGTTTTGTTTCTGCAGTCATTCTGGAGCTAAAATTCACGATGCAAGCCTCCAAACACTGCACTTCAATTGCATTTTCAACTCCAAAATTTCTGCTTCATTATTTTTAATTATTTCAATTTCTTTGTCAAATTTATCTGATAAAATTCTGATTTTTTTCTCTGTGTTATCTTTAATTTCATAGATTTTCCTCAAAAGAGCCATTCTGAATTCTCTGTGTGAAAGGTCACATATCTCTGTCTCTCCAGGATTGGTCCCTAGTGCCTTATTTAGTTTACTTGGTGAGGTAATGTTTCCTGGATGGTGCTGATGCTTGTGGATGTTCATCAGTGTCTGGGCACTGAAAACTTAGGTATTTATTGTAGTCTTCACAGTCTGAGTTTGTTTGTACACATCTTTCTTGGGAAAGTTTTCCATGTATGCAAAGGGACTTTGGTGATTTGATCTGTTTTTCATCACTGCAGACATATGTTCATTAGGAGGGACCCCAAGGCCAGTAATGCTGCAGTTCTTGCAGACCCACAGATATACTGACATCATGGTCATGGATAACATCCAGAAGAATTATCTGGATTACCAGGCAGATACTTTTGTTCTCTTCCCTTACTTTCTCTGAAACAAATGGGCATTTTGTCTCTATACTGAGCTGCCTCGAGCTGGGGGAGGGGTAACACAAGCACCTCTGTGGCCACCACCACTGGAACTGCACTGTATCAGACCTGAAGCCAGTATAGCACTGGGTATCACCCAAGGCCCATAGTAATCACTGCCTGGCTACTGCCTAGGTTTGCCCAAGGCCCTAGGGCTCTACAGTCAGCAGTTGTCAAAGCTGGCTAGGTTCATGTTATTCCCTTCACGGTCACAAGTTCCCTACAACCACAGATGGGTCTATAGATGCCATCCAGCAACCAGGGCTTAGAGTCAGAAACCTTTGAAATCTATCTGGTGTTTTATTCTACTGTGGCTGAGCTGGCACCCAAGGCACAAAAGAAAGTCTTTTCCATTCTTCCCACCCTTTTCCACAAGCAGAGGAGTCATCTCATGGCCACCACCACCCCACGTTTATGGTAAGTACTACCTGTTTATTGCCAATGTGCACTCAAGGTCTAAGTGTTCTTCAGTCAGCTTGTGTGAATGCTGCTTCCAGGCCTGAGAATTACCTTTCAGGGAAATGGGCTTCCCTCTGGCCCAGAGCAGGTCCCAAACTGCCATCCAAGAGCCCAGGCTTGGATTTATGGACCCCAAGACCCCACTTGGTGTTCTATCCTATGGTGGCTGAGTTGGTACCTAAGCTGCAAGACGAAGCCTCCTTTAATCTTGGCTCTTCTTTTCTCAAGTAGAAGGAGTGTCTCCCCTTAATTACCACAGCTGGAAATATGCCAGGTCCCACCTGAAGCCAGCACAAGGCAGAGTCTCACCCAAGGCCAATCGAGTGAACTACCTGGCCACCACTGATGATTATTCAGGACCCAAGGTTTTTTAGTCAGCAGGTGATGAATCCTGTCAGGCCTGCGTCCTTCCCTTCAAGGCAGTACGTTTCCTTCTGCCCCTGGAGATGTCTGGAGATGTCATCTGGGAGCTACATCCTAGAATGCAGGCCCCAGGACCCTATTCTACTGTGGCTGAAATAGTATCCATGTTGCAAGACAAAGTCCTCTTCATTCTTCCCTCTCCTCTCCTCAAGTCAAAGGGAGAATTCTCTCCTGGAGCTGCAAGCTGCTGGGGTCTCACTAGATCACAGGTCCCCCGAGTTCACTGATCCCAGGCCCAGCACAGCACCAGGGTTTGCCTAGGAATAGCAGTCCTTGTAGCCAAGACTGTCTTTTAAGTTTATTTAAGACCCCATAGACCTTTAGTCCATGATGGTGAGGCTTGTCAGAACCCAGATTCTGACCACTGGGATGGGCGATTCCCCTCTGGCTAGGGCTGGTCTAAATGCTCCCTCCATGGTTGCTGGCTGAGTTCTGTCTGGTGCTGCTTTCCTCTGTGACAGGGCAGCACTGATTCCCAATGCAAAGTCCCACAATCACTGTGCTCTCTATCCCCCAAGCACACAAAGATGCCCTGCACCAGGCAGCCACTGCTGGGAGATGGGCAGGGTTGGCACTGGCAATTCAAGGAAGTCTTTCCTACCCTCTTCAGTGTCTCTTTCAGTGATATGAAATTAAAACCAAGTACTGTGATCTCCCACTTTATTTTTGGCTCTTATGAAGCTGCCTTTTGTGTGTCGATAATTGTTAAATTTTCTGTTTCTGTGGGAAAGATGACCTTAGAGGCTTCTACTCAGCCATCTTGCTCCTCTTCGTTGTTCTGTATTATTATTCCTTCAAAGAAACTTTCTACTTCAGTGTATGCATCCTTATTAAGGCAAATAACTCAGACTTAAAAATAATTTATCATCAGGTATTTTTGCAGGCCTCATATTAACCACAAAGCAAATAGTCTCTAATAGATACATAAAAATGAAAAGCAAGAAGTTAAAACATACTACCACACAAAGTCCTTATACACAAAAAAGAAAGGAAGAAGGTATATAGAGGACTTACAAAGTAACCACAAAACAAATAACAAAACGGCAGTTATAAATTCTTACCTATTAATTGCATTGAATGTACATGGACTAAATTCTCCAATTAAAAGACATGAAATAGCTGAATGGGTTAAAAAACAAGGCCCAACTCTAAGTTCCTACAAGTAATGTACTTCACCTGTAAAATTACACCTGCACTAGAAATGAATGGAGAGAAAAAGGTATTCCATGCAAACAGAGGGCAAAAAAGAGCAGGAGCTGCTATGGTGATATCCAATAAAATAGATTTCACATCAATACTGTAAAAACAGACAAAGGAGATCATTATATAATGATAAAGGGGTCAAATCAGTAAGAAGATATAAAAACTGCAAATATATGTGTTATCAACATGGGAGCACCTAGATATATAAAGTAAATACTACTAGAACTAAAGAGATAGACCCCAGTACAAAAATAGTTGAGAATTTCAACAACCAACATTCTGCATTGATAAGTTCCTCTAGATGGAAAATCAAAAAAGAAACATTGGACTTTATTTTCATGATAGATGAAATAGACTTAATAAATTTTTACAGAACATTTTACTCAGCAAATGCAGGATGTACATTCTTCCCATCAGCACATGCAGCATTCTTTAGATAGACCATGTTAGAACACAAAAACTTCTCAGGAAATTTTAAAATTTCAGTCATATCAAGTTATCTTTTCTGATCACATTGGAATAAAACAATAACAAAAGGAACTTTGAAAAATATACAAATACCTGAAAATTAAACAATATGCTCCTAAATGACAAATGGGTCAATCAAGGAATTAAGAAGAAAATTAAAAATTTCTTGAACCAAATGAAAATGGAAACACAATATACCAAACCTTTGAGATATGGCAAAAGAAGCACTAACAGGTATGTTTATAGCAATAAACACCTACCTCAAAACAGTAGAAAGACTTCAAATAGCCTAGGATGTACCTTAAAGAAGTAGAAATGCAACAACAAATGAAACCCAAAATTAGCAGCAGGAAAGAAATAATAAAGATCAGAGCAAGAAATAAACGAAATTGATACAAAAAATACAAGTCAAAAGTTGTTTTGTGAAAAATAAACAACATCAACAAGGCTTTATGCAAACTAAGAAAAAAATAGAGAAAACAAAAATAAATCAAATTGAAGATAAAAAAGAGATATTACAACTGACATCACAGAAATCCAATGGATCATTAGAGACTATTATGAGCAACTTTATGCCAATAAATTGAAAACCCTAGAAGAGGTGGATAAATTTTTTTGACACATAGAATATTGATTGAACCAAGTTGACACATTAAGAAATACAAACCATGAACAGAGCAATAACCAGCAGCAAGACACCAGCAGTAATAAAAAGTCCTCCATCAAAGAACAATCTAGAACCTGATAGCTTCAGAACAACTGAATTCTACCAAACATTTAAAGAACTCATACCTATTGTACACAAACTATTTGAGAAAATAAAGGAGGTGGGAATACTTCCAAACTCATTTCACAAGGCCAGCATTACCCTGATGCCAAAACCAGAAACGAACACACACAAAAAAGAAAACATCACTGATGAACATAGATGTAAAAATTCTCAACAAAATAGTAGCAAACAAAATTTTAAAACACATTAAAGAGATCATTCATCACGACCAAGTGTGATTCATCCCAAGGATGCAAGAATGGTTCTGCATAGGCAAGTCAATAAACATAAAACATAACATTAGTAGGATCAAGGACAAAAATATATAATCATTTCAACAGACGCCAAAAGCATATGATAAAATTCGAATTCTCTCTTTATGATAAAAGCTCTCAACAAACTGAGCATAAAAGGAAAATACCTCAAAACAATAAGATCATATGTAACAAACCCACAGCTAACACCATAGAGAATGGGGAAAAAAATGAAAGCTCTTCTTCTAAGATCATGTAGAAGACAAGTATGCCCACTTTCACCACTTTTACTCAATACAGTAGTGGACGTCCTACCCAGAGCAACTAGGCAAGAGAAAAAAATAAAAGGAATCCATATTGGAAAGGAAGAAATCAAAATGTCCTCATTTGCATATGATATAATTTTATATTTACAAAAACCCAAAGACCCTCTCAAAAATCTATCTGAATAAACAAAAAATTCAGTAAAGTCGCAGGATACAAAATCAACATAAAACATAATTACCATAACTATATTTCAATAAACAGCAATCTGAAAAGGAAATTAAGAAAGCAATCTCATTTGCAATTCGTTACAAAAAGTAAAATACCTAGTAATAAACTACACCAAAGAACTGAAAGATTTCTACAATGAAAACAATAAGCTGATACAAAAAATAGAAAGACATCCCATGTGCATGGATTAGAAGAACCAATATTGTTAAAATGTCCCTATTACCCAAGGCAATCTACAGATTCAATGCAATCTCTATCAAAATACCAATGACATTCTTCACAGAATTTTTTTTAGTCCTAAAAGTTACACAAAATCAAAAAAGACCCATAAAGCGAAAGAAATCCTAAGCAAAAAGAACAAAGCTGGAGTGGCTGAGCTAATTTGCATTCCCACCCGCAGTCTACTAGTGTTCCCTTTTCTCCACAACCTCACCAGCATGTTGATTTTTGACTTTTTAATAACAGCCATTCTGACTGGTGTAAGATGCTATCTCATTATTGCTTTCATTTGTATTTCTCAAATGATTAGTGATGTTATAAGTTTTTTTATATGCTTGTTGGCCATGTGTATGTCTTCTCTGGAGAACTGTCAGTTCATGTCCTTTGCCCATTTTTAATGGGTTTGTTTGTTTGTTTGTTTTATTGTTGCTTTATTTGAGTCCCACATAGAGTCCAAACATTAGACCTTTGTCAAATGCATAACCTGCAAATATTTTTTCCCATTCTATAGGTTGTCTGTTTACTCTGGTGTTAGCTTCCTTTGCTGTTCAGAAGCTCCTTGGTTTAATTAGTTCCTGCTTTTCAATTTTTGGTTTTGTTGCAATTGCTTTTTGGAGTCTTTATCATAAAATCTTTGCCAGGGCTGATGTTCAGCGTGGTATTTCCTCTTTTCTTCTGTGTTTTTAACACTTTTACATCTTACATTCAAGCCTTTCATCCATCTTGGGTTGAATTTTGTATATGGTCAAAGGAAGGGGTCTAGTTTCAAAATTTTGCATATTGCTAGCCAGTTATCCAAGCACTATCTATTGAATAGGGAGTCTTTCCCCATTGCTTGCTTTTGTCAGCTTTGTCAAAGATCAGGCAGTTGTAGATATGTGGCTTTATTTCTGGGTTATCTAATGACTGTGTTGCATTGGTCTATGTATCTGCTCTTATGCCAGTATCATGCTGTTTTCATTACTGTAGCCTTGTTGTGTAGTTTGAAATCAGGTAGTGTGATGCCTCTCACTCTGTTCCTTTTGTTTAGGATTGATTTGGCTATTTGAGCTCCACTGTGACATTTACCCATGTAACAAACCTACATGTGTACCCCTAACCTAAAATGAAAGTTGAAAAAAAAAAAGGTTTTTAACTAAATGTAAAATTATGTTTTAAAAGATCACATAATTAGTAAATGGTACAATCAGAACTTGAACACTAATCTGACATTAAATCTTGCACTTCTAGCCATTATACCATATTACTTTCCTTTTACACTATACTGTCTTCACTCAATATGTAATTATTTTGGAAATTAAGGACACTAAAATTCCCATAAACACTAACATTTTTAGAATATTTGTATGTTTGCTCACCTTTCACCATTTTTTGAAGTTCACACATATACATGCTCATCAACTTTTGCTTCAGCTTCCCTGAAGGAAGATCTAAGGAGAAGAAAAACACTTTCCAAAATATATCAATACAAAAGATTGTTATAAAAAGTCAATGACATATAATTGACAATTGGATAAATGGACAGATTCTAAGAATTTCAGACTATTAAGTGAAATTAATATAGTCAGAAGACTAAAAACCAAATATATAAAAGTAAAAAAGAATTCCATATTAATCCATTTTCTGATTAAATTATCAAAGAAAAGAGAGAATTTTGAAAGCAGCAAGATAAAGTGACTGACTTGTTACATACTAAGAGAATGTCCTCCATAAGACGATTGGGGGATGGCAGATTTCTGCAGAAACCTTGTAGGCCAACAGAGAGTGGGATGATATGTTCAGAGAGATGAAAAAATAAAAGGCTAACAAAAATTACTGTATCTTGCATACCATCCCTCAATAATGAAAAGAAATACTTTCCCACACAAACAAAAGTTGAGTGAGTCTGTCAGCACCCCACCTCCATTATTATTATTTCCAAAGGGAAACCTTGAACTTTAAAAAATGGCACTAAAGAGCAGCATGAGAGCATATGAACATATAAAGCTCACTGATAAATGACTAATGTGAAAAGTCCAGTATTAATATTATACTCAACAATAAAAAACTGAAAACTCTTCCTTTAAGATCAAGAACAAGATAAGGATTCTACTCTCACCACTTCTATTCAATATAGTCCTTGAAATTCTAACAAGAGCAATTAGGGAAGAAAAAGAGATAAAAAGGTAAGAAAAGGAGATAAAATATGAAGTGTTTTATGGAGGATTAAACACGTAAAAAATGAAATAGCATCCTATACCTATTAGGATTATCATTATCAAAAATAAATAAATAAATCAATCAATCAATCAATAAATAAACAAGAAATAATAAGTGTTCAAAGGATATGGAGAAATTGGAACCCTTGTATATTGTTGGTGGCCATATAAAATGCTACACTCACCATGAAGACACTATGGAGGTTAGAACTACCATATGATTCTGTATTTTCAGTTATGGGATCTCAATTCTTCAGAAAAGAATTGAAATCAGTATTTGGAAGAGATATTTGCACTCCCATATGTTCATTGCAGCATTATTCACAATTGCCAAGATATGGAAGCAACTTAACTATTCATTTACATATGAATGAATAAGCAAAATATGTTATATACCTATAATGGAATATTAGCCTCAAAAAAGAAAGAAAAAGGTCATACCCAACATGTATGAACCTTGGGCTAGCACAGAAGAACAAACACTGTCTGATTTCACTTATATGAGATATCTAAAAAAAAGTCAACTCATAGAAGCAGAAAGTAGGATAGTGGTTTTCAGGGACAGCGGACAGAGGGGAATAGGGAGTTGTCATTTAAGGGCATAAAGTATCAGTTATGCAAGATGCAAATGTCTTGGAAATCTGCTGTACAACATTATGCTTACAGTAAATACTGTACTGTATCTAAAAATTTGTTAAGTAGGTAAATCTCTCAGCTTAAGGAGATTTTGGGCTGAGACGATGGGGTTTTCTAGGTAAATCTCATCTTATGTATTTTTATCACAATATTTTAAAAATGAATAAGTGTTTTGAGAGCCCCCAACTAAATTTGGATTTCAGTACCAGAGTGGTTAAAAACCCTGCCCTAAAAAGAAAATGAATGGGAGCTGGATGTAGGGGTTTACAGTGTTCACGCAATACTTTTCCTTCAGTGGATGGCCTGATGCCTAGTTGTTTGACCCTTGACCAGGGGAACCTTCACACAGGAAGCTTGTTTATACTGGCAGATGCCCTTGGGGCTCTTATCCGACCCATGTACAGTTTATGTCTGCCTGACCATTGCTCTGGCACTGGTTGCCTAACATTGTGTTCTCACTGCAGTCCTAGGGAAAACCCAGCCTGAAACAGCCCCTAGTTTTTCAGACAGAAAGCGTAAATTCAGTACACCACCACAAGAAGAAGCAAATTCAAAGATGTCTACTTACAGATCCTGGGAAAGGAGAGAATAATGAATTGGGAGGGCAGTGTTCTGTCCCCATGTCAGATGAGGCAGAAATGAAGCAACTGGCTGAGAAACCAAAATCTCAGAAATCACCACTACAGGACTTATCTATGTAACCAAACACCACCTGTTCCCCAAAAGCTATTGAAATAATAACAATAATAATAATAATAATAATAAAAGGAATACATGGCAACTAGCAGTTTATATAAAGAAATCAGGTGTGGGTCACTTAAAGTTTGCAGGTAAATGCCTGAATAGTTCATTTAAAGGAAGCAACAGGAAAGCAGGGAACCCAGTCAGCTAAACAGGAGAGATGACTCAAAGTTATCTCTGGCTTCTGGTTTGAGCAATTTGGAAGTGGTGTGAGAACTAGAAACTGTGTCAAGGGCGACTAAGCCCTGCTGTGCTGTGAGAAAGTTAAACTTGTAATCAAAATGAACGATGAGACAACATAAAATTGTAGGAATTCCCTCTAACAAGATACATATGTATTCTGAAAACGTAATAAAAACTATTGACTCCTTTCTATGCTAATAAACAAAACCATCACGAGGTTATATGCCATTAAACATAAGTAATATAAAAATAGGTTTCCTTGTTGCATTCTGGATTTACTACACAGGACCAACTACACAGTGAATGCTGTGGATATACAATCTGTCACTCAATAAGTTGTACATTTTAGTGACATTTCTGATTGTAATGGAGGTAAATGGACATTTCAGCTCCTGAGGTACTCACTGGGAGTTTGACTAATATCTGTAAATTTTTACTTTTAATTTTGTGGCCCTCAGGATAGTGAATTGTCTTGCAGTGGTTTTTGTTGTCATGTGAGCAAATTGGCTTTAGAATACTAATAAAAGCAATTACTTATAATAAATAAATAAACCTCAGGCCCCATAGTTTAATCCTCCATAAAACACTTGCTGTCTTCCAAAAAATTAATGACAATTATGACCATCATCGTCTTACCATCATTTTACGATAATTTAAAAATCAACATATTGTGGTATCTTCAGTTCTCTTTGTCACTTACTTTAGCTTTGAGAGACAGGACTTGGTGGTTGAAATATGAGTTTGAGACTTGGTTTGCTTTTGTGGAGGAAGGTGGCAGCATTTTCAAATGGAACTGTCTTCTTTTCCCACACTTTTAGTCATCATCTTTGTAGGTAGTATTATACTTTTGTCTCATTTTTATCAAATAGAAGCTACCAAAGATACCTTTGAAAAGTCTTCAGAAATTATCCTGCTTCATAAGACACAGTCTGTATCTCTTTCTGAACATATTTAAGCATCTAACTTCCAGCCTCTTCTCTAGTATTAATAACTTCTTCACAAATAGTTCCATAATGTTATCATTATCACTTAATAGATTTCTTTAAATCACGTTGCAAGAAAATATTCCATGAAATAGACCCAGCCTTTATACTTTAACAATCCCTAGCTGCCTGGGCCAATATTATTCTCATTTGTAGGATGTAGGCTCCACAGATTATAATATGTTTCTTTCCTTTTTAATCATCACAGATTTGCAAACTTTATGGCCTATTTTGGCCTTAATCTCCATGTCCAGCATCTGGGGAACAATGTTTTCCTGTTGCAGACTCTCTTTGGTGCAGTCATCCTCCTGGCCAACTGTGTTGCACCTTGGGCACTGAAATACATGAACCGTCGAGCAAGCCAGATGCTTCTCATGTTCCTACTGGCAATCTGCCTTCTGGCCATCATATTTGTGCCACAAGGTGAGAAAAGATCACAGGTGGAAGAGAGAAATGCCTTTGCCTCTTTTCTCAGGGATTGTACTTGTCACACCTATCTGAAGCCAAGAAGGAAAGGGAGAATTGGGTTCTTAGGATTTCCTGACACCAATCTGGGGATTTGGGACAGATTCTGCCACAAGTTGCTGGAAAACGAGTCAAAGATGAGTAAAGGTTGGCTCTATTATATGGTTGTCCTCATCATATTCAACAAATACTAAGAAACTGAAGCCATTTATTTCTGACAGTTTCTCTACAACAGCAATCAATTACTTACTCTTTGGCCAATCAAACTTTAAATGAGTATTGAGGTATAGGCCTTGTCATTGTTTCCCAACATGAGGACATAATACTGCTACTTCCTCTGTCTGGGCTCTTTCTTATTACTACAGCTTCAGTGACAATGTACTCCCTAATTCCCATGTATCTACTTGTGTGCCTTGTATTTGGTCACCATAACTGCAATCTGGTTTAGGGGAGTCATCTTGACTTCAAGGGAACAAAAGTGCCCCATCTTTATGTAAAGAACTGTACAGTAGAAATGAAGAAATTGTCAGTTAATAGCCTCTTGTAGATTCTATTTTAAGAAATTAACTGATCATATGTAATAAGTAAGGGAACCCAGGTGGCCACCAGTCTTCACCTAACTCTTAGTGTAGTAATGTATCTAACAGGATCTCAGATTGGTGTGCTCCACTCCCCCTCTTGAATGCCAGCAATGATCCAAGTGTGCTACAAAGCAACAGCACCCTCCAATGTCATGAGGCTATGACAGGATTTCTTCAGTTGGATAGAAACAAGCCTCTGAAACTTCCCTTCAGTGCTTTCCAAAGTCTGACTTTTTTTCCTCTTTTCGAGGTCCTTATTCCTAATCCTTAAAACATTAATACTCTCTAGCTTCTCTCCTAACATAGACCTCCTGATCTTTTATGACTCTCTTCTGCAACCCTAGCCCCATGTCAATACTGTGTATGTACCTAGGTTTTAACGGCCAGGAGAACATGGATGGGTCTTATACTCCCAAGTATTGCCCACATGACAGTCCTATGTTCTACCAGGTAGGCAGAGGAGTCCCTGGACGGAATAAATGAAAAAACATTCAGCTCAACTTACACGCCTCTCTCTTGCTATGGCATATCTCTGATATATAGTGAGAAGTGAAGTAATAGCTCAGATCCTTTTTATGCATTATTTAAGCCACAAGGCGAAGACAAATCATGTTTCTCAGCTATCAGCCACTGCACATTCTTTGCCTCTATGCAGTTTCCCTACAGTACATTTAACCCTTGCAAACACCTCCAATACAGTCCTTTTCACTTCTACCTTGGGGATGCTGATTCCTTCAGCTCAGATTTCCTGAGGCCTTGTGTTCTTCCTTTCTCCAGAAATGCAGACGCTGCGTGAGGTTTTGGCAACACTGGGCTTAGGAGCGTCTGCTCTTGCCAATACCCTTGCTTTTGCCCATGGAAATGAAGTAATTCCCACCATAATCAGGTACAGAACCTTAAGTATGCCCTGTCAGGTTCAAAATGGACCTTTCTCAGATAATTGACACTTTTTGCGGGAAGAAATCTAAGACTGGTTCATTAAGAAAATAAATCATAACAGTCATAAACACAAATAATTATAGACCAACTTTATCTCAAGCTGACTTTTTGCCACTGTATTAAGTCCTTTGATGTATTATAGTATCCCACATAACCTTCTGAGCCACCTGAGAGGTTGGTGCTAAGGATAGCAGTATTTCCTAAATGATGAAAATGCATCTAATGCACTTGTGAACTGAAAAATTAATTGCTAGCAAATAAAAGTGAAAATTTCAAACACAGGAGTATTTCATCACCTCTGTGTGTCTAAATGTTCCCCCATAATTAGAGCAAAATGATAAATCACAAATTGCCTGTGTGGATTTTTAACAGATATTCTTGTATTGCTGTTTCCACTCAAAGGGCAAGAGCTATGGGGATCAATGCAACCTTTGCTAATATAGCAGGAGCCCTGGCTCCCCTCATGATGATCCTAAGTGTGTATTCTCCACCCCTGCCCTGGATCATCTATGGAGTCTTCCCCTTCATCTCTGGCTTTGCTTTCCTCCTCCTTCCTGAAACCAGGAACAAGCCTCTGTTTGACACCATCCAGGATGAGAAAAATGAGTGAGTAAATAGCCCGGTTGCCCCTCAGAGGATCTGTGTGCTATAGGTCTGTGCTGAGGAAGGCAAAATACCATTTAGGGCCACTGTCCTCTCAAAAGGCTTAGACTTAGGATTTTCCCATGTAATCAGTGCCTTAGGTCTAGGTACAGCCACATGCCTTCCCACAGTGACCTCAGACACCCTCTGAGGCTCTCCAGATCACACAGACCAGCTCTGCCCAGCTTGTCAAAGGAGGCTTCATAGTGAAGAAGCCAAAATTAGGTCTCCTCTTCCCTCCCTGCCCTAGTGTGATATGCACACTGTTGAAGGTATTTTACAAATATGCAGAGATCCAAACACCAGATTTTCATCCCTGGGAAACCCTCAAACAAGTGGGTACCTGTAAGCTGTCTGAGATTGCCAGTGCTTACAGGCCTGACTACTAGGCCACTGAAGAATTTGTGGAAGAGTATGCAGATGCAGGGGTATCCAATCTTTTGGCTTCCCTGGTCTACAGTGGAATAAGAATTGTCTTGGGCCACACATAAAATACACTAACACTAATAATATCTGATGAGCTAAAAAAAAAAAAAATCACAAAAATATCTCATAACATTTTAAGAAAGTTTACAAATTTGTGTTGGGCCACATTCAAAGCCATCCTGGGCCACAGGCAGCCTGTGGGCCATAGGCTGGACAAGCTTGCACCAAGGCGTCCAAGGATGACAAGTAGAAAGTATCCAAGCTGCCTTCCCAGATCCTAGTCTGGGAGCTTCATCTTTTACTTCACAAGGTTTACTCAATCCCTTGGGGGCAGAGATATGGTTTTTACCAAACTAATGGACAAAGAATCAACATTCCTTAAAGAATGCGGGACTTACATGTTTAGTCCATGTCTTTTCATTTTTGTGATTTTTTGTTGGTTTCTTTGTATTTGTTCTAGGAGAAAAGACCCCAGAGAACCAAAGCAAGAGGATCCGAGAGTGGAAGTGACGCAGTTTTAAGGAATTCCAGGAGCTGACTGCCGATCAATGAGCCAGATGAAGGGAACAATCAGGACTATTCCTAGACACTAGCAAAATCTAGAAAATAAATAACAAGGCTGGGTGCGGTGGCTCACGCCTGTAATCCCAGCACCTTGGGAGGCTGAGGCGGGCAGATCATGAGGTCAGAAGATAAAGACCACCCTGGCCAACATGGTGAAACCCTGTCTCTACTAAAACAAATACAAAACTTCGCTGGGCACAGTGGCACAGGCCTTTAATTCCAGCTACTTGGGAGGCTGAGGCAGGAGAATTACTTGAACCCAGGAGGTGGAAATTGCAATGAGCCAAGATTGGGCCACTGCATTCCAGCCTGGTGACAGAGCGAGACTGTCTCAAAAAAAAAAAAAAAAAAAAAAGAAAGAAGGAAAGAAAGAAAGAAAAGAAAAGAAATAACAAGATATAGTGAGTCAGTAGATTCACTTCACAATTGTGGTACTAAATAACTAAATATAAGCTATCTACATATAATAGTAAGAAAAAGTTTGAAGAAAATTATATAACACTTTAAAATCAATCATAATAGACTATTTATGTAGTTATAGGTCCCTAGCAAGTTTCTGGATAGGAAGATTGAGTACTATTAAACACAATGTGTCTTCTTCAATTATTTGATAGAGTAACTGGTGGGATAATTACAATGAAAAATCTGCTACTTTTACAAAAACTTTAAAATAAATTCAAATTTATCTAGGAATTAATAGTAGACATTTGGTTCAGAAAAAAGAAGATCAGGGAGTGAAAAATGTAGCTGTCAGGTAAGTGGGGTAGCATGCACAGAATTTTATCATAAGTTGTAATATTCATAACATTATTAGCAGATGCATTTACAAAACAAAGAAATTCAAAAGTAGACTTTAGTATGTATAACATTTAATGTGTAACAATTTCAGTATTGTACATTCTTAGAGGAAACACCTAATTATGGAATAAATAGCATTAGCCAACTAATCAGAAATAAATGACTAACAATTCAACTTTATATCCTGTATTAGTCAGGGTTCTCTAAAGCAAGAGAAATAATAGTATATATGTGTATATAAAAGTGAGTTTATTAGGAGAATTGACTCACACGGTCACAGGATGAAGTTCCACACTAGGCCATTTGCAAGCTGAGGAGCCAGGAAGCCAGTCCAAGTCCCAAAACCCCAAAAGTAGGGAAGCTGACCATATAGCCTTCAGTCTGTGGCCAAAAGCCTGAGAGCCCCTGACAAATCACTGGTGTGAGTCCAAGAGTTCAAAAGCTAAGGAACCTGAAGTCGGATGTTTGAGGGCAGAAAGTATCCAGCATGGGAGAAAGATGAAGGCTGAAAGACTCAGCAAGTCTGCCCTTTCCATCTTCTTCTGCCTGCTTTATTCTAGCTGCACTGGCAGCTGACTAGATGGTGCCCACCCAGATTGAGGGTGGGTCTGCCTCTCCCAGTCCACTGACTCAAATGTTAATCTCCTTTGGCAACACCCTCACAGACACACCCAGGAACTATACTTTGCATCCTTCAATCCAATCAAGTTGACACTCAATATTAACCATCACATTTCCTAAACCAATATACCAATTATTGATTATGATTATGACAATCATTTCACATTGTATACATACATGTATCATCACACTGTACATCTCAAATATATGCAAGTTTTATTTGTCAATCATACTTCAGTATAGCTGAGAACAAGTTAAATGGAACAAATAAACCATGCTTTCAAAGGAGCCTTGGCTACCAAAATTCAAAAAAGAAAAACATGTTATTAATAGGAAAGTAAATTCCAAATAAACATATATATACTTGACTACTCATTTAAGCCTTCTGTGAAGAAAACCCAAGAAATTATGGGAGAAAGCTATAAAAATATACAACAAAATGATTAAAAACATTAAATTTTCATGGTAGACCTCAAAGTTATTTAACTTTCTTCTTTGTAAGTGTATTCTAAGTTGAAGCAAGGAATATGCAACAGCTTAAAATTTTATAAATTATATAATTTTTTCACAGAATTAGGAAAAACAATTTTTAAAATCACATGGAACCAAAAAAAAAAAGAGCCTGCATAGCCAAAGTAATACTAAGCAAAAGGAATAAATTGGAGGCATCACATTATCCAACTTCAAGTTATACCACAAGGCTATAGTAACCAAAACAGCATGGTACTTGTATAAAAGTAGACACATAGACCAAAGGAACAGAATAGAGAACCCAGAAATAGAGCCCCATACTTACAACAAACCTATCTTCAACAAAGCATACAAAAACATAAATAGGGGAAAGAACATCCTGTTCAATAAATGGTGCAGGGAAAACTGGATAGCCACATATAGAAGAATAAAACTGAATCCCTATCTCTTGCCATCTACAAAAATCAACTCAAGATGGATCAAAGACTTAAATTTAAGTCCTAAAAATTCTAGAAGAAAATCTAGCAAAAACATTTCTGGACATTGGTCTGGGCAAAGAATTTATGTCTGAGACCCCAAAAGCAAATGCAACAAAAACAAAAATAAATAAATAGGATCTAATTAAATTTTAAAAATTCTTCACAACAAAAGAAATAATCAGAAGAGTAAACAGACAACCCACAGTGTAGGAGACAATATTCACAAATCATCATCTTACAAAGGACTAATATCCAGAATCTACAAGGAACTCAAATCAGCAAGAAAAAAACAATCTCCTCCAAAAGTGGGTAGGACATGAATAGATAATTCTCAAAAGAAGATGTACAAACAGCCAACAAACATATGAAAAAATGCTTAAGTGCAAGAAGGGCGATTAAAATGTCAAAAAAAATAGATGTTGGCATGTATGTGTTGAAACGGGAATACTTATACACTGTTGTATCCTCTCTGGAACACAGTATGAAGATTTTTCAAAGAATTAAGAGTAGTAGAGAAAATAGCAGATGTACCATTCAATCCCGCAATCCCACTGCTCGGTATCTACCTGTATTAGTCTGTTCTCACACTGCTATAAAGAACTGCCCGAGACTGAATAATTTATAAAGGAAAGAGGTTTAATTGACTCACAGTTCTGCATGACTGGGGAGGCCTCAGGAAACTTACAATCATGGCAGAAGGGGAACCAAATACTTCCTTCTTCAAATGATGGCAGGAAGGAGAAGAATGAGTGCTGAGCAAAGGAGGATACCCCTTATGAAATCATCAGATCTCGTGAGAACTTAGTCACTATCACAGAAACCGCAGCACAGGAGTAACTGCCCCCATGATTCAGTTACCTCCCACCGGGTCCCTCCCATGATACATGGTGATTATGGGAACTACAATTCAAGATGAGATTTGGGTGGGGACACAGCCAAACCATATCACTACCCAAAGGAAAAGAAGCCATTATATAAAAAAAAAAAAACCTGCATGCATGTTTATTGCAGCACAATTCACAATTGCAAAAATATGGAACCAACCTAAGTGCCCCGCCACCAATCAGTGGATAAATAAAATGTGGTACATATACATCATGGAATACTACTCAGCCATAAAAAGAAACAAAATAATGTCTTTTGCAGCAACTTAGATTGGCTGGAGGCCATTATTCTAAGTGAAGTAACTCAGGAATGGAAAACCAAATATTGTACGTTCTCACTTATAAGTGGGAGCTAAGCTACAGGTATACAAAACATATGGAGTGGTATAATGGACATTAGATACTCAGAAGGGGAGGGGAAAAAACCCTACATATTGGGTACAATATACACTACTTAGGTGATGGATGCACTAAAACCTCCAACTTTACCAGTATACAATTCATCCATATAACCAAAAACTACTTGTACCCCAAAAGCTATTGAAATAAAAAATATACATATATTTAAAATTCAGATGACATCCACTCAGAAAAAAATTATAAATTATTGTTATATTTTAAATTACAAAATACAAGATAAACTTTAGAAGACATACATATTTAGATTTCTTATGTCTATGAAAAAAGAATACATGATTCAATATACTATTGGGGAACACCAAGAACATATAATTTTCAAAGGACTAAAGTCACATGACTAAACATTTATGAAAAAGTGTGCAAGCCTATTGGAAATAGAATAGCATAAAAGGTCCAGAAATAAATCCAAGCATATATGGCCAACTAATTTTGGACAGGGACACCAGAAAGACACAATTGAAAAAGGGTACCCTCTTCAATAAACGGTGCTAGAAAAAAATTGTATTTCCACATGTAAAGGAATAAAATCGAATCCTTATCTTACACCATATACAAAAATCAACTTAAAATGAATAAAAGACCTACATGTAAGACCATAAAACTCTTGGAATAAAACATAGGAGAAAGAAGAGAACATAGCTCCTTGACATTGGCCTTGGCAACAATTCCATTCCTTGGATAATACACTAAAAGGTCACGCTACAAAGGCAAATATAAATAGATAGGACTACATTAAGCCAAAATGTTTCTGCACAGCAAAGGAAACAACAAAATCAAAAGGCAACCTATGGATTGGAAATATTTGCAAACTATATATCTGATAAGAGGTTAATATCCAAAATTTATGTAAAAACTTACACAACTCATTAGTAAGAAAATATATAATTCAATAATAAATGGACAAAATGCCTGAATAGATATTTCTCCAAAGTTGACATAAAAATGGCCAACAAGTATAGGACAAGGTGCTCAACATCACTATTCATGAGGACAGAATAATGCAAATCAAAACTACTATGAGATGTCACCTTATATTCCTTAAAATAGCTATTATTTAAAAGGTGAGTTAACAAGTATCGTCAAGAGCATGTACTTTGGCATTGTTGGTGGAATGTAAATTGCTGCAGCCATTAGGGAAAACATTATAAAGGTACCATGTAAGAAAACTTCACAAGTATCACCTGAACCTAAAATAAAAGTTAAAAAGAAAAGATTCCACCCCAAAATTAAAGACAGAACTACCATGTGATCCAGCAACCCCTCTTCTGGGTATATACCCAAAAGAAATGAAAGTACCACCTTGTAAAAAACATCTGCACTCCCATTTTCATTGAAGCATTATGCACAATTACCAAGATACAGAAACAATCTAGGTGTCCATCAACAGATGAATGAAAAAGGAAACTGTAATATTTACACACACACACACACACGAGTAATATTATTCAGCCTTTAAAAAGGAGATATTCAATTGTACCTAAATCTCAGCATCACACAATATATCCAGGTAACAAATCTGCACATGTGCCCCCTAAATGTAAAAGTTGGAATTATAAAAAAAAAAAAATAAGAGGAGATTCTGCCATTTGCCACTACACGGATGTACCTGGAAAACATTAGGCTAAATAAAATAAGCCAGACACAAAAAGGAAAACATTGCATGACCTCACTTATATGTGGGAAAAAGGTCAAATAAATGGAGATAGAGAATAAAATAGCAGTTACCAGAGACAAGATGGGAAGGAGGAAATGGGGAGATGTAGGTCAAAGTACAAGATATGTAGGATAAACAAGGCTAAAGAGCTCACGTACAACATGAAGACTATAGTTGATAATAGAGTATAGAATTCAGAATTTTTGCTAAATGACTAGATTATAGATGTTCTTGCCACAGAGTGAAAACTAAGTTAACTATATGAGGTGATAGATACGTTAATTTGCTTCACCATGGTGACTATTTTATACACACACACACACACACACACACACACACACACATATAACTCTCATAGCATTATGTTGTATACCTTAAATATACATAATTAAATTTATTTTTAAAAAGAAGAGAAAACTCATAACATGAAAAAAATTATTAGGTCATCATGTAATAGCAACTAAGCAGTATGCTAGAAGCTCTGAATGCACAGAAGAAATGAAAAAAAGACATCACACGGATTTAATAGATATGAGTATTTGTCTGCAAATATAGATGTAACATTGCATTTTAGTTGTTACCAGTAACAAAATTTCAATTTAAATTCCACCTTGCCTCTGGGTTGGCAAAAAAAAAAAAATGCAAATAAGTTATTTTCAGGAATTATTTCCACAAATCTTTCACATCAAAGCTATCTAGACTCCACAGGCACATGCAGAGTGTGTCAAGAAATAAAGTAGTAATAATGGAAGATTGCACTCATTATCAGTTATCCGCTTAGAGGTTATCATGTAGCTACTGAGCCTGCACACACTCAGTGCTGAAACCCTACCATTCCCATCACAATGAGGCATTGAAATGGGGATTCTGGTGTGGCCACTTACCTCCATTTGCAACCACTCTGTTAGGAGTTCTCTGATTCCATGGAGTATCCTAAAGGTGAATACCGGGTTCTGGTTCCCCCAGGACCCAGAGACACTCCTCCACCCTCACCCTTCCCAAATACTCCACTTATTTTGATAAACTCTTTAGCTTTTGCACAGACCCTCTAGTTACACTGCCAATTTAGCTTTTGAAAAAAATAGTCTTCAAGACTTCTTTTGCTTATCAGCTTCAAAACACCTTCCGAGGGATCAAAAAGTAAAGACATGACAACCCGCAGGAATGTGGGAAAGAGGATATTCCAGGAAATCATCCATAATGGATATCATGAGTTTATCCAGTCTCATTCTTGTGCCTAATGAAATGTTTGATAGCCCATTATGATGAAGACTACATGGCATCCGTTTCTGTGCATCACCCCAGAAGATAGTGGTCAGTTCATAAACATGATGTTTCATGGAAGAGAATTTCCCACAGGTCTTCATGAGTCTTTAAAGCTAGAGACCAGTGCTTGTGGCCCAACAGATAATATTTTTACTGGAGAAGTCTAGTGAGCACAACTGTAAAAAAAATCTACTATGGTGGGGTGAGTGAACGGGTTTCCTTTCCATTTGACTTGGAGTAACAGAAGCATTCTTCAAAGACCTAGTTAATATTTTGCAGTGATTATCATTTTGAAATAGGATTATCAGTGAACATCTGTAACTCACTCTTTGTTGTCCAGTGTTTCTTGAACGGAATTTTGTAAAAAGAAAAAAAATCAGAGAACGAATGAATACATTTGAAATCGTTGAGGAAATGCTGGAAATTAGGGCTAATTATCTCTCCTAATTGTGGTAAAGGAGCTTCTTCCTGGACATGGATATTCATAGCCTGTTATCCAAACCCTCCTGAGCCATGTAGCTATAGATATTTTTTGAAACTCATGTGCTATAAATCATGATTCTAATAGTTAGCTGGATATAATACCATGGAATCCAGTCTTAATTTTGTAAAGAACAGTACATAAAACAAGTGCAGCTAAAGAAACACAAATACCACAAGATCTAACTTATTTGTGGAATCTAAAAACTTCAAACTCAGAAGTGTGCTGCCAGTAAGGTGGCAGAATAAGAAGTCATCCACTCGTATCCCCCAAAAACAACAAGAATTCTGTACCTGTCAACAGAGAAAAAGCCTCTTTACATGAGCTGGAGACTGAGGTTGAAGTCTGTGAAACCCCAGTGGAGCCCAAGACTTTGAAAAGTCATTTTAAGAGTGCAGGCCCACACCCAGATGGCAGGCCTACCAATCATGCTCCTGCATTGAAAGTTTGAAAGAGCCTCATTTCCCAAAGGGCTTAGCTACAGCCTTGTATGGCCTTGACCCTGGAACCAAAACTATCTGCCAAAGCCTCCAGGAGGAATCACAACAGTATCTTGGCAAAAAGGTTTGACTGCCCACCAACATTGGTCTCAGCAGTGGACTGGAAAGTTACCCTATAAAAGCTACAGTTCCCCTCAACTGTGGTCACAGATTGACACTGCTTGCACAAGGCCTCAGAAAGAGCTCTCATGTGTGACACCAGGACAGGCTTGAAAGCCTCTGTTCCACAGCACAGTCTAAATGGGCTCTATCTTTCAGCCCGGCATTATCTTGCCCAAGCAGAGAATGGCTGGGAGTCACCCATCTGAGCCTCCATAACAGGCTTACTAGGTTCCATCTCATTGCAGAGCCTGAAGGAGCCAATCTCAGCTCAAATCCATTGGTGCCACAGCCAGGGAATTATCTGACCTGTACAAGGAACAGCTGGGAGACATGCCCATCTGAACAACTGGGACAGGCTTGCCAGCATCTGTTCCATAGCAGGTCCTCAAGGGGCCTGGTCTTAGACCCAGCCCCTCTTGCTGCAATGAGGGAATAATCCCAAAGGCACAGGGATCTGCTGGGAAACTCACCCCATCTGAGCCTCTTTGACAGACTTATCAGACTGTGTCTCACAGAAATTCTTGAAGGGGCACAGTCTCAGCTTCAGCCTCTTACTGCCATAGCCAGAAAACTATCCCACCTATGCAGGGAACTGCTGGGAAATGCACCTATCTGAAGTAACAGGACAGGGTTTCTAACTTCCATCCCATAGCAGATCCTAAAAGGGTCAAATGTCAGCTCCAGCACCTGTCACTGCAGTCAGGTAACTATCCTACCTGTGCTGGGAACTGCTTAGATATGTGCCCATCTGAGCCACCAGAAGAGGCTTGCGATGCATCCTCTTTCTCACAGAAGATTCTAAAAAGGCCCAGTCTCAGCTCCAGCCCTTTTCTGCAACAGCCTGGAAACTATCCTACCTGTGCAGTGAACTTCTGGGAGATGCTGTCATCCAAGACACCAGCACAGGCTTGCCATCCTCTGTCCCACAGTAGGACATGAAGAGGCCTTAGTGCTACACTAGATCAAGCACTTATGAATCTAGTGACCATGACAAACAGCATGCTCAGAGTTGCTGGATAGACGTCTTGTACAAGAACTGTCACAGAGAAATCCAGACTATGAACACTAAAATAAATACCTATTTCTTCAATGAATAGACATTGATGCACAACCACAAGGATCAAAAACAATCAAAGATAAATGATGTCAGAAGATGGCAGAATAGGAACAGCTCCGATCTACAGCTCCCAGCATGAGGGACGCAGAAGACGGGTGATTTCTGCATTTCCATCTCAGGTACTGGGTTCATCTCACTAGGGAGTGCCAGAGAGTGGGTGCAGGACAATGGGTGCAACACACCATGTGGGAGCCAAAGCAGGGCGAGGCATTGCCTCACTCGGGAAGCACAAGGGGTCAGGGAGTTCCCTTTCCTAGTCAAAGAAAAGGGTGACAGACGGCACCTGGAGAATCAGGTCACTCCCACCCTAATACTGCACATTTCCAGTGGGCTTAAGGAACAGCACACCAGGAGATTGTATCCCGCATCTGGCTCGGAGGGACCTGAGCCCATGGAGTATCGCTGATTGCTAGCACAGTAGTCTGAGATCAAACTGCAAGGCAGCAGTGAGGCTGGGGGAAGGGCACCTGCCATTGCCCAGGCTTGCTTAGGTAAACAAAGCAGCCAGGAAGCTCGAACTGGGTGGAGCCCACCACAGCTCAAGGAGGCCTGCCTGCCTCTGTAGGCTCCACTTCTGGGGGCAGGGCACAGACAAACAAAAAGACAGCAGTAACCTCTGCAGACTTAAACATCCCTGTCTGACAGCTTTGAAGAGAGTAGTGGTTCTCCCATCACGCACCTGGAGATCTGAGAATGGGCAGACTGCCTCCTCAAGTGGGTCCCTGACCCCCGAGCAGCCTAACTGGGAGGCACCCCCCAGTAGGGGCAGACTGACACCTCGCACGGCCGGATACTCTTCTGAGACAAAACTTCCAGAGGACCGATCAGGCAGCAGCATTTGCGGTTCATGAAAATCCAGTTCTGCAGCCACCACTGCTGATACCCAGGCAAACAGGGTCTGGAGTGGACCTCTAGCAAACTCCAACAGACCTGCAGCTGAGGGTCCTGTCTGTTAGAAGGAAAACTAACAAACAGAAAGGACATCCACACCAAAAACCCATCTGTATGTCACCATCATCAAAGACCAAAAGTAGATAAAACCACAAAGATGGGGAAAAAACAGAACAGAAAAACTGGAAACTCTAAAAAGCAGAGCACCTCTCCTCCTCCAAAGGTTCGCAGTTCCTCACCAGCAACAGAACAAAGCAGGATGGAGAATGACTTTGACGAGTTGAGAGAAGAAGGCTTCAGACAATCAAACTACTCCGAGCTACAGGAGGAAATTCAAACCAACGGCAAAGAAGTTAAAAACTTTGAAAAAAAATTAGACGAATGTATAACTAGAATAACCAATGTAGAGAAGTGCTTAAAGGGGCTGATGGAGCTGAAAGCCAAGGCAAGAGAACTACATAAAGAATGCAGAAGCCTCAGGAGCTGATGCAATCAACTGGAAGAAATGGTATCAGTGATGGAAGATGAAATGAATGAAATGAAGTGAGAAGGGAAGTTTAGAGAAAAAAGAATAAAAAGAAATGAGCAAAACCTCCAAGAAATATGGGACTATGTGAAAAGACCAAATCTACGTCTGATTGGTGTACCTGAAAGTGATGGGGAGAATGGAACCAAGTTGGAAAACACTCTGCAGGATATTATCCAGGAGAACTTCCCCAATCTAGCAAGGCAGGCCAACGTTCAGATTCAGGAAATACAGAGAACGCCACAAAGATACTCCTCGAGAAGAGCAACTCCAAGACACATAATTGTCAGATTCACCAAAGTTGAAATGAAGGAAAAAATGTTAAGGGCAGCCAGAGAGAAAGGTCGGGTTACCATCAAAGGGAAGCCCATCAGACTAACAGCGGATCTCTCGGCAGAAACCCTACAAGCCAGAAGAGAGTGGGGGCAAATATTCAACATTCTTAAAGAAAAGAATTTTCAACCCAAAATTGCATATCCAGCCAAAATAAGCTTCATAAGTGAAGGAGAAATAAAATACTTTACAGACAAGCAAATGCTGAGAGATTTTGTCACCACCAGGCCTGCCCTAAAAGAGCTCCTGATGGAAGCACTAAACATGGAAAGGAACAACCGGTATCAGCCACTGCAAAAACATGCCAAATTGTAAAGACCATCAAGGCTAGGAAGAAACTGCATCAACTAACGAGCAAAATAACCAGCTAACATCATAATGACAGGATCAAATTCACACATAACAATATTAACTTTAAATGTAAATGGGCTAAATGCTCCAATTAAAAGACACAGAGTGGCAAATTGGATAGAGTCAAGACCCATCAGTGTGCTGTATTCAGGAAACCCATCTCACATGCAGAGACACACATAGGCTCAAAATAAAGGGATGGAGGAAGATCTACCAAGCAAATGGAAAACAAAAAAAGGCAGGGGTTGCAATCCTAGTCTCTGATAAAACAGACTTTAAACCAACAAAGAACAAAAGAGACAAAGAAGGCCATTACATAATGGTAAAGGGATCAATTCAACAAGAAGAGCTAACTATCCTAAATATATATGCACCCAACACAGGAGGACCCAGATTCATAAAGCAAGTCCTGAGTGACCTACAAAGAGACTTAGACTCCCACACAATAATAATGGGAGACTTTAACACCCCACTGTCAACCTTAGGCAGATCAATGAGACAGAAAGTTAACAAGGATACCCAGGAATTGAACTCAGCTCTGCACCAAGCGGACCTAATAGACATCTACAAAACTCTCCACCCCAAATCAACAGAATATACATTTTTTTCAGCACCACACCACACCTATTCCAAAATTGACCACATAGTTGGAAGTAAAGCACTATTCAGCAAATGTAAAAGAACAGAAATTATAACAAACTGTCTCTCAGACCACAGTACAATCAAACTAGAACTCAGGATTAAGAAACTCACTCAAAACCACTCAACTACATGGAAACGGAACAACCTGCTCCTGAATGACTACTGGGTACCTAACGAAATGAAGGCAGAAATAAAGATGTTCTTTGAAACCAACGAGAACAAAGACACAACATACCAGAATCTGTGGGACACATTCAAAGCAGTGTGCTGAGGGAAATTTATAGCACTAAATGCCCACAAGAGAAAGCAGGAAAGATCCAAAATTGACACCCTAACATCACAATTAAAAGAACTAGAAAAGCAAGAGCAAACACATTCAAAAGCTAGCAGAAGGCAAGAAATAACTAAAATCAGAGCAGAACTGAAGGAAATAGAGACAGAAAAAAACCCTTCAAAAAATTAATGAATCCAGGAGCTGGTTTTTTGAAAAGATCAACAAAATTGATAGACTGCTAGTAAGACTAATAAAGAAGAAAAGAGAGAAGAATCAAATAGATGCAATAAAAAATGATAAAGGAGATATCACCGCTGATCCCACAGAAATACAAACTACCATCAGAGAATACTACAAACACCTCTACACAAATAAGCTAGAAAATCTAGAAGAAATGGATAAATTCCTTGACACATACACCCTCCCAAGACTAAACCAGGAAGAAGTTGAATCTCTGAATAGACCAATAACAGGCTCTGAAATTGTGCTTACCAACCAAAAAGAGTTGGTAAGCCAGCCAGCCATTTGACCCAGCCATCCCATTACTGGGACCACATGGATTCACAGCCGAATTCTACCAGAGGTACAAGGAGGAACTGGTACCATTCCTTCTGAAACTATTCCAATCAATAGAAAAAGAGGGAATCCTCCCTAACTCATTTTACGACGCCAGCATCATCCTGATACCAAAGCCGGGCAGAGACACAACCAAAAAAGAGAATTTTAGACCAATATCCTTAATGAACATTGATGCAAAAATCGTCAATAAAATACTGGCAAACCGAATCCAGCAGCACATCAAAAAGCTTATCCACCATGATCAATTGGGCTTCATCCCTGGGATGCAAGGCTGGTTCAACATACGCAAATCAATAAATGTAATCCAGCATATAAACAGAACCAAAGACAAAAACCACATCATTATCTCAATAGATGCAGAAAAGGCCTTTGACAAAATTCAACAATGCTTCATGCTAAAAACTCTCAAAAAATTAGGTATTGATGGGACGTATCTCAAAATAAGAGCTATCTATGAGAAACCCACAGCCAATATCATACTGAATGGGCAAAAACTGGAAGCATTCCCTTTGAAAACTGGCACAAGACAGGGATGCCTTCTCTCACCACTCCTATTCAACATAGTGTTGGAAGTTCTGGCAGGGCAATCAGGCAGGAGAAGGAAATAAAGGGTATTCAATTCAGAAAAGAGGAAGTCAAATTGTCCCTGTTTGCAGATGACATGATTGTATATCTAGAAAACCCCATCGTCTCAGCCCAAAATCTCCTTAAGCTGATAAACAACTTCAGCAAAGTCTCAGGATATAAAATCAATGTACAAAAATCACAAGCATTCTTATACACCAATAACAGACAAACAGAAAGCCAAATCATGAGTGAACTCCCATTCACAATTGCTTCAAAGAGAATAAAATACCTAGGAATCCAACTTACAAGGGATGTGAAGGACCTCTTCAAGGAGAACTACAAACCAATGCTCAATGAAATCAAAGAGGATACAAACAAATGGAAGAACATTCCATGCACATGGGTAGGAAGAATCAATATCGTGAAAATGACCGTACTGCCCAAGGTAATTTACAGATTCAATGCCATCCCCATCAAGCTACCAATGGCTTTCTTCACAGAATTGGAAAAAACTACCTTAAAGTTCATATGGAACCAAAAAAGAGCCCGCATCACCAAGTCAATCCTAAGCCAAAAGAACAAAGCTGGAGGCATCACACTACCTGACTTCAAACTCTACTACAAGGCTACAGTCACCAAAACAGCATGATACTGGTGCTACAGTCACCAAAACAGCATGATACTGGTACCAGAACAGAGATATAGACCAATGGAACAGAACAGAGCCCTCAGAATTAATTACACATATCTACAACTATCTGTTCTTTGACAAACCTGACAAAAACAAGCAATGGGGAAAGGATTCCCTATTTAATAAATGGTGCTGGGAAAACTGGCTAGCCATATGTAGAAAGCTGAAACTGGATCCCTTCCTTACACCTTATACAAAAATTAATTCAAGATGGATTAAAGACTTAAACGTTAGACCTAAAACCATAAAAACCCTAGAAGAAAACCTAGGCAATACCATTCAGGACATAGGCATGGGCAAGGACTTCATGTCTAAAACACCAAAAGCAATGGCAACAAAAGACAAAATTGACAAATGGGATTTAATTAAACTAAAGAGCTTCTGCACAGCAAAAGAAACTACCATCAGAGTGAACAGGCAACCTACAAAATGGGAGAACATTTTCATAATCTACTCATCTGACAAAGGGCTAATATCCAGAATCTACAATGAACTCAAACACATTTACAAGAAAAAAACAAACAACCATTAAAAAGTGGGTGAGGTATATGAACAGACCCTTCTCAAAAGAAGACATTTATGCAGCCAAAAAACACATGAAAAAGTGCTCATCATCACTGGCCATCAGAGAAATGCAAATCAAAACCACAATGAGATACCATCTCACACCAGTTAGAATGGAGATCATTAAAAAGTCAGGAAACAACAGGTGCTGGAGAGGATGTGGAGAAATAGGAACACTTTTACACTGTTGGTGGGACTGTAAACTATTTCAACCATTGTGGAAGTCAGTGTGGCGATTCCTCAGGGATCTAGAACTAGAAATAACATTTGACCCAGCCATCCCATTACTGGGTATATACCCAAAGGATTATAAATCATGCTGCTATAAAGACACATGCACACGTATGTTTATTGCGGCACTATTCACAATAGCAAAGACTTGGAACCAACCCAAATGTCCAACAATGATAGACTGGATTAAGAAAATGTGGCACATATACACCATGGAATACTATGCAGCCATTAAAAAATGATGAGTTCATGTCCTTTGTAGGGACATGGATGAAGATGGAAACCATCATTCTCAGCAAACTATCGCAAAGACAAAAAACCAAACACCACATGTTCTCACTCATAGGTGGGAATTGAACAATGAGAACACATGGACACAGGAAGGGGAACATCACACTCCAGGGACTGTTGTGGGGTGGGGGGAGAGGGGAGGGATAGCATTAGGAGATATACCTAATGCTAAATGACGAGTTAATGGGTGCAGTACACCAACATGGCACATGTATACATAGGTAACAAACCTGCACATTGTGCACATGTACCCTAAAACTTAAAGTATAATAATAACAAAATAAAAAAATATTTAAAAAAAAGAAAAACGATGTCACCAAACAAACAAAACAACATACCAGTAATTGGCACTAAACGGATGCAGACATAAAATCCACCTGACAAGAAAATCAAGAGAACTGTTCTAAAGCCACTAATCAACCAACCAAAAAAATCGTAGAGAAGACCCAAACAAACAAAATCAGAATTGAAAAAGGAGACAACAACTGAGACCACAGACATACAAAGAATCATTAGTGACTATTATGAACAACTATATGACAATTTGGAAACCTAAAAGTAATGGATAAATTACCAGACATATAAACCTACCAAGATTGAACCAAGAAAAAAACATAAAACCTCAACAAATTAATAATGAGTAACAAGAGTAAGGTCATAATAAAATTCTCACTTCAAAGAAAATCCCAGGACCAGATAGACTCACTGATGAATTCTACCAAACATCAAAAGAACAACAAATATGAATTGAGTCTACTAAAATCCTTCAAAAAAATTAAACAGCAAGGAATGCTTCCAAACTCATTCTAACATGGCAGCATTACCCTGACACCAAAACCAGGCAAGGACACATGAAAAAAGAAAACTAAAAGCCAGTATTATTAACATATATGCAAAATCCTCAACAAAATACTAGCAAACCAAATTCATCAACACCTTAAAAGATCATTCACCATGATCAAGGGGGATTCCTCCCAGGAATACAAGGATAGTTCAACACGTGCAAATCAATAAACATGATACATCACATTAACAGAACCAAGAATTAAATAGATTTAAATAAATGATGAAAAAATATTTGACAAAACTCAACATCCTCTTATGAAAAATATCCTCAACAAACTAAGTATAGAAGGAACATACCTCAAAATAATAAAGGCCATATGTCACAAACCCACAGCTAACATTATACTGAACAGGGAAAAATGGAAAGCCTTTCTTCTAAGGTCTTAAACAAAACAAGGATGCCCGCTTTTACCACTTTTATTCAACATAATATCAAAAGTCCCAGCCAGAGCAATTAGGCAAGAGAAACAAATAAAGGGAATCCAAATTGGAAAGGAAGAAGTCAAATTCTCTTGTTTGCATAAGATAACTTTTTTCGTGGGAGTTTAATCTTTTCACTGACAAGTAAGCTTTATTATATGTCAAATCAACATTTTAGAGTTTTTTCATTGACACATTATATTTACATGTTTATTGGGTATATGTGAGCGTTTGTTACATGCATGGAATGAGTGATAATCAAGCCAGGGTAATTTGGGGTATCCATCACCATGCATGTATGCATGTTTATCATTTTTAGGTGTTTTATCATTTCTAGTCTTCTAGTTACTTTGCAATATACATAATAGTATTGCTACATATGGTCACCCTAGTCTGCTATCAAACATTAGGATGATTTCTTCAATCTAACTGCATGTTTGTATCCATAAACAACCTCTCTTCACCTCCCTTTCCCAGTTTCTGATATCTATCCTATTCTTGATGTCCATGAGATCAAGTTTTTACATCCCACATATGAGTGAGAACATGTGGTATTTATCTTTTTGTGCTTCCCTTACGTCACTTATCATAATAAAACCCATTTCCATCCATGTTGCTGGAAAAGGATTCCACTCTTTTTAATGGCTGAATAGTGTATGTGTATATATGTGTATGGGTATTTGTGCAGGTATGGGTACCTATGGGTGTGGGTGTAGGTGTGTATCCAGAAAACAAATAGTACATATAAACACATACATGTACATGCATGCATGTGCACACACACACTCACACACACACACCATTTTTCTTGTCCAATCAGCCATTGATGAACACTTAGGTTGATTCCATATCTGTTCTATTGGGAATAGCATTGTGATAAACCTGTGAGTCAAATGTATCCCTTTGAGAAAATAATTTCTTTTCTTTTGGATAGATACCCTGTAGTGAGATTGCTGCATCATGTAGTAGTTCTAGATTTAGTTTTTCTGAGAAATATCTATACTGCTTTCCATAATGGTTGCACTAATTTACATTCCCACCATGTCTAAGAGTACCCTTTTCTCTGCAACCTCACCAGCATCTGGGTGTGTGTGTGTCTGTGTGAGTGTGTGCATCTGTCAATAATAAACATTCTGTGGTGAGATAATATCTCATTGTGGTTTTTATTTACAATCCCTGATAATTAGTGTTGAGCATTTTTCATATACTATTGGTCTTTTGTAAGTCTTCTTTTGAAAAATATTGTTCATTTTTAGTGGGATTGTTTGGTTTTCTATAGTTGAATTGTTATTCTTGTATAGAATACATATTAGTCCCCTTTGGATGAGCACTTTGCAAATATTTTCTCCCATTCAAGTGATTTGCACTTCCCTTGTAATAGGTGATGTTGAGCAGATTTTCATATACCTATTAGCCATTTGTACATCTTTTTTTAGGTAAGATTTTATTTATTATGATGGGTGTGCTTGCCTGTTCCTAAGTTCATTCCAGTCTGGAACATAGGAAGATAATGCTACCTGCATAGCTGCTACACCATTCAGCCATTTCTTTCCTTTGTTTTTAACTGGGTTAAGATAGAAAACCCTAGTTCACACAAACTAGTTGTTGTGAATGGTAGTAATAGCAGGACACTCTTTCTATTTAACAATGGAAAGTCTTCCTTTACCTTATTCCAAAATGCTGATAAGCTTAAGGTCTCATAATCATTCTTTAATGTATATGAAGAACTAAACTGCAATAATTCATTCTCTTCTTCAGGCACCAAGTTTAGCTCAATTATTGATTCAGGGTTTTGAAAAGCAAATGGATATTTTACCCAACTGTTTTCCCTTAATGTTTCAAATTTTTCTTCTGGAAAGAAACGGTTAAAAGTTTGAGATAGGTCACTTCCAAGATGGCCTAATAGGAACAGCTCCAGTCTACAGCTCCCAGTGAGATCGATGCAGAAGATGGGTGATTTCTGCATTTCCAACTGAGGTACCTGGTTCATCTCATTGGGACTGGTTGGACAGTGGGTGCAGCCCATGGAGGGTGAGCCAAAGCAGGGCAGGGCATCACCTCACCCAGGAAGTGCAAGGGGTTGGGGGATTTCCCTTTCCTAGCCAAGGAAAGCTGGGAGTGACTGTACCTGGAGGAATGGTACACTCCTGCCCAAATACTGCACTTTTCCCAGGGTCATCACAACCAGCAGACCAGGAGATTCCCTCCCAAGCCTGACTAGACAGGTCCCACACCCATGGAGCCTTGCTCGCTGCTAATGCAGCAGTCTGAGATCAACCTGGGATGTTGGAGCTTGGCAGGGGGAGGGGCATCCACTACTACTGAGGCTTGAGTAGGCAGTTCTATGCCCACAGTCTAAACAAAGCAACAGGGAACTTCAAACTGGGCGGAGCCCACCACAGCTCAGCAAGGCCTACTGCCTCTCTAGATTCCACCTCTAGGGGCAGGGCATATCTGAACAAAAGGCAGGAGACAGCTTCTGCAGACTTAAACCTCCCTGCCTAACAGCTCTGAAAAGAGCAGTGGTTCTCACAGCACAGAGTTCAAGCTCTGATAATGGACAGACTGCCTCCTCAAGTGGGTCCATGACCCCATGATTCCTGATGGGGAGACACCTCACAGTAGGGGCCGACAGACACCTCATACAGGCAGGTGTCCCTCTGGGACAAAGCTTCCAGAGAAAGGATCAGGCAGCAATATTTGCTGTTCTGCAACCTCCACTGGAAATACCCAGGCAAACCTGGTAATACTCCAGGGTCTGGAGTGGACCTCCAGCAAACTCCAACAGACCTGCAGATGAGGGGCCTGACTGTTAGAAGGAAAACTAACAAACAGAAAGGAATAGCATCAACATCAACAAAAAGGACATCCACAACAAAACCCCATCCATAGGTCACCAACATCAAAGACCAAACGTAGACAAAAACCACAAAAATGGGGAGAAACCAGAGCAGAAAGGCTGAAAATTCCAAAACCAAAATACCTCTTCTCCTCCAAAGGAACACAACTCCTCAACAGCAAGGGAATAAAACTGGATGGAGAATGAGTTTGACAAATTGACAAAAGTAGTCATCAGAAGGTCGGTAATAACAAACTTCTCTGAGCTAAAGGAGCATGTTCTAACCCATTGCAAGGAAACTAAACTTTGAAAAAAGGTTAGACGAATGGCTAACTAGAATACCAGTAAGGAGAAGAGCTTAAATGGCCTGATGGAGCTGAGAACCACAGTATGAGACCTTCATGAAGCATACACAAGCTTCAATAGCCGATTAGATCAAGTGGAAGTAAGGATATCAGTGATTGAAGATCAAATTAATGAAATAAAGTGAGAAGACAAGACTAGAGAAACAAGGGTGAAAAGAAACAAATAAAGCCTCCAATAAACATGAGACTATATGAAGACCAAATCTATGTTTGATTGGTGTACCTGAAAGTGATGGGAGAATGGAACCAAGTTAGAAAACACTCTTCAGGACATTATCCAGGAGAACTTCCCCAACGTAGCAAGGCAGGCCAACATTCAACTTCAGGAAATAGAGAGAACACCACAAAGATACTCCTGGAGAAGAGCAACCCCAAGAAACATAATCATCATATTCACCAAGGTTGAAATGAAGGAAAAAATGTTAAGGGCAGCCAGAGAGAAAAGTCAGGTTACCCACAAAGGGAAGCCCATCAGACTAACAGCAGATCTCTCAGCAGAAACCCTACAAGCCAGAAGAGAGTGGGGGCTAATATTCAACATTATTAAAGAAAAAATTTTTAACCCAGAATTTCATATCCAGCCAACTAAGCTTCATAAGTGAAGGAGAAATAAAATCCTTTACAAACAAGCAAGTGCTGAGGGATTTTGTCACCATCAGGTGTGCCTTAAAGAGCTCCTGAAGGAAGCACTAAATATGGAAAGGAAAAAGTGGTACCAGCCACTGCAAAAACAAACCAAAATGTAAAGACCATCGACACTATGAAGAAACCGCATCAACTAATGGGGAAAATAACCTGCTAGCACCATAATGACAGGATCAAATTCACACATAACAATATTAGCATTAAAGGTAAGTGGGCTAAATGCCCCAATTAATAGGCACAGATGGGCAAACTGGATGAAGAGTCAAGACTCATCAGTGTGCTGTATTCAGGAGACCCATCTCAAGTGCAAAGACACACTTATGCTCAAAATAAAGGGATGGAGAAATATTTACCAAGCAAATGGAAAGAAAAAAAAACAGAGTTTACAATCCTAGTCTCTGATAAAACAGACTTTATAATACAGGAGCACGCAGATTCATAAAGCAAGTTCTTAGAGACCTACAAAGAGACTTAGACTCCCACACAATAATAGTGGGAGACTTTAATACCCCACTGTCAATATTAGACAGACCAATGAGACAGAAAATTAACAAGGATATTCAGCACTTGAACTCAGCTCTGAACCAGGTGGGCCTAATAAACATCTACAGAACTCTCCACCTCAAATAAACAGAATATACATTCTTCTCAGCACCACATAGCACTTATTCTAAAATCGACCACATAGTGGTTCCAAGATGGCCGAATAGGAACAGCTCCAGTCTACAGCTCCCAGCATGAGTGACGCAGAAGACAGGTGATTTCTGTATTTCCAACTGAGGTACCAGGTTCATCTCACTGGGGTGTGTCAGACAGTGGGTGCAGGACAGTGGGTGCAGCCCACCAAGCAAGAGCCAAGGCAGGGTGAGGCATCACCTCCCCTGGGAAGTGCAAGGGGTAAGGGAACTCACTTTCCTAGCCAAGGGAAGCCATGACAGACAGCACCTGGAAAATTGGGTCACTACCACCCTAATAGTGCACTTTTCCAATGGTCTTAGCAAACAGCACACCAGGAAAATATATCTCGTGCCTGGCTCAGAGGGTCCCATGCCCACAGAGCCTCACTCATTACTAGCACAGCAGTCTGAGATCTAACTACAAGGTGGCAGTGAGGCTGGGGGGAGGGGTGACTGCCATTGCTGAGGCTTGAGTAGGTAAACAAAGCGGCCAAGAATCTCAAACTGGGTGGAGCCCACCACAGCTCAAGAAGACCTGACTGCCTCTGTAGACTCCACCTCTGGGGGCAGGGCATAGCTGAACAAAAGGAAGCAGAAACCTCTGCATATTTAAATGTCCCTGTCTGACAGCTTTGAAGACAGTACTGATTTTCCCAGCATGGAGTTTGAGATCTGAGAATGGACAGACTGCCTCCTCAAGTGGGTCCCTGACCCCCAAGTAGCCTAATTGGGAGGCACTCCCTGGCAAACAGGGTCTGGAGTGGACCTCCAGCAAACTCCAACAGACCTGCAGCTGAGGGTTCTGACTGTTAGAAGGAAAACAAACAGAAAGGACATCCACACCAAAACCCCATCTGTATGTCACCATCATCAAAGACCAAAAGTAGATAAAGCCACAAAGATGGGGAAAAGACAGAGCAGAAAAACTGGAAACTCTAAAAATCAGAGCACCTCTCCCCCTCCAAAGGAAGGCAGCTCCTTGCCAGCAACAGAACAAAGCTGGATGGAGAGTGACTTTGACAAGTTGAGAGAAGAAAGCTTCAGATGATCAACCTTCTCCGAGCTAAAGGGGGAAGTTTGATCCCATTGCAAACAAGATAAAAACCTTGAAAAAAGATTAGGTGAATGGCTGACTGAATAACCAGCATAGAGAAGTCCCTAAACGACCTGACGGAGCTGAAAACCATGGCTCAAGAACTATGTGATGAATGTGCAAGCTTCAGTAACTGATTCGATCAACTGGAAGAAAGGGTATCAGTGATTGAAGATCAAACGAATGAAATGAAGTGAGAAAAGGAGTTTAGAGAAAAAAGAGTAAAAAGAAATGAACAAAGCCTCCAAGAAATATGGGACTATGTGAAAAGACCAAATCTACATCTGATTGGTGTACCTGAAAGTGACAAGGAGAATGGAACCAAGTTGGAAAACACTCTGCAGGATATTATCCAGGGGAACTTGCCCAACCTAGCAAGGCAGGCCAACATTCAAATTCAGGAAATACAGAGAACACCACAAAGATACTCCTTGAGAACAGCAACTCCAAGACACATAATTTTCAGATTCAACAAAGTTAAAATGAAGGAAAAAATGTTAAGGGCAGCCAGAGAGAAAGGTTGGGTTACCATCAAAGGGAAGCCCATCAGAGTAACAGTGGATCTCTCAACAGAAACTCTACAAGCCAGAAGAGAGTGGGGGCAAATATTCAACATTCTTAAAGAAAAGAATTTTCAACCCAGAATTGCATATCCAGCCAAACTAAGCTTCATAAGTGAAGGAGAAATAAAATACTTTACAGACAAGCAAATGCTGAGAGATTTTGTCACTACCAGGCCTGCCCTAAAAGAGCTCCTGATGGAAGCACTAAACATGGAAAGGAACAATCGGTACCAGCCACTGCAAAAACATGCCAAAATGTAAAGACCATCAATGCCAGGAAGAAGCTGCATCAACTAACAAGCAAAATAACCAGCTAACATCATAATGACAGGATCAAATTCACACACAACAATATTAACTTTAAATGTAAGTGGGCTAAATGCTCCAATTAAAAGACACAGAGTGGCAAATTGGATAAAAATTCAAGACCCATCAGTGTGCTGTACTCAGGAGACCCATCTCACATGCAGAGACACACACAGGCTCAAAATAAAGGAATGGAGGAAGATCTACCAAGCAAATGGAAAACAAAAAAAGGCAGGGGTTGCAATCCTAGTCTCTGATAAAACAGACTTTAAACCAACAAAGATCAAAGAGACAAAGAAGGCCATTACATAATGGTAAAGGGATCAATTCAACAAGAAGAGCTAACTATCCTAAATATATATGCACCCAATACAGGAGCACCCAGATTCATAAAGCAAGTCCTTAGAGACTTACAAAGAGACTTAGAGTCCCACACAATACTAATGGGAGACTTCAACACCCCACTATCAACATTAGACAGATCAATGAGACAGATAGTTAACAAGGATATTCAGGAATTGAACTCAGCTCTGCACCAAGCAGACCTAATAGACATCTACAGAACCCTCCACCCCAAATCAACAGAAAATACATTCTTCTCAGCACCACATCACACTTATTCCAAAACTGACCGCATAGTTGGAACTAAAACACTCCTCAGCAAATGTAAAAGAGCAGAAATTATAACAAACTCTTTCTCAGACCACAGTGCAATCAAACTAGAACTCAGGATTAATAAATTCACGCAAAACCACTCAACTACATGGAAACTGAACAACCTGCTCCTGAATGACTACTGGGTACATAACGAAATGAAGGCAGAAATAAAGATGTTCTTTGAAACCAACGAGAACAAAGACACAACATACCAGAATCTCTGGGACACATTTAAAGCAGTGTGTAGAGGGAAATTTATAACATTAAATGTGCACAAGAAAAAGAAGGAAAGATCTAAAATTGACACCCTAACATCACAATTAAAAGAACTAGAGAAGCAAGAGCAAACACATTCAAAAGCTAGCAGAAGGCAAGAAATAACTAAGATCAGAGCAGAACTGAAGGAGATAGAGACACAAAAAACCCTTCAAAGAATCAATGAATCCAGGAGCTGGTTTTTTGAAAAGATCAACAAAATTGATAGACTACGAGCAAAACTAATAAAGAAGAAAAGAGAGAAGACTCAAATAGATGCAGTAAAAAATTATAAAGGAGATATCACCACCGATCCCACAGAAATACAAACTATCATCAGAGAATACTATAAACACCTCTACACAGATAAACTAGAAAATCTAGAAGAAATGGATAAATTCCTTGACACATACACCCTCCCAAGACTAAACCAGGAAGAATTTGAATCCCTGAATAGATCAATAACAGCCTCTGAAATTGAGGCAATAATTAATAGCCTACCAACCAAAAAAAGTCCAGGACCAGATGGATTCACAGCTGAATTCTACCAGAGGTACAAGGAGGAGCTTGTACCACTCCTTCTGAAACTATTCCAATCAAAAGAAAAAGAGGGAGTCCTCCCTAATTCATTTTATGAGGCCAACATCATCCTGATACCAAAGCCTGGCAGAGACACACACACAAAAAAATTTCAGGCCAATATTCTTGATGAACATCCATGTGAAAATCCTCAATAAAATACTGGCAAACAGAATCCAGCAGCACATTAAAAAACTTATCCACCATGATCAAGTTGGCTTCATACCTGGGGTGCAAGGCTGCTTCAACATACACAAATCAATAAATGTAATCCATCATATAAACAAAACCAATGACAAAAACCACATGATTATCTCAATAGATGCAGAAAAGGCCTTCAATAAAATTCAACACCCCTTCATGCTAAAAACACTCAATAAACTTGGTATTGATTAAACACATCTCAAAATAATAAGAGCTATTTATGATAAACTCACAGCCAATATCATACTCAATGGGCAAAACCTGGAAGCATTCCCTCTGAAAACTGACACAAGACAAGGATGCCCTCTGTCACCACTCCTATTATTCAAAATAGTATTGGAAGCTGTGGCCAAGGCAATCAGGCAAGAGAAATAAATAAATGGTATTCAAATAGGAAAAGAGGAAATCAGATTGTCTCTGTTTGCATATGACATGATTGTATATTTAGAAAACCCCATTGTCTCAGCCCGAAAAACTCCTTAAGCTGAAAAACAACTTCAGCAAAGTCTCAGGATACAAAATCAACGTGCAAAACTCAAAAGCATTCCTGTACACAAATAATAGACAAGCAGAGAGCCAAATCATGAGTGAACTCCCATTCACAATTGCTACAAAGAAAATAAAATACCTAGGAATACAACTTAGAAGGGATATGAAGGACCTCTTCAAGGAGAACTACAAACCACTGCTCAAGGAAATAAGAGAGGACACAAACAAATGAAAAAACTTTCCATGCTCATGGATGGAAAGAATCAATATTGTGAAAATGGTCATACTGCCCAAATAATTTATAAATTCAGTGCTATCCTCATCAAACTACCATTGACTTTTTTCACAGAATTAGAAAAAACTACTTTAAAGTTCATGTGGTACCAAAAAAGAGCCCATATAACCAAGACAATCCTAAACAAAAAGAACGAAGCTGAAGGCATCACGCTACCTGACTTCAAACTATAATACAAGGCTACAGTCACCAGAACAACATGGTACTGGTAATGAAACAGATATATAGACCAATGGAACAGAACAGAGGCCTCAGAAATACCACCACACATCTACAACCATCTGATCTTTGACAAACCTGACAGAAACAAGCAATGGGGAAAGGATTCCCTATTCAATAAATGGTGCTGGGAAAACTGGCTAGCCATATGCAGAAAACAGAAACTGGACCCATTTACACCTTATACAAAAATGAGCTCAAGATGGATTAAAGGAGGGAGGAGCCAAGATGGCCGAATAGGAACAGCTCCTGTCTACAGCTCCCAGCGTGAGCGATGCAGAAGACAGGTGATTTCTGCATTTCCATCTGAGGTACCGGGTTCATCTCACTTGGGAGTGCCAGACAGTGGGCGCAGGTCAGTGGGTGTGTGCACCGTGCGCGAGCCAAAGCAGGGCGAGGCATTGCCTCACTTGGGAAGCGCAAGGGGTCAGGGAGTTCACTTTCCGAGTCAAAGAAAGGGGTGACAGACACACCTGGAAAATCCGGTCACTCCCACCCAAATACTGCGCTTTTCCGACTGGCTTAAAAAACGGCGCACCACGAGATTATATCCTGCACCTGGCTCGGAGGGTCCTATGCCCACGGAGTCTCGCTGATTGCTAGCACAGCAGTCTGAGATCAAACTGCAAGGCGGCAGCAAGGCTGGGGGAGGGGCGCCCGCCATTGCCCAGGCTTGCTTAGGTAAACAAAGCAGCTGGGAATCTCCAACTGGGTGGAGCCCACCACAGCTCAAGGAGGCCTGCCTGCCTCTGTAGGCTCCACCTCTGGGGGCAGGGCACAGACAAACAAAAAGACAGCAGTAACCTCTGCAGACTTAAATGTCCCTGTCTGACAGCTTTGAAGAGAGCAGTGGTTCTCCCAGCACGCAGCTGGAGATCTGAGAACCGGCAGACTGCCTCCTCAAGTGGCTCCCTGACCCCGAGCAGCCTAACTGGGAGGCACCCCCCAGCAGGGGCAGACTGACACCTCACACGGCAATGTACTCCAACAGACCTGCAGCTGAGGGTCCTGTCTGTTAGAAGGAAAACTAACAAACAGAAAGGACATCCACACCAAAAACCCATCTGTACATCACCATCATCAAAGACCAAAAGTAGATAAAACCACAAAGATGGGGAAAAAACAGAACAGAAAAACTGGAAACTCTAAAAAGCAGAGTGCCTCTCCTCCTCCAAAGGAACACAGTTCCTCACCAGCAACGGAACAAAGCTGGATGGAGAATGACTTTGACGAGCTGAGAGAAGAAGGCTTCAGACGATCAAATTACTCTGAGCTACGGGAGGACATTCAAACCAAAGGCAAAGAAGTTGAAAACTTTGAAAAAAATTTAGAAGAATGTATAACTAGAATAACCAATACAGAGAAGTGCTTAAAGGAGCTGATGGAGCTGAAAGCCAAGGCTCGAGAACTACGTGAAGAACGCAGAAGCCTCAGGAGCCAATGCAATCAACTGGAAGAAAGGGTATCAGTGATGGAAGATGAAATGAATGAAATGAAGTGAGAAGGGAAGTTTAGAGAAAAAAGAATAAAAAGAAATGAGCAAAACCTCCAAGAAATATGGGACTATGTGAAAAGACCAAATCTACGTCTGATTGGTGTACCTGAAAGTGATGGGGAGAATGGAACCAAGTTGGAAAACACTCTGCAGGATATTATCCAGGAGAACTTCCCCAATCTAGCAAGGCAGGCCAACGTTCAGATTCAGGAAATACAGAGAACGCCACAAAGATACTCCTCGAGAAGAGCAACTCCAAGACACATAATTGTCAGATTCACCAAAGTTGAAATGAAGGAAAAAATGTTAAGGGCAGCCAGAGAGAAAGGTCGGGTTACCATCAAAGGGAAGCCCATCAGACTAACAGCGGATCTCTCGGCAGAAACCCTACAAGCCAGAAGAGACTGGGGGCAAATATTCAACATTCTTATAGAAAAGAATTTTCAACCCAGAATTTCATATCCAGCCAAACTAAGCTTCATAAGCGAAGGAGAAATAAAATACTTTACAGACAAGCAAATGCTGAGAGATTTTGTCACCACCAGGCCTGCCCTAAAAGAGCTCCTGAAGGAAGTGCTAAACATGGAAAGGAACAACCGGTACCAGCCACTGCAAATTCATGCCAAAATGTAAAGACCATCGAGACTAGGAAGAAACTGCATCAACTAACGAGCAAAATAACCAGCTAACATCATAATGACAGGATCAAATTCACACATAACAATATTAACTTTAAATGTAAATGGACTAAATGCTCCAATTAAAAGACACAGACTGGCAAATTGCATAAAGAGTCAAGACCCATCAGTGTGCTGTATTCAGGAAACACATCTCACATGCAGAGACACACATAGGCTCAAAATAAAAGGATGGAGGAAGATCTACCAAGCAAATGGAAAACAAAAAAAGGCAGGGGTTGCAATCCTAGTCTCTGATAAAACAGACTTTAAACCAACAAAGATCAAAAGAGACAAAGAAGGCCATTACATAATGGTAAAGGGATCAATTCAACAAGAAGAGCTAACTATCCTAAATATATATGCACCCAACACAGGAGGACCCAGATTCATAAAGCAAGTCCTGAGTGACCTACAAAGAGACTTAGACTCCCACACAATAATAATGGGAGACTTTAACACCCCACTGTCAACATTAGACAGATCAATGAGACAGAAAGTCAACAAGGATACCCAGGAATTGAACTCAGCTCTGCACCAAGCAGACCTATAGACATCTACAGAACCCTCCACCCCAAATCAACAGAATATACATTTTTTTCAGCACCACACCACACCTATTCCAAAATTGACCACATACTTGGAAGTAAAGGACTATTCAGCAAATGTAAAAGAACAGAAATTATAACAAACTATCTCTCAGACCACATTGCAATCAAACTAGAACTCAGGATTAAGAATCTCACTCAAAACCACTCAACTACATGGAAACTGAACAACCTGCTCCTGAATGACTACTGGGTACCTAACGAAATGAAGGCAGAAATAAAGATGTTCTTTGAAACCAACGAGAATAAAGACACAACATACCAGAGTCTCTGGGATGCATTCAAAGCAGTGTGCTGAGGGAAATTTATAGCACTAAATGCCCACAAGAGAAAGCAGGAAAGATCCAAAATTGACACCCTAACATCACAATTAAAAGAACTAGAAAAGCAAGAGCAAACACATTCAAAAGCTAGCAGAAGGCAAGGAATAACTAAAATCAGAGCAGAACTGAAGGAAATAGAGACAGAAAAAACCCTTCAAAAAATTAATGAATCCAGGAGCTGGATTTTTGAAAGGATAAACAAAATTGATAGACCGCTAGCAAGACTAATAAAGAAAAAAAGAGAGAAGAATCAAATAGACGCAATAAAAAATGATAAAGGGGATATCACCACCGATCCCACAGAAATACAAACTACCATCAGAGAATATTACAAACACCTCTACGCAAATAAACTAGAAAATCTAGAAGAAATGGATAAATTCCTTGACACATACACTCTCCCAAGACTAAACCAGGAAGAAGTTGAATCTCTGAATAGACCAATAACAGGATCTGAAATTGTGGCAATAATCAATAGCTTACCAACCAAAAAGAGTCCAGGACCAGATGGATTCACAGCCGAATTCTACCAGAGGTATAAGGAGGAGCTGGTACCATTCCTTGTGAAACTATTCCAATCAATAGAAAAAGAGGGAATCCTTCCTAACTCATTTTATGAGGCCAGCATCATTCTGATACCAAAGCCGGGCAGAGACACAACCAAAAAAGAGAATTTTAGACCAATATCCTTGATGAACATTGATGCAAAAATCCTCAATAAAATACTGGCAAAACGAATCCAGCAGCACATCAAAAAGCTTATCCACCATGATCAAGTGGGCTTCATCCCTGGGATGCAAGGCTGGTTCAACATACGCAAATCAATAAATGTAATCCAGCATATAAACAGAACCAAAGACAAAAACCACATGATTATCTCAATAGATGCAGAAAAAGCCTTTGACAAAATTCAACAACCCTTCATGCTAAAAACTCTCAATAAATTAGGTATTGATGGGACGTATTTCAAAATAATAAGAGCTATCTATGACAAACCCACAGCCAATATCATACTGAATGGGCAAAAACTGGAAGCATTCCCTTTGAAAACTGGCACAAGAGAGGGATGCCCTCTCTCACCATTCCTATTCAACATAGTGTTGGAAGTTCTGGCCAGGGCAATCAGGCAGGAGAAGGAAATAAAGGGTATTCAATTAGGAAAAGAGGAAGTCAAATTGTCCCAGTTTGCAGACGACATGGTTGTATATCTAGAAAACCCCACTGTCTCAGCCCAACATCTCCTTAAGCTGATAAGCAACTTCAGCAAAGTCTCAGGATACAAAATCAATGTACAAAAATCACAAGCATTCTTATACACCAACAACAGACAAACAGAAAGTCAAATCATGAGTGAACTCCCATTCACAATTGCTTCAAAGAGAATAAAATACCTAGGAATCCAACTTACAAGGGATGTGAAGGACCTCTTCAAGGAGAACTACAAACCACTGCTCAATGAAATCAAAGAGGATACAAACAAATGGAAGAACATTCCATGCTCATGGGTAGGAAGAATCAATATCGTGAAAATGGCCATACTGCCCAAGGTAATTTACAGATTCAATGCCATCCCCATCAAGCTACCAATGACTTTCTTCACACAATTGGAAAAAACTACTTTAAAGTTCATATGGAACCAAAAAAGAGCCCACATTGCCAAGTCAATCCTAAGCCAAAAGAACAAAGCCGGAGGCATCACACTACCTGACTTCAAACTATACTACAAGGCTACAGTAACCAAAACAGCATGGCACTGGTACCAAAACAGAGATATAGATCAATGGAACAGAACAGAGCCCTCAGAAATAACGCTACATATCTACAACTATCTGATCTTTGACAAACCTGACAAAAACAAGCAATGGGGAAAGGATTCCCTATTTAATAAATGGTGCTGGGAAAACTGGCTAGCCATATGTAGAAAGCTGAAACTGGATCCCTTCCTTACACCTTATACAAAAATCAATTCAAGATGGATTAAAGACTTACATGTTAGACCTAAAACCATAAAAACCCAAGAAGAAAACCTAGGCAATACCACTCAGGACATAGGCATGGGCAAGGACTTCATGTCTAAAACACCAAAGCAATGGCAACAAAAGACAAAATTGACAAATGGGATCTAATTAAACTAAAGAGCTTCTGCACAGCAAAAGAAGCTACCATCAGAGTGAACAGGCAACCTACAAAATGGGAGAAAATTTTCGCAACCTACTCATCTGACAAAGGGCTAATATCCAGAATCTACAATGAACTCAAACAAATTTACAAGAAAAAAACAAACAACCCCATCAAAAAGTGGGTGAAGGACATGAACAGACACTTCTCAAAAGAAGACATTTATGCAGCCAAAAAACACATGAAAAAATGCTCATCACCACTGGCCATCAGAGAAATGCAAATCAAAACCACAATGAGATACCATCTCACACCAGTTAGAATGGCGATCATTAAAAAGTCAGGAAACAACAGGTGCTGGAGAGGATGTGGAGAAATAGGAACACTTTTACACTGTTGGTGGGACTGTAAACTAGTTCAACCATTGTGGAAGTCAGTGTGGCAATTCCTCAGGGATCTAGAACTGGAAACACCATTTGACCCAGCCATCCCATTACTGGGTATATACCCAAAGGACTATAAATCATGCTGCTATAAAGACACATGCACACGTATGTTTATTGCGGCATTATTCACAATAGCAAAGACTTGGAACCAACCCAAATGTCCAACAATGATAGACTGGATTAAGAATATGTGGCACATATACACCATGGAATACTATGCAGCCATAAAAAATGATGAGTTCATGTCCTTTGTAGGGACATGGATGAAATTGGAAATCATCATTCTCAGTAAACTATCGCAAGGACAAAAAACCAAACACCGCATATTCTCACTCATAGGTGGGAATTGAACAATGAGATCACATGGACACAGGAAGGGGAATATCACACTCTGGGGACAGTTGTGGGGTGGGGGGAGGGGGGAGGGATAGCATCGGGAGATATACCTAATGCTAGATGACGAGTTAGTGGGTGCAGCGCACCAGCATGGCACATGTATACATATGTAACTAACCTGCACAATGTGCACATGTACCCTAAAACTTAAAGTATAATAAAAATTAAAAAAATTAAAAAAAAAAGATGGATTAAAGATTTAAATGTAAGAACTAAAACCATAAAAAACCCTAGAAGAAAACCTAGGCAATACCATTCAGGACATAGGCATGGGCAAAGACTTCATGACTAAAACACCAAAAGCAATTGCAACAAAAGCCAAAATTGACAAATGGGGTCTAATTAAACTAAAGAGCTTCTGCACAGCAAAAGAAATGATCATCAAAGTGAACAGGCAACCTACAGAATGGAAGAAAATTTTTGCAATCTATCCATCTGACAAAGGGCTAATATCCAAAATCTGCAAGGAACTTAAACAAATTTACAAGAAAAAAAAAAACCTCATCAAAAAGTGGGCAAAGGATATGAACAGGCACTTCACAAAAGAAGACATTTATGTGGCCAACAAACATGTGAAAAAAAGCCCATCATCACTAGTCATTGGAGAAATATGAATCAAAACCACAATGAGATACCATCTCATGCCAGTTAGAATGGTTATCATTAAAATGTCAGGAAACAACAGATGCCAGAGAGGATTTGGAGAAATAGGAACATTCTTACACTGTTGGTGGGAGTGTAAATTAGTTCAACCATTGTGGAAAACAACGTGGCAATTCCTCAAGGATCTAGAACCAGAAATACCATTTGACCCAGCTATCCCATTACTGGGTATATGCCCAAAGGATTATAAATCATTCTACTATAAAGACACATGTACATGTATGTTTATTGCAGCACTATTCACAATAGCAAAGACTTGGAACCAACTCAAATGCCCATAAATGTTAGACTGGATAAAGAAAATGTGGCATATATACACCATGGAATACTATGCAGTCATAAAAAAGAATGAGTTCATGTCCTTTGCAGGGACATGGATGAAGCTGGAAACAATCATTCTCAGCAAACTAACACAGGAACAGAAAACCAAACACTGCATGTTTTCACTCATCAGTAGGAGTTGAACAATGAGAACATATGGGCATAGGGAGGGGAAAATCACACACCAGGGCCTGTCATGGGGTGGGGTACAAAGGGAGGGATAACATTAGAAGAAATACCTAATGTAGACAATGGGTTGATGGGTGCAGCAAACCACCATGGCACATGTATGCCTATGTAACAAACCTGAACGTTCTGTACATGTATCCCAGAACTTAAAGTATAATAAAAAATAAATATGTAAATAAATAACAAATAAATAAATAAGAGTAAAGTATCAATTTGGTGGTGAAGTATAATGATCATAAGTAGAAAAATTCAATTGTGGGAAGGAAGGTGGCCCATTTTTCTTTCAGTTGCTTGTGGGCGGTAGAGGCATTCTTCAAGCACCTAATTAATACTTCCATTCTGGTTATCATTCTGCATTAGGATGGCCAGTGACCTTTTTTTCATTTACTGGTGCATTATAATATTTTTTCAAATTAAATTTTATAAAAGAAAAAGAAACCAGTCTAAGACCTGATGATTATACTTTATGTCAGAAGGGAAATATTTGAAATTATGGAAAATCATATCTCCCAATTGTATTAGAGCTCCTTCAGGACAGGCATACTCATAGCCCCTTGAAAGGAAGCTCTTTCAACAATCTTCCTCTAAGCAACATAGCTATCAATAATTTTGGATAGTCATCTTATATAAAACAAGACCTAATTAATTTATTGAATTAAGTTCCCTGGACCAGGTTCCTAGACCAAGGTGGTGCCTGAAACAAGGACAGATTATTCATGTATCATCAGGTGATTTACAGGACAAATTGGCACAAAAATCACTATGGAAAGAGGTATCCAACTGTACTCCTTCAGCTGCTCTTGCAAAAGTCCACACTCATTCCCAAGCAGCATGCCTCTAAACATGTGAACTAGTCTATCTCCTATAACTTCCTCTTATATACATTCTGCCTAGTGTTACCCCTTCATCTATCACTTGCATTTATGAATCTTATAATCTGAGCTGGGAACTAAAACATATGAAAGAGGTTCTAGATTCCTACTTTTACCACTACCAACTCAAGCATCTAATATAAGTCAAGTGTTTGACAGCAGCAGTTGTAGAAACTAGTCACCAACCTAAATTATGTCATTCAAAGGCACCAGGGACCTTCAATAGGCACATTCAGAGAGCCTCTGAATGGACTTCTACTTTCCATGTTATAATCTGTAAAGGGAAATCAGTGGATGCCTTGTCAGCAAGAGATTCACATTTCTTTTGTTTGTTCCTCTCCAGTTTTTACAATCCTCCAATTACTGACACTATTCCTCTCAAATTTGCTATCTGACATTTGTCCTTGGATGTGGCACTGGTATTTCATTAACAGATACTAGGTCCAGGTGAAGATGAGACTGCTCACATGCACTTCCTTAAACATGGCTCTCAAGTACAGTTTCTCTCCATTTGTAAACCTGTGAACTAAACAGATAAGCTTTCTGTCCCCTACACATTACTCAGACAGTGGAGTGATGAGCATAGTATAACCAACACATACATTTTTATTCAAAGAGATGTAATGCAAAGTACAGAGAAGTCATTGATCCAGAACAGTTCTGAAACCCAGCTGGGCAAATGTTGCAGGTTCCATGACTAAGACTCATCCATATCTTCCCCAAGAGTTGTTCTATATGACTCCTGGCTACATCCTCCCAGCTCTTTGTTCTGCCTTCTAAGTCATCCTTTCATTTTCATTAAAACTGACGTATAGCTGAAGACATAGTTTTCTCAGCCTGATTCTTATCAGTAATGTTTGAAGATCCAATGGTCTGTTTTCATTGCCTGCTCTCTCTGTCCATTTCTGTCCAAACTGGTAGTGTTTCTCCTGATATAATTCTATTAAAAATTTCCTGGGTCTCCTTTGAATCTTTTTGGAGGGTCTGCTCATTAAATAAAAGACATCTAAAAATCTTCCCAAGTAAGCCCATCTCTTCATTATGCTTCTATCAAGAAACAATGCCCTTAAGCTTCTTAAAAGTGATGTTTTTATTGAAAGAATCTGTGAGTCATGACATCGAAATATTTAGAGAACCTTTTGAACTGAGTAATAATCTGGGGCATCATGTAAGACAGCTTTGATGTTTTAACAAAGGTTTTTTTTAAATTTGTGTGGGTACATGGTAGGTGTATATATTTATGGAGTACATAAGATGTTTTGATACAGGCATGAAATGTGTTATAATTACATCATGGAGAATGACGTATTCATCCCCTCAACCATTAATCCTTTGTGTTACAAGCAATTCAGTTGTACTCTTTTAGTTATTTTATGATGTATAGTTAACTTATTTTTTTTTTTTTTTTTTTTTTTTTTTGAGACGGAGTCTCGCTCTGTCGCCCAGGCTGGAGTGCAGTGGTGGGATCTCGGCTCACTGCAAGCTCCGCCTCCCGGGTTCACGCCATTCTCCTGCCTCAGCCTCCCAAGGAGCTGGGACTACAGGCGCCCGCCACTACGCCCGGCTAATTTTTTGTATTTTTAGTAGAGACGGGGTTTCACCGTTTTAGCCGGGATGGTCTCGATCTCCTGACCTCGTGATCCGCCCGCCTCGTCCTCCCAAAGTGCTGGGATTATAGGCCAATTAACTTATTATTGACTATAGTCACTCTGTTGGGCTATCAAATACTAGGTCTTATTCATTCATTCCATTTTTTGTACTCATTAACTACCCCTACCTCCCAACAACCCCAGTCCTCCCACTATATTCCCCAGCCTCTGGTAACCTTCCTTCTGCTCTCTATCTCCATGAGTTCAATTGTTTTGATTTTTAGATCTCACAGATAAGTGGGAACATGTGATGCTTACCTTGCTGAGGCTTATTTCACTTAGCATAATGAACTCCAGTTCCGTTTAACAATGGTTTTTTTTTTAACATTCAACTCCCAACTTATTCATGTTTGACATTTCCTTCTTTTCTCTCTTTGCTTGCATTTTACTCTAAGCAGCAATATGAAATCAGGCTGTATTTTTAGTGCTTTACCCAGAAATTCCCCAACAACACCCAGTTCATTAGGCATGTTTTCTGCGTTCCACATACCATATGGAAGAATATTGCTAAACATCTGCCATTCATAACAAGAAGTCCTTTCCTCCAGTTTCCATGTTTTTCACATTGCTTTAAGTCTCACTCACAACTGCCTAAAAATCACATAATGCTTCTAAAAATATTTTCAAGGCTGTTCAAGCTTTATATAACTTTCTCATCAAAATCTTTCTAGTTGCAGACCACTGCCTGCTTCCAAACCACTTTCACGTGTGCAGATATTATTAGGATAGCACTCTGCTCCTAGTATGAAGAGATGTATGAATTACTTATCACTGCAAAACAAATCATCCCAATACCTAGCCACTTATACCACAAACATTTACCTCACACAGTTTCTGAAGGTCTAGCATCCTAAAGCAACTTAGCCAGATACCTCTGGTTCAAGGTCTTTTATGATGTTGCAGTCAAGGTGTCAGCAGGGGTTGAATTTGTCTAAAGGACTGACTGGTGCTGGAGGATCTGCTTCAAGATGGCTCACTCTCTAGCTGCTGTTGGAAGAAGGCTTCAGTTCCTTGCCACAAAGGCCTGTCCTCAGGGAATGTCCTCATGGTATGGCATCTTGCTTTCCTAGGAGTAAATAACCCAAGAGGCAGAGCACCCTGCCTTCTTATGACTGTCTGCAAAGCCACACACCATCACTTCTGTTTTGTTCAGTTACTCAGAAGTGAGTCACCACATCCAGCCCACACTCAAGTAGAAGAGAATTAAGCTCTAATTTTTAAAGACAGGATTATTAAACTATAAGTGCATATATTTCTTTTCAAAACCACAAACTGCATCACTGTTCAACTTCTACCTTTGCCCAGTCTTGTGTTCCTTATATGCTTACAAATGTTGGTTCTAAGAGCACCCGAAAAAAACCTTCCTGCATGTACATTTCTGCCTCAGACTCTCTTTCTCAGTGAACCAACCCAAAGAAACCTATGGCAATGGCTAACAAAACACAGCAATGCTTTGTGCAAAATAGATGGGCTACCAACAAGAGTATTACTATTATATACAATCAAAAGAAGTCAGGAAAGATAATCAACAATTTGAGGGCAGATTGCCCCATAAAAAATTATGGTTTCTTTTTTAATTTCCACATCAGAGCCGGGTCTCAGAACCCAAAGCCACTGGATGAAGGAGAAGTTGTATCCCTAGAAGGAAGACCTCTGAAACACCAGAGTAATTGCATATTTAAATGATTCCTCCAGACCTTCCCAAAGAAATCTATGCCATTTACTTGCATGAACATGCACTGGAAACATTCTGAGGACTGCTGAGCACAGAGTTCATGGTGGCATAAATATTCAGGGACTCAAAGAGTCATCATGCTGCCATTTTAAAGCAGGAGTTTTGGGAGTGACATAATAGAGGATCACAACCAAGGCCTCAAAGGAGTTATTCCCCCATTCCTTCCTGAATAATGGGATTCACCATACTTGATGACGTGCAGAACACCCACAGGTCCTTGACCTGTGGAATAAGAACTACCAAGGTGAAAAAAGTCAAGTGGACACAAGAAAACTGTATCTCACTCCCTCCTAAAATAGTAAATCAAAAATAACAGTGTGTTCCTAGTGAATAACAACTTTTCTACCCTTAAAAGCTTAAAGTACACAGGGGTTGTAGTCTCCAGTATGTCTCCATCTAATTGCTTGGAGGGCCAGACTTAAGTCCATTTGAGTCTGGCCCTACAAATAATTGACAGATTGTCTTAGTCTATTTAGTGTTGCTATAATAGAATATGTGAGGCTAAGTAATTTATAAAGAGAAGAGGTTTATTTAGCACCCAGTTTTGTGGGTTAGCAAGTTCAAGGGTCTTACCATGGCTTCTGGCAAGGGCTTTCATGTTGCATCCTAATATGACAGAGAAGGACAAAGAGGAAATGCACATGTTTGAAGAAACAAAACCCAAGGGGCACCCTGACTTGTAACAACCATCTCAGCTCCAGAGCTCCCCATAGCTTGGCCTTTGCTGTAACTGCATCACAGTTCAGCTTCTCCCTCTGCCCAATCCTGTTCCTCCACCTTCCCCAGTAAATTTCATGCCCACAAACCTCAGACTCAGAGTCTGTTTCGCAGGGAGCCTGGTCAGTAGATTCTGTATAATGTTGGACTGAAATGAAACTATAAAAACTGAAAACCCCAAAACACATATTTCCTGTAGAGAAGGGGAAGATCTGTTAACAGGTTCTACCCATGTGTCTCACTACGAAACTTCTTTAAGGAATTCCAGCCATGAAGCTAGACAGAAGGACCAGCTGTTGTTCATTAGAGCATATTCTGGGTACTGTTGGAAGAAAAAGAGCAAGGAACTAAGATTGTGAGGTGTACCATGGTCCTGTGCTGTTTCCATCCACCTGACACCTTCACTTCCTTCACCACAATGATCACATGGCTCTGGAGAACTGACCAATCACGTTATTTTGAAGCTTATGTTATGAAGCCCTAAATCCATCTGTACTGTTTTCTACTCCAGGATTTGATAGTCACTTAAACCAGGAAGTTCCTCACTTTGCTTAAGGTATTTTGTTTGCTGTCCCTTGCAACTAAGAGAGTCCTAACACAGGTCTACTTGTTAGCCCTGGGAATTCCTAGAGAGATTAGACTAATGAAGCCTCTAACAGGTTCATTTCTCATATTTGGAAATAGACAGATCACTAAAGCCACACACACCCTTTTCTTTCTATACTTTTCTTAATATCATACATCTGCCAGGCTCCTTGTGTTAAGAGTCTGGGTGTATGTTCTTGATGGACAAGCCCTGATGAGCCTTGCCCACACCCCTTTCCAAGCCCAGCCTTGTAGAGCAGTAGTCCTAAGTGTGAGCCGCCAAAACCCTGTTTAATCAATGATCTATAGGCAGTTATCAGAGTGCTGTTCTCCTGTTGCCCCGTGAAGTGACAGGGCTTTGGGGAATGTGCTCAGGGCTGCAGTGGACCCCTCTCCACAGGGTACAGAGGTATGGAAGAACAGAGTCCTTGGCATCTGCATTTGAGCAAGACACAGAAATTTCTTGTTATATTTCCCTCAGCTGAGATGGTGGTAAAGTTTGCTACCACTACAGTTGTGTCAGACTGGGCTCCCTGAGACATTAAAGCTGCCCTCTTGATAGGTTTCACTATCCAGGCAAGTTCTGCCACAGCCACAAAGTTGGCAGTCTCTGTGCTACATCAATACCAAAAGACTAATTAACACTAAGGAGTTTCTGAGGTTCCACAGATTTCTACTTCCTCCCTGGACTGAATTCTCACCCCAGCCCTCATAAACAAGACACGCCTTCTTGCTTCCACTCTTGTAAGCAGAAATTGAATGTGGGTAATCAAAACTCAGTGTCTATACCCTGCAGACAACTACCATCCCAAGGGTGCCAACAATCAGTTTTGTAAGTTTATCCTACTCACTGATATATGCTACTACTCACCTGATAGTGGGATTATATGCAGTTGACTCTGCCCCTGCTAGAGAGCCCTGTGGATGGCACAGCCCTTTGCCATGGCCCAAATTGTCTCTATTGTGATGCATCATTGGTCCTTAATTACCCATTTCCTCTGCTTTTCTCTTGGTCCATTGTGAATCAGCACTTTATTTCAGTTTCCTTATTCTATAAATGTTCACTCAGTTAAAGCACCGCCAAAGCTGGTTGAAGGGGGAGTCTGTTGAAAAGGGCCACAAAGTCTGCAATAGTAGAAATAATGGAGATGAACCCATAGCCATGGAGTGAGGGAATATCCTCATCGAGTTGTTTCTAAAATGTGCAAAACAGTGCCTGGCACAGTGGGAACACTTGAATGTCACCACTGTTGTCATTATTTTATTCCTACTGACTCTGTTGGCAAAGCATGTCAATGAAGGCTTCCAATCTAACAGGTGCCTCTGCAGCTTTCAATCGGAGCTGCTGCATTTATTTTATCCCTTTTTCACATTGGACAGCTCAGTGGTACACTCCAGAAGATGGGGTTCTGCTGCAAAAGAAAAGTGTAGCTCTGGAAAATCAGTGGAGGCTACAGTTCCTCATCTTTCCAACACAGAACCTACAGCCAACTCTGACCACAGCTCATGGGTTCAGGCAAAGCTGGGGGCAGCCACCTTTCATTAGGACAAAAAGACAGGAAACCTGTGGCATCCACTTATTTGTTTTCAAAAGCCCTTCTTTTTGAAGCAAAGCTTCTTTTTGAAGTACCAAAAATTAATCATTTACAAAGCATCCCCCATATTTTTATAAACTCAGAAATGTTTTAGCTTTGAAGTTGAAATTTAATATTTTTTAAACAAATGTAAAAATTGATCTTTTTATATTTCACCTAGAAAACTGAATAAGCTGAATTACCAGGAATATTTTTTTCACTTTCATTTTTAAGTAAAAACTTTGCAACGGAAAACAAAATAGTACGTAGAAATATTTTGTAAACTATAAGGTATTTTGAAAACACTAATTACATGTTGTTGTTTTTTACTTCAAGTTCTGGGATACATGTGCTGAACATGCAGGTTTGTTACATAGCCATACACGTGCCATGGTGGTTTGCTGCACCCATCAACCCGTCATCTAGGTTTTAAGCCCTGCATGAATTAGGCATTTGTCCTAATGCTCCCCCTCCCCTTTCTGCCCACCCCCTGACAGGCCCTGGTGTGTGATGTTCTCCTCCCTGTGTCCAAGTGTTCTCATTGTTCATCTCCCACTTATGAGAACATGCAGTGTTCGGTTTTCTCTTCCTGTGTTAGCTTGCTGAGAATGATGGTTTCCAGCCTCATCCATGTCCCTGCAAAGGACATTAACTCATTCCTTTTTATGGCTGCATAGGATTCCATGGTGTATATTTACTACATTTTCTTTATCCAGTCTAACATTGATGGGCATTTGGGTTGGTTCCAAGTCTTTGCTATTGTGAATAATGCTGCAATAAACATACATGTGCATGTGTCCTTATAGTAGAATGATTTATAACCTTTTGGGTATATACTCAGTAATGGGATTGCTGGGTCAAATGGTATTTCTGGTTCTAGATCCTTGAGGAATTGCCACACTGTCTTCCACAGTGGTCAAACTAATTTACACTCCCACAAACAGTGTAAAAGCTTTCCTATTTCTCCACATCCTCACCAGCATCTGTTGTTCCCAGACTTTTTAGTGACCACCATTCTAACTGACGTGAGATGGTATCTCACTGTGGTTTTGATTTTCATTTATCTAAAGACCAGTGATGATGAGCTTTACTTCATATGTTTTTTGGCCGCATAAATGTCTTCTTTTGTGAAGTGTCTGTTCATATCCTTCACCCACTTTTCGATGGAGTTGTTTGTTTTTTCTTGTAGATGTGTTTAAGTTCCTTGTAGATTCAGAATATTAGCCCTTTGTCAGATGGATAGATTGCAAAAATTTTCTCCCATTCTGTAGGTTGCCTGTTCACTCTGATGATAGTTTCCTTTGCTGTGCAGAAGCTCTTAGTTTAATTAGATCCCATTTGTCAATTTTAGAATTTTAGTTTTTGTTGCAATTGCTTTTTGTGTTGTAGTCATTAAGTCTTTGTCCATGCTTATGTCCTGCATGGTATTGCCTAGGTTTTCTTCTAGGGTTTTTATGGTTTTAGGTTTTATGTTTAAGTCTTTAATCCATCTTGAGTTAATTTTTGTATAAGGTGTAAGGAAGGGATCCAGTTTCAGTTTTTTGCATATGGTTAGCCAGCTTTCCCAGCACCAATTATTAAATAAGAAATCCTTTCCCCATTGCTTGTTTTTGTCAGGTTTGCTGAAGATCAGATATTTGTAGATGTGTGATGTTATTTCTGAGGCCTCTGTTCTGTTCCATTGGTCTATATATCTGTTTTGATACCAGTACCATGCTATTTTGGTTACTGTAGCCTTGTATTATAGCTTGAAGTCAGGTAGTGTGATGCCTTCAGCTTTGTTCTTTTTGCTTAGGATTGTCTTGGCTATGCAGCCTCTTTTTTGGTTCCATATAAAATTTAAAGTATTTCTTTCTAATTCTGTGAAGAAAGTCAATGGCAGCATGATGGGAATTGCATTGAATCTATAAATTACTTTGGGCAATATGGCTATTTTCATGATATTGATTCTTCCTATCCATGAGCAGGGAATGTTTTTCCATTTGTTTGTGTCCTCTCTTATTGAGCAGTGGTTTGTAGTTCTCCTTGAAGAGGTCCTTCACATCCCTTATAAGTTGTATTCCTAGGTATTTTATTTTCTTTGTAGCAATTGTGAATGGGAGTTCACTCATGATTTGCCTCTCTGTTCATCTATTATTGGTGTATAGGAATGCTTGTGATTTTTGTACATTGATTTTATATCCTGAGACTTTGCTGAAGTTGTTTATCAGCTTAAGAAGTTTTGGGACTGAGACAATGGGGTTTTCTAAATATACAATCATGTCATCTGCAAACAGAGACAATTTGACTTCCTCTCTTCCTGTTTAAATACCCTTTATTTCTTTCTCTTTCCTCATTTCCCTGGCCAGAAGTCCCAATACTATGTTGAATAGGAGTGGTGAGAAGGGGTGTGTTTGCCTTGTGCCAGTTTTCAAAGGGAATGCTTCCAGCTTTTGCCCATTCAGTATGATATTGGCTGTGGGTTTGTCATAAATAGCTCTTATTATTTTGAGATATGTTCCATCAATACCTAGTTTATTGAGAGTTTTTAGCATGAAGGGGTGTTGAATTTTATCGAAGGCCTTTTCTGCATCTATTGAGATAATCATGTGGTGTTTGTCATTGGTTCTGTTTATGTGATGGATTACATTTATTGATTTGTGTATTTGAACCAGCCTTGTATCCCAGGGATGAAGCCAACTTGATCATGGTGAATAAGCTTTTTGATGTGCTGCTGGATTTGATTTGCCAGTATTTTATTGAGGATTTTCGCATCAAAGTTCATCAGGGATATTGGCCTGAAATGTTCTTTTTTTGTTGTGTCTCTGCCAGGTTTTGGAATCAGGATGATGCTGGCCTCATAAAATGAGTTAGGGAGGAATCACTTTTTTTCTATTGTTTAGAATAGTTTCAGAAGGAACGGTACCAGCTCCTCTTTGTACCTCTGTTAGAATTCAACTGTGAATCCATCTGGTCCTGGGCTTTTTTTGGTTGATAGGCTATTAATTACTGCCTCAATTTCAGAACTTGTTATCAATCTATTCAGGGATTCAACTTCTTCCTGGTTTCGTCTTTGGAGGGTGTATATGTCCAGGAATTTATCCATTTTTTCTAGATTTTCTAGTTGATTTGCATAGAGGTGTTTCTAGTATTCTCTGATGGTAGTTTGTATTTCTGTGGGACCAGTGGTGATATCCTGTATGTCAGGCCTCTGAGACTAAGCTAAGCCATCATATCCCCTGTGACCTACATGTATACATCCAGATGGCCTGAAGTAACTGAAGAATCACAAAAGAAGTGATATTTAAATGGCCTGTTCCTGCCTTAACTGATGACATTCAACTGCAAAAGAAGTGCAAATGGCCAGTCCTTGCCTTAACTGATGACATTAGCTTCTGAAATTCCTTCTGGCTCATCCTGGCTCAAAAAGCTCCCTGACTGAGCACCTTGTGACCCCCACTCCTGTCTGCCAGAGAACCCCCCTTTGACTTTAATTTTCCTTTACCTACCCAAATCTTATAAAACAGCCCCACCCTTATCTCCCTTCGCTGACTCTCTTTTCAGACTCAGCCTGCCTGCACCCAGGTGAAATAAACAGCCTCATTGTTCACACAAAGCCTGTTTGGTGGTCTCTTCACACAGAAGCGAGTGAAATTTTGGTGCCATGACTTGGACCAGGGGACCTCCCTTGTGAGATCAATCCCCTGTCCTTCTGCTCTTTGATCCGTGAGAAAGATCCACCTATGACCTCAGGTCCTCCGACTGACCAGCCCAAGGAACATCACACCAATTTTAAATCCAGTAAGCGACCTCTTTCTACTCTCTTCTCCAACCTCTCTCACTATCCCTCAACCTCTTTCTCCTTTCAATCTTGGCACCACACTTCAATCTCTCCCTTCTCTTAATTTCAGTTCCTTTCCTTTTCTTGTAGAAACAGGAGATGCATTTTATCCGTGGACCCAAAACTCCAGCACCGGTCACAGACTCAGGAAGACAGTCTTCCCTTGGTGTTTAATCATACGCGGATGCCTGCCTGATTATTCACCCACATTTCAGAGGTGTCTGACCCCTGACCCCTTCTCTCCATTTCTCTACCCCTTCTCCACTTTTATGGGGGGCAAGAACACCCCCAACCCCTTCTCTCCATGTCTCTACCCCTTCTCCACTTTTCTGGGGGACAATAACCCCCTGACCACTTCTCTCCATGTTTCTTGGGGAGCAAGCACCCCCCACCCCTTCTCTCTGTGTCTCTACTCTCTCTTTTCTCTGGGCTTGCCTCCTTCACTATGGGTAGGCTTCCACCCTCCATTCCTCCTTCTCCCTTAGCCTGTGTTCTTAAGAACTTAAAACTGTCAGGCCTCTGAGCCCAAGCTAAGCCATCATATCACCTGTGACCTGCAAGTACATATCCAGATGTCTGGTTCCTGCCTTAACTGATGACATTCCACCACAAAAGAAGTTAAAATGGCTTGTTCCTGCCTTAACTGATGACATTACCTTGTGAAATTCCTTCTCCTGGCTCATCCTGGCTCAAAAGCTCCCCCACTGAGCACCTTGTGACCCCCACCCCTGCCAGCCGGAGAACAACCCCCCTACTTTGACTGCAATTTTCCTTTACCTACCCAAATCTTATAAAATGGCCCCACCCCATCTCCCTTTGCTGACTCTCTTTTCAGACTCAGCCCACATGCACTCAGGTGAAATAAACAGCCTTGTTGCTCACACAAAGCCTGTTTGGTGGTCTCTTCACATGGATGCAAGTGAAAAAAAACCTCTTCAACTCACACATGACCTAAAACCTAAATGCCTTATTTTCTTCTGCAACACCCCTTGACCCCAATACAAACTCGACAGTGGTTCCAAATAGCCAGAAAACGGCACTTTCAATTTTTCCATCCTACAAAATCTACATAATTCTTGTCATAAAATGGGCAAATGGTCTGAGGTTCCTGATGTCCAGGCATTCTTTTACACATCGGTCCCTCCATAGTCTCTGCTCCCAATGCAACTCATCCCAAATCTTGCTTCTTTCCCTCCCACCTGTCCCCTCAGTCCCAACCCAAAGCATCACTGAGTGTTTCCAATCTTCCTTTTCTACAGACACATCTGACCTCTCCCCAGGCTGCCCCTCACCAGGCCGAGCTAGGTCCCAATTCTTCCTCAGCCTCTGCTCCCCTACCCTATAATCCTTTTTATCACCTCCCCTCCTCACACCCGGTCCAGTTTACAGTTTCATTCTGTGACTAGCCCTCCCCCACCTGCCCAGCAATTTCCTCTTAAAAAGGTGGCTGGAGCTAAAGGCATAGTCAAGGTTAATGCTCCTTTTTCTTTATCCCAAATCAGATAGCATTTAGGCTGTTTTTCATCAAATATAAAAACGCAGCCTAGTTCATGGCTCGTTTGGCAGCAACCCTGAGATGCTTTACAGCCCTAGCCCCTAAAAGGTCAAAAGGTCATCTTATTCTCAATATACATTTTATTGCCCAATCCGCTCCCGACATTAAATAAAAGTACAAAAACTAAATTCTGGCCCTCAAACCCCACAACAGGACTTAATTAACCTTACCTTCAAGGTGTATAATAATAAAGTAGAGGCAGCTAAGTAGCAATGTATTTCTAAGTTGCAATTCCTTGCCTCCACTGTGAGACAAACCCCAGCCATATCTCCAGTACACAAGAACTCCAAACGCCTGAACCACAGCTGCCAGGGTTTCCTCCAGAACCTCCTCCCCCAGGAGCTTGCTACAAGTGATGGAAATCTGGCCACTGGGCCAAGGAATGCCCACAGCCCGGGATTCCTCCAAAGCCATGTCCCATCTGTGAAGGACCCCACTGAAAATCAGACTGTTCAACTCACCTGGCAGCCACTTCCAAAGCCCCTGGAACTCTGGCCCAAGGTTCTCTGACTGACTCCTTCCCAGATCTTCTAGGCTTAGCAGCTGAAGACTGACACTGCCTAATCACCTTAGAAGCCTACAGGACCATCACAGATGCTCTAGGTAACTCTCAGAGTGGAGGGTAAGTCCATCCCCTTCTTAATCAATACGGAGGCTACCCACTCCACATTACCTTCTTTTCAAGGGCCTGTTTCCCTTGCCTCCATAACTTTTGTAGATATTGATGGCCAGGCTTCTAAACCTCTTAAAACTCCCCAACTCTTATGCCAACTTAGAAAATACTCTTTTAAGCACTCCTTTATAGTTATCCCCACCTGCCCAGTTCCCTTATTAGGCCGAGATATTTTAACTAAATTATCTGCTTCCCTGACTATTCCTGGGCTACAGCCACACCTTATTGCCACCTTTTCCCCCAGTTCAAAGACTCCTTCACATCCTCCCCTTGTATCTCCCCACCTTAATCCACAAGTATAGGATGCCTCTACTCCCTCCTTGGTGACCGATCATGCACCCCTTACCATCTCATTAAAACCTAATCACCCTTACCCTGCTCAATGCCAATATCCCATCCTGCAGCATGCTTTAAAAGGATTAAAGCCTGTTATCACTCACCTGCTACAGCATGGCCTTTTAGAGCCTATAAACTCTTCTTACAATTCCCCCATTTTACCTGTCCTAAAACCAGACAAGCCTTACAGGTTAGTTCAGGATCTGCGCCTTATCAACCAAATTGTTTTGCCTATCCACCCCATGGTGCCAAACCCATATACTCTCCTATCCTCAATACCTCCCTCTACTACCCATTATTCTGTTCTGGATCTCAAACATACTTTCTTTACTATTCCTTTGCACCCTTCATCCCAGCCTCTCTTTGCTTTCACTTGGACTGACCCTGACACCCATTAGGCTCAGCAAATTACCTGGGCTGTACTGCTGCAAGGCTTCACAGACAGCCCCCATTACTTCAGTCAAGCCCAAATTTCTTCCTCATCTGTTACCTATCTCGGCATAATTCTCATAAAAACACACGTGCTCTCCCTGCTGATCCTGTCCAGCTGATCTCCCAAACCCCAATCCCTTCTACAAAACAACAACTCCTTTCCATCCTAGGCATGGTTAATGCAGTCAGAATTCTCACACAAGAGCCAGGACCGTACCCTGTAGCCTTTCTGTCCAAACAACTTGACCTTACTGTTTTAGCCTAGCCCTCATGTCTGCATGCAGTGGCTGCCACTGCCTTAATACTTTTAGAGGCCCTAAAAATCACAAACTATGCTCAACTCACTCTCTACAGTTCTAATAACTTCTGAAATCTATTTTCTTCCTCATACCTGACGCATATACTTTCTGCTCCCCAGCTCCTTCAGCTGTACTCACTCTTTGTTGAGTCTCCCACAGTTACCATTGTTCCTGGCCCGGACTTCAATCCAGCCTCCCACATTATTCCAGATACCACACCTGACCCTCATGACTGTATCTCTCTGATCCACCTGACATTCACCCCATTTCCCCATATTTCCTTCTTCCCTGTTCCTTACCCTGATCACATTTAGTTTATTGATGGTAGTTCCCCCAGGCCTAATCGCCACACACCAGCAAAGGCAGGCTATGCTATAGTAAAAGCCACCAGCCCGCCTCTTAGAACGTCTCATTTTCTTTCCATCATGGAAACCTATCCTCAAGGAAATAACTTCTCAGTGTTCCATCTGCTATTCTGCTACTCCTCAGGGATTATTCAAGCCCCCTCCCTTCCCTACACATCAAGCTCGGGGACTTGCCACTGCCCAGGACTGGCAACTCTTAACTCCCTCTTAGAGAGGATAGATGATCTTTGCTGGCAGGGGACCCTCCAATACTTTCACCCTGATGAAGTTCTATTCTTTACTTTTATACTCACTCTTATCCTCATTCCCATTCTTATGCCACCCTCTACCTCTCCCCAGCTACCTCCACCACACTATCAACCTCACTCATTCTCTCCTAGCTGTTTCTAATCCCTCCTTAGTGAACAACTGCTGGCTTTGCATTTCCCTTTCTTCCAGCGCCTACACAGCTGTCCTCACCTTACATGCAGACTAGGCAACATCTCCTGTCTCCCTACACTCTGAACTTCCTTTAACAGCCCTCACCTTTACCCTCCAGAAGAACTCATTTACTTTCTAGACAGGTCCAGCAAGACCTCCCCAGACATTTCATATCAGCAAGCTGCCGCCCTCCTCCGCACTTACTTAAAAAACCTTTCTCCTTATATCAACTCTACTCCCCCCATATTTAGATCTCTCACAACACAAACTACTATTCCTGTGGCCACTCCTTTATGTATATCTTGGCAAAGACCCACTGGAATTCCCCTAGGTAACCTTTCACCTTCTTGATGTTCCTTTACTCTTCATCTCCAAAGCCCAACTACGCACATCACTGAAACAACTGGAGCCTTCTAGCTCTGTATTACAGACAAGCCCTCTATCAATACTGGCAAACTTAAAAACATTAGCAGTAATTATTGCTTAGGAAGACACTTACCCAGTATTTCACTCCATTCTTGGCTACCTTCCCCTTGCTCGTCAGACTCTCCTCCCAGGCCCTCTTCTTGTTTGCTTATACCCAGCCCCGTAAATAACAGTAAAAGTTTGCTCATAGACACTCAACGTTTTCTCCTACACCATGAAAATCAAACCTTCCCCTCTACGCTGTTACCCCATTAGTCCCCATTACAACCTCTGATGGCTGCCGCCCTAGCTCGATCCCTAGGAGTCTAGGTAAAAGACACCCCTTTCAGCCCTCCTTCTCATCTTTTTACTTTGCGTCTCCAGTTTTGCCTCACACAAGGTCTCTTCTTCCTCTGTGGATCCTCTACCTACATGTGTCTACCTGCTAATTGGACAGGCACATGCACACTAGTTTTCCTTACCCCCAAAATTCAATTTGCAAATAGAACCAAAGAGTTCCCTGTTCCCCTCATGACACCAACATGACAAAAAAGAGTTATTCCACTAATTCCCTTGCTTGTCGGTTTAGGACTTTCTGCCTCCCCTATTGCTCTCGGTACTGCAATAACAGGCATTTCAACCTCTGTCATGACCTTCTGTAGCGTCTCTAATGACTTCTCTGCTAGCATCACAGACATATCACAAACTTTATCAGTCCTCCAGGCCTAAGTTGACTCTTTAGCTGCAGTTGTCCTCCAAAACCGCTGAGGCCTTGACTTACTCACTACTGAAAAAGGAAGACTGTATATTCTTAAATGAAGAGTGTTGTTTTTACCTAAATCAATCTGGCCTGGTGTATGACAACATAAAAAAACTCAAGGATAGAGCCCAAAAACTTGCCAACCAAGCAAGTAATTATGCTGAACCCCCTTAGGCACTCTCTAATTAGACGTCCTAGGTCCTCCCAATTCTTAGTCCTTTAATACCTGTTTTTCTCCTTCTCTTATTCCATTTAATTTTTCAATTCATGCAAAACCGTATCCAGGCCATCACCAATAATTCTACACGACAAATGTTTCTTCTAACAACCCCACAATATCACCCCTTACCACAAAATCTTCCTTCAGCTTAATCTCTCACACTCTAGGTTCCCACGCCACCCCTAATCCCGCTCGAAGCAGCCCCGACAGACATCGTCCATTATCTCTCCATACCACCCCCAAAAATTTTCACCGCCCCAACACTTCAACACTATTATGTTTTATTTTCCTTATTAATATAAGAAGAGAGGAATGTCAGGCCTCTGAACCCAAGCTAAGCCATCATATCCCCTATGACCTGCACGTATACATCCAGATAGCCTAAAGTAACTGAAGAATCACAAAAGAAGTGATATTTAAATGGCCTGTTCCTGCCTTAACTGATGACATTCCACCACAAAAGAAGTTAAAATGGCCAGTCCTTACCTTAACTGGTGACACTACCTTGTGAAATTCCTTCTCCTGGCTCATCCTGGCTCAAAAAGCTCCCCCACTGAGCACCTTGTGACCCCCACCCCTGCCCACCAGAGAACAACCCCCCTTTGACTGTAATTTTCCTTTACCTACCCAAATCTTGTAAAACAGCCCCACCCCTATCTCCCTTGGCTGACTCTTTTCGGACTCAGCCCGCCTGCACCCAGGTGAAACAGCCTTGTTGCTCACACAAAGCCTGTTTGGTGGTCTCTTCACAAGGATGCAAATGAAACTCTGTATCATTTTTTATTGTGTTTATTTGATATTCTCTTTTCTTCTTTATTAGTCTAGCTAGCAGTCTATTTCCTTAATTTTTTCAAAAAAAAAAAAAGCCCCTGGATTCAGATTATTTGAAAAGTTTTTTGTGTCTCTGTCTCCTTCAGTTCCACTCTGATGTTACTTTTTTCTTGTCTTCTGCTAGCTCAATCATCCCAGGTCAACATCCCAGGTCAATTCCTGCTGTGCTGGCAGCAGGAATTTCAAGCCAGTGATTCATAGCTTGCTGGGCTCCATGGGAGTGGGACCTGCTGAGCGAGACTACTTGGCTCCCTGGCTTCAGCCTCCTTTCCAGGTAAGTGAACGGTTCTGACTCTCTGGGGTTCCAGGCGCCACCAGGGGATGAAAAAAAAATTTCTGCAGCTGGCTCGGTGTCTGCCCGAACAGCCGCCCAGTTTTGTGCTTGAAACCCAGGGCCCTGGTGGTGTAGGCTCACCATGGAATCTCCTGGTTTGCGGATTGCAAAAGCTATGGGAAAAGCATAGTATCTGGGTGGGATAGCACAGTCCCTCATGGCTTCCCTTGGCTGGGAAAGGGAGGCCTCCTGCTCCTTGCACTTCCCGGGTAAGGTGATGCCCCACCTTGCTTATGCTCGCCCTCCATGGGCTGCACCCACTGTCTAACCAGTCGCAATGAGATAAACAGGATATCTCAGTTGGAAATGCAGAAATCACCCGCCTTCTGCATAGGTCTCACTGGGAGCTGCAGACTGGAGCTGTTCCTATTCGACCATCTTGCCAGAACCCCCAACAAGAATATTTTTAAAACAAAGTAAATACCACCATACTCCTGGAAAAAAAAAATACACTTTTGCTGTCTGCCAAGAAGCAGCAGCATGGGGTTCACAAATAGTTGGATTCCTAGTAAAGATTCTGCCCAGCTGAAAATTGGCTTTGAAAATAATGCGACCAGAAACTTTGGGAGAACAGAACTTTAAGTGGCTCAGATAGCCTTCTTAGAGTTTGGATTACCATTGGTTGTTCTCCTAAAGTGATAAGAAGTTTCTAGAGGAACAGTGTGGAGATCAAAATGGCCTATGATCACCAGAATGCTATATATCCAGCCCCTATGCCCTTTGTGCTGTACTTGCCTATGTGGGTTATAAGGACCCAAGTCCTACAGAGTCAGGAATCACCCTTCCCTTTAAAATCTTCCTTCTTTGACAAAGCCCCGCTCCTACATGACTGCAGGAAATCCAGTTCTTTCCCAAAATATTCCAGAGGATACCAAAGGTAGCTTACATTTTCAACCAACATGGTGCCTCTCTGGTCTGCTTGTTTCCTATGGACCACCACTGGTCCTGAGCCTCTTCTCTCCATAGCTACAAACTTTTTGGGTACCACAAACCATACTTCTCCTTTTATTCCCCAAGAACAGCGAATAACAAAGCTTGAAGATAACAAAAGGGGAGTATGTGACAATAACTTAAAACTGGGAACTAGAGAGCAGCTTCTTTCTACTCCTGGTGTCACCCAAGGGTCCCTTCTGGCTTTTCCCCTGCCGCCTCTGCCCTGCTGCCCCTATGGTGGGGTCCATTCCCTTTTTTTCAGTTGGCATCTCTGGCTGACATGTTCTCCACCCCTAGGCAGCAAAACCAGATTCCTTTATGGCTCTAAAATCTCTGCAGAGGTGTTTGTTTCCTAAAGTTATCTTTTCTATCATTAAGCAAAATAACTGGATTGTGCGCAGCCCCCTGCTGGATCATGTGTCACTAGTACTGGGCCTCCCTACCATTAAGGAACCCAGCACTTTCAAGTTCTCTGATTCTCCATGTGACATGCCCAAGTGAACCAATACCACCACTGCCCCAATCACCCACCCATTCCCAAAAAGTGAAAAATAAGCACACAAACAAGTGACTAGTGTTTAATCTCAGAAACATTTGCATTCAGAGTACGTTCCCTTAGAATTTTCTCCTCTCCACTCCATGAGGAGTGGGCATGTGCTTTATTATATCAACAAGACTAAGAAGCCGCACCCGAGTGGTCCCACTCAAAAAAGAGATTTCTGTTTCTACCTCAAAATGCAGAAACCATTACAGATTAAAAGAGAAACACACACACACACTTTGAGAAACTCGCCCTTCCTCATCTTCAAAGTGTGGGGTATGCATTCCAGATCTCTCAGCCTGATGGACAGCTTGGAAGTGGAAGGGACCAATGTCCAGCAAGTGGACTTTGCCCCATGTCCATTGTGCCTTGTGTCTTCCTAGCCAACTCAGAACTCCTCACATCCAGCCCCCAGACTACCGCTCATGGGCTCAGGCAAAGGTGGGAGTAGCCAGGGTTTGGCACTTGGGAGACACTCAAAAATATTTTTTGGACAAACAAGTGAATGTGAGCCCTGAAACTTTCTAGAGAGTCTCTGTCCCATTGGGTTCAAGCCAGTAAAAAGCCAGAGAAGTGTCTTTCTGTCCCAAACATAAGCAAGAGATGGATGAGTCCTCTGTGCAGAAGTTACTAAACACTCCTTGGTGTGGAGGAGTTTTTTGTTAATGAAACAACATCCAGTTTGTTTGATGAAAGATTAATATGGTCAATGAGCTCAAAGTCATCTTCAGATTAAAGCATTCACTAAAACATGGCTGGGTTAGTTTGCAGCTAAAAGGAATAAATATACTTTATAAAATATGAGTTCCTGGTACTCAGGTTCTGCTTCCAAGGAAGTCTCAACCTAGACCATATAATGAATAGAGACTGAAGGAAGAGGTATTGGGAACTCAACTGATTCTCAGGCAGGGGAGTGTGAGAAGAAATGGGGAAGAGGAACTAGGGATATCAGTTTCATCCTGGTCATGATTCACAGAAATGAGTGCAGAGGGAAGACAAAGTCAGATGCCCAGACTGCAGTGTTGGGGAACAGGAGGCCATTGAGTTTAGATTGCTAAGAAAAGGATGGAGGGTAAAAACATTGAAGAGTTTCAGTGAGAGTCTATTTTCTCCAAATAGGAGAAAAGCTTATGGAGATACCAACAGACCTTATCTGAAACACTCTGAGGGTTCCATCTTGCTCTTTTCCACATTCTTCATATTTTCTAGGTATCTCTGGAGGCATAAGAGAACACTTTTCTAGCTTTTTTGGGTGGTTTCAGCTACCAGCTATCACTACAATCCCCAGCCATAATTTCAGATCTTCCATCCTGTCAACTTTCTTCAAAACACAAAAATAACTCCTTTCTCTCCCTCACTCACACAGTAGAGTTCAATTGATTAAACTTATCAAATTATTTTAAATATTCATCTGAAATCAGTGAGACTAGAAACTTCACATTTTAGGGTAATTATGAGGTACAAAAGCAAGATAAATTGTCTTATCGATGATACTTTTGATAGAAGATTTTTAAACAATAAGGCATAAAGTTGATGTATAATTTTAAAAAGAAAATATTTCTTGGGATATGTGTTTCTAGATTAAGGTACCATGGGCCCTGAATAACGAATCTCAGTTTTTCTTAAGGTCCTCCTCCTCTGAGCTACACTGTGGGTCGAAAAGGGCAGGATTATCATAAATGGAAAGAAGCTAGAGACATTTTAGTTAAATAAAAAGAACATCTGGAAAAAGACATCTTCGTTACTGGAAATATTCAAGCAGAGGTTTCTGGGATGTTTCTGATGGCACTCAAGCATCGGAGACCAAGGTCAGCCTAAGACACAAGCAAGGTCCCATCCTACAAAGAGAGTGAAATTAGATCCGTATATGAAATGCCTAGCACAGTGCCTGGCGCATAAGAGATACACACTAGATACCAGATCCTTCCCATCCTGAGAGTCTGTGGGTCTATGCTCGTATATATTGGATGTATTTCTGGAAGGGTAATTGGATACATTGTAGATTCTTCCAGAAGTTCACAATTTTCTTAATCGGAGCCATTGAGAGAAGGCAAGGGAAGGAAGCATGTTCTTTTTGCTTGTGTCAGTAACTCTTCCTCTAGCTGGAGTTTTCATCACCTTCAGGCAGTTATTGGTTTGGGCTTTATGCTATCCACTACAGCTGAAATAACTGCTCCAGCAGCCTTCGCTCCTTCCATCAGGGCGTGCTCTACCTGCAAAGCACATCAGTTCACAGGACAATCAGTACCAATCCTAGGCTTGCACCCTCCCCTACCTCCACCCCACCATACCCATTCAGCAACCAGCCTGTCTGGAGTCTATTCCCAAGAGAAGAAGCAGTCCATGCTATCTTATATTTTCAAAACTCCTAGAGTGACAAGAGACCAAGAAAAGCCAGGATTGTTGGAGACAGACAACCCCTTCCTCCCTCTGTGCCATTTGGCCCAGGGTCTGCTTCCAGTGTGGGGCTCAGAGGCAAAGGATCTCACAGCACCACAGCCACTGAGGCCCTCATTCTACAAACAGGGGATCCAAGAGCCAGGGAGCGGAACTCACTTGGACAGAGCCATACAGTGAATTCATGTCCAAACTTAGCTCTTGGGTTCTTGGGCCTCATGACTCCTAGGCCCAAGCTTCTTCAGAGGACTTCTTGTAATGCCCTCAGTCCTTGGGGTCTTCATGTGCAAATTCTCACGGGACGGGAGGTTTCTCACACCAGGGCCCACCAAGCCCCGGACACTAGAGAAAAGCCTCACAAGAATGGAGTGCAGGCTGGAGAGGATGCAGAGCAGAGAGGAGGAAGGTGCAGAAAGTAAAGGGCACAGCAGGGAGGCTGCCAATGGTCACTGAGGATGGGCTGGCAAAAGCAGAGACTAACATTGGAATGTGAGCCCAATCTGCTTAGACAACAGAAGAAACATAGAAAAAAAATAGAATAATTATGTTCTTCTTTTAATCCTTAATTTTTTCCATCTCTTTAAAGGGGGATAATAGGTTGGGTGTGGTGGCTCACGCCTGTAATCCCAGCACTTTGGGAGGCTGAGGCGTGTGGGTCACGAGGTCAAGAGATTGAGACCATCCTGACCAACATGGTGAAACCCCATCTCTACTAAAAATACAAAAATTAGCTGGGCATGGTGGCGTGCACCTGGAGTCCCAGCTACTCGGGAGGCTGAAGCAGGAGAACCGCTTGAACCTGGGAGGCAGAGGTTGCAGTGAGCCGAGATCACGCCATCGCACTCCAGTCTGGGTGACAGAGCAAGACTCTGTCTCAAAAAAAAAGGGGAGTAGTGATAATAAATGCTTTCTCTGCTCATCTCATGGAGTTTTAGTAAGGATCACCTATTAACATGAATAGCCCAAGTTTTCACATACATTTAGGATTCAAAGTTATTTCACATGCACTGAACTACATGAATTTATTACTTCTCTATATGGGAGGAAGTGACAGAGCCAAATGCAGTATAGGCCAGGCAGGTAATGTGAGTGAGGCAGGTGGGTGACATACCTACCCCTTATCCCCTGCAAAGCCACAGCATGTCCCTACAGAGTGTCAGCAAGTAGGAATGCCAGCCCAGTGGCCTGATCAATTGTATGTTAAAAAGAAAGCTGAGGGCCAGGCTCAGTGGCTCATGCCTGTAATCTAGCACTTTGGGAGGCCGAGGCGGGTGGATCACCTGAGGTCAGGCATTCAAGACCAGCCTGGCCAACATGGCAAAACCCCATTTCTACTCAAAATACAAAAATTAGCCAGACGTGGTGGCGCACACCTAGTAATCCCAGCTACTTGGGAGACTGAGGCAGGAGAATCGCTTGAACCCAGGAGGCGGAGGTTGCAGTGAGCCGAGATTGCACTACTGCACTCCAACTTGGGCGACAGAGCAAAACTCTGTCTCAAAAAAAAGAGAGAGAGAGAGAAGCTGAGAACCTACATCTTTTTATATAAAATTTCTATATTTTTAAATATTGGCAAGTAATTCAAACAAAAAGTGTGTGTGTGTGTGTGTGTGTGTGTGTGTGTGTGTGTGTGTATCCAAGATGTGGCCCACAAAGTACTAGGTTGCAATTTTATCAACAGAGTATCTGCTTCTGCTTATCCCTGCTTTGTTAAGGAAGAAATGGTCTTTGGCCAGTCACGGTGGCTTACACCTGTAATCCCAGCACTTTGGGAGGTCGAAGTGGAGGATCACTTGAGCCCAGGAGTTCAAGACCAGCCTGGGCAACATAGCAAAACCACCTCTCAACAAAAAAATTAAAATTAACTGGGTGTGGTGATGCACACCTGAAGTCCCAGCTATTCAGGAGGCTAAGGCAGGAGGACGGCCTGAGCCCAGGAGGTTGTGGCTGCAATGAGCCATGATTATGTCATTACACTCCAGCCTAGGTGACAGAGTGAGATCCTGTCTCCAAAGAAAGAGGGGAAAAAAAGAAAAGAAAGAAAAGCTTTCAGAAATATACTGATTTGACCAAGGATACCCCTCTAGTTAATAGTTGAGCTGGGGCTCCAATCGCTGGTCTTACTATTAGCCCAGTGCCTTTTCTACTCCTCCCTGGGTTAATAAAGGTGAAAATACCTCCTGAACCATAAAGTCCTGCAGAAATAGAAGGCCCTACTAGTATAACGAATAATATAATGAAAGCCCTGATTACCATTCTGATCACTAATGAAATGACAAACCCCAAGAAAGCTCTGGAAGAAGCCATCATCAGAGCAAATGGGGTCACACCTGCTGGCTCCGGGGTACGCCATATCTGAGGCCATTGACAAAGTGCTCACAGTTCCCTTCAATCAGGCTGTACTGCACGATCTTGTTGACCATCTTTTTTGTACGCTGGATGATCTTGTCCACCGGCAAGGGCAGGTACGTCCCATCTAGCTTGTTATTGACCTTCCAGGAGCAGCCATGCAGCACATCCTCCAGACGACTGTATTTCACCACGGCCCGATTGCTAAAGATGGAAGTAATGCTGCCCACCTCAAACTCCTCACCTGGAGACCAAAGACAAACAAAGGTTGGGAAATACAAGGAGTAGCAAAGCAGAGCACAGTCTAAGACTCTGAGTAAGCTGCTTCCCCTGGAGTCTCATTGGCACCATCAGTAGAAGGGTGGCAGAAGAGGGGAAGTTGGAATCAAAGAACCGCAGAGAATCAACTTTCCTGAGAAGCCCTTTGCCCTGCGCCTCACTCCCTGCTCTCAACCCGCACAGGAGTCTCTTTCTCATTAAACTCTTGGAGCACCTTCCCATGTGGTCCCAGACTGTGTTGCACTGACCTACCCAAGTCCTAGGATTTGAGTCTCATTTCCTGAGAAGACTTCAGTAATCTTCACAAACATGTAAAGAGCACTCTCTATGTAAGTGTCAGCTCATGGGTAAAAGGCTATCACATACATGATTATGGTGGTTCCATGTCACGCCTCCCTCTGGGCTGCCACAGGGACACAGGGGAAGCCAGCCAAGCAGGGCTCTGAATGGCACCTGCTCCTGCCAGCTTCCACCTACAGCCACTTGACTGACCTCTACTCAAATACGGGGATTCTCATTAAGGGTATGTTTGAAAACAGGGTTCCACAGCTTTGAAAAAAGAAATGTTTGAAAGGTGCTACATTATCATATTCAGCCCTGAGATGAGACAGAGACTGAAAGAGGGTCAGGAACCTGCCCAAAGCTGGGTGGGTAGTCATTTAAAGTAGCACTGCTACAACCATGTTGATATGCGAATGTGTATACCCTTCCCTTTATAAGTTGTCCAAGGGCAAGAAATGCTCCATGATCTTTTCTTACAAATTTGAAGAAAATCTGCTGATTTTATAAAAGCTGGCAATAGATAATTCAGCATTCAGGAGCAGAAATGGCAGAATTCATTTTCAGAGAGCAAGATAGGGGTGGGGGAAGACATAACTGATAAGTATCTCTGTGGTTGTACAAGAGGGAAACTCCTGGACTTAGTCTGGAAAGAAGAGATGAATTTCTACATTCTTTGAGTAGGTTCTGAGACAAGAAGTGGGAAGGGTATGAGTGGATGGGGCAGAGAAGAGAGGCAATGAGAAAGGGGCTCTGCTCCATGGGAACATCCCTGCATGGTGAGAGACTGGGCCAGAGGAAGAGGACAGGACACAGGGATGACAGCTGAGAACAAGTTAGGACCAAAGGCCTTTGGTATAGTGCCCTTCTGTAATTCAACTTTGAACTGGCAATACCTGCACAGGAGACAGCATTCAAAGTGCATTCAATGGTATTCAACAGGGTCTACCTACCCCTTCCTCTCCCAAACCCCAACCCTTATCAGGCCTCATCTCCTGAGATAACCACTGTGACCAGCAGTTCTAGATACCCAATTTTAAGTTGTTTCCCATTTTGCTGTACTCTTCCTCTACTATCATCACCTCCTCCCCCATCAAATCTCCACTAAGATTTAATTAACACAAATTGAATCTCAGCCATATGTTAAGCAGCTGTGAGAAATGAAAAGAGGGCTGTATCTACATTTAGGGTGAAACAGCAAGGAGCATGTTGGAACAGCAGCGAGACAAGGTGAGGACGAAGGTGCCAAAGGTGATCAAGAAGCCAGATGCAGTGTCTGAGGACTATAGAAAACAAATGACGATCAGAACATGTGAGCATCTGCACCCTCCTTGGGGAATCCTCAGAAAGATGAGGATAGATGCTCAACTTTTGTCAATACAAAATGGAGCTCAAGTTCTAAAATGTGTGTATTTAAACAAAGGGCCCTCTAGGAGGTCAGGGAACTTGGGCCACGCTCTTTACACTTGTATCACTCTTAGGCCTGGACACTCATTGGTTTTTGGTGAACAGAGACCAAGCTCTGTCACACAGTAAGCAAAGGTCCAGTCATGCTTCAAGGGGTCCCATTGCTAAAGAATGGCAGTAACTGAGGAACACAGTAATTAACTGTGCTTCTATTTACTTTGCTAACTTCAATATCAGTATTTCAATAGACTATTCACTCTTACTTGGGGGAGCCAGATGGACCACGCAATCATCTTCTACATAGATGGCCCAGTGCTCATAGCCAATTCGAAAAATCTCAATCAGGTCTCCAGGTCTGGGTCTTGGTTTTCCCTATAATGGAAAAATAAAAGATAAATGGCACATGCTCAAGGAACTCCAGAGACCTTGTTTTAGGATCAGGGACAGCTCAGCCTAAAGATCCCCTCAGTGTGGTTCATCACTTCACAGAAACCCAAGCTAAAGAAATTTCTCTTCACACTGAGGACCAAAGAAGTCCCCTCCTCTCCTACCCCACTCACATTACTAAAGCCATCAAGGATACCCGTGCCAGTTATCAATGTATTGCCTCTCAGCTGTGAATGTATCCTCCAATATATACCCTGTGATAGATGACTAAACTTGTTTTAAGCATTTCTTCCTTAAAGCAAGTAAGATGTTAAACCTTCTCAGTAAAGGGTGCTGGCTTTCTCTTGTACTGCAAGACAAAGGGGTTCTCCTGCAGTTTCTGGCTGGGGTGGGCAGGATGATGGTCAGTAGTGTGGGTGTGTGGACATCTAGTAGAGTTCTACCTCAGACCCAGGATCCTCAAGGCCTCCTGCCCCTGCTGGCACCCTGATTCCCTCTGCAGGGCCCCCACGTGACCCACCTGAAGCCCAGAGGGTGCCCCCATCCTCTGCACACCCACACCACCAGTTGCTAATAGCCACTTCAGTCCTGCTTGCCCAGCAAATGCAAACTTCTCTATTATCGTGTGTGTGTGTGTGTGTGTGTGTGTGTGTGTGTGTGTGTGTGAGAGAGAGAGAGAGACAGGTAGAGAGAGAATGAGAATATACATGAATAGGTAGGCATAGAGTTGTACATAAGCATCCATCTTTTTAAAAAATATTTGACCAGAGCTCCAGGTTGCACCTTCACTGCTGTGTTATCATCTCCTAGAGACCCAGCTTCTGTGGCCCTGTGACCTGCAGGTCTTTGGAAATCCATAGCTAAGATGTTAGGACTCCGCTGGAAGCCTAGAAATGGTATTGCTGTCTCTAAGCCAGACCTGATCAACTACCTGGAGCAAAGAAAAGAGCCCTGGAATATGGAGAGACACAAGATGGTAGCGAAACACCCAGTTACATGTTCTCATTTCACCCAAGACCTTTGGCCAAAACAGGGTATAAAAGATTCATTCCCAAAAGTGATACTAAAAAGATATGGAAAATGTGAACATGAGAATTTACAATTAAGGAAAGGCTGTAAAAGTGTGGGTGAGTGCAAAGTGCACAAAGGAGGTCATAATGGACTTAATTAATGTCATTAATGTCGTTAATTTGTCAACTACTCAGAGCAAAATATTTTAATGTAATACATATGTGAAAGTCTCTAGCAAATTTTCGAATTCAAATAGACATAAGACATGGCATACTGGAGAGAAACCTTTCAAATGTAAAGAATACGGCAAATTGGCCAGGTGCAGTGGCTCACACTTTTAATACTAGCATTTTGGGAGGCCAAGGTGAGTGGATCACCTGAGGTCAGGAGTTCAAGACCAGCCTGACCAGCATGGTGAAACCCCATCTCCACTAAAAATACAAAAAAATTAGCCAGGCTTGGTGGCACGCACCTACAGTTCCAGCTATTCAGGAGGCTGAGGCAGGAGAATAGCTTGAACCCAGGAGGTGGAAGTTGCAGTGAGCTAAGATCGCGCCATTGCACTTCAGCCTGGGTGACAGAGCAAGACTCCCATCTCAAAAAAAAAAAAAGAATGTGGCAAATTATTTCACATGCTCTCACACCTAACTCAACATCAGAGAAGTCATACTAGACAGAATTCTTACAGATGTGAATAATGTGGCAAAGCCTTTAACTGGTCTTCAAACCTTAATGAACATAAGAGAATTCACAGTAGAGAGAAACCCTATAAATGTAAAGGATGTGACAAAGCCTTTTAAGTGCATCTCAAGCCTTAGTAAACATAAGATAATTCGTGCTGGAGAAAAACCCTACAAATGCAAAGAATGTGGTAAAGCTTTTAACCAGTCTTCAACTCTTATTATACATAAGAGATTCATACTGGAGAGAAACCCTATGATTGAATATGGCAAAGCATTTTAAAGGTCCGTAAACATAAGATAATTCATACCGGAGATAAACTCTACAAATCTGAAAAATGTGGAAAAGCTTTTAACCACACCTCATACTTTTCTAAACATAAAATAAGTTATACTGGTGAGAAATCCTAGAAATGTGAAGAATGTGGCAAAGCCTTTAAATGGATGTCACACCTTACTGTATGTAAGATAATTCATACTAAAGAAAACCCCTACAAATATAAATAATGTGGCAAAACTTTTAATTAATGTTCATGCCTTATTGCACACGAAAGCATTTATACTTTAGAAAAATTGTACAAATATAAAGAATGTGGAAAAGCCATTGCTATCTGCTCACATCTTACTCAAAATCAGAGAATTCATACTTAATGAAACCATTATAAATGTAATTACTGTAAAAAAAACTTTCAGAAAATATAAGCCTTTAAAGTGAATAAGAGTATTTATTCTGAAGAAAAACATTACATATATAAAGAGGACTGTAGTGCCTTTACTTGTATTACAAACCTTATTGTACATATTTTATACTAGAGGAAAACACCAAAGCAGTTGTTCAAACCTTGTTGAACATCAGAGAATTTATGTTGCAAAGAAACCTTACAGATGAAATGAATGTAGAAACACATTTGTTTAAAAACTCCAGCATGAAGAACACCAGAGAGTTCATACTAAAAGATACTTTTGCAGATGCAGTAAATGTGAAAAAAATATTTAATCAAACATTAAGTCTATATAAACATCAGAGGATTCACAGTAGAAAGAACTAAGGTATAGACACTTCATACATTACACTAAATCAGAGTGTTGAGTACAGAAAATAATTCAAAGCCAAAACTGTCAGATTTTTTTTGTATATAACTTTAAAAGAAACAGAAGACTTTTTTTGAAGAGTTATAATTACAAAGTATTTGTTTTCCCTTGAAAAAATTATAGCTTGTTGAAAGCAAATGTAATTTAATTCTCAAATTACTTCATGCTGTTCCTTCATTCCTATTGTTTATGTGAAAGCATGTGATCCATTATTGTTGCATCAGATCTATGATAGATTCTTTTTCATTAGTTGGGCATTATTTATGACCATTTCCATGGAAGAGTAAAGACATTGAAATAAATGTAAGGTGCGCAATGAAAATCTAAGTGGAGAGGCTCTTTGTGGTTGACTTATAACATTGTTTGAGTGAAGCAAGAGGTAAGTGTTCAGAGTAATATTCTTCTACATGACAGTGAGACGAAAACATTTTGAATTTTAGTAGTAAATCATTTTACCAATTGTACTTTTATGTAATAAAATGCAGTACATTTTGAAATTCTGATTTAAGATTACAGGTGAACTTAATTTTTTAAACAAAATTGTTTTTAAAAAACATTAATAGGCTGGATAAAGAAAATGTGGAATACTATGCAGCCATAAAAAGGATGAGATCATGTCCTTTGCAGGGACATGGTTGGAGCTGGAAGCCGTTATCCTAAGCAAACTAACACAGGAACTGAAAACCAAACACCGCATGTTCTCACTTATAAATGGGAGCTGAATGATGAGAACACGTGGACACACAGGAAGGGGAACAACACACACTGGGGCCTGTCAGGGTGGGGGTTGGAGGAGGGAGAGCATCAGGAACAATAGTGAATGGATGCTGGACTTAATACTAAGGTGATGGGTTGATCTGTGCACAAACCACCATAGCACAATTTTACCTATGTAACAAACCTGCACATCCTGCACACATACCCCAGAACTTAAAAGTTGAAGAAAAAAAAAGGAAAGAAAAAAACAGCCCAAACAGCCATCAATAAGGACCAGTTAAGTAAATAATCCTATATCCACACACACAGAGACATTAGAGAGAGGAAGTTGAATTTACATGAGCAGCGTAATGCTGCTGAGATTCATGCTTGCTGCAGCATGCGTCAGTTACTCCATTATATGGAGGCACCACATTTTGCTTAACCAACGTTGTTCTTTTTCAGTATCACTTTGGCTATCCCAGGTCCTTTGTCTTTCCATGTAAATTTTAGGATCACTTCATCAATGGTTATCAAAAAAAATATTTTGACAGGGATTGTGTTTAATCTGTAGATCGATTTGGTGAAGACTGCCACCTTAAGATTGCAGATATTTCGCAATCCACAAACATGGAATTTTTTGTGTGTACTTAAATCTTCAATCTCCCTTACCAATGTTTTGTAGCCTAACATTTTTGTTAAAGTTATTCCTAAGTATTTTTATGCTATGATGAATAGAATTATTTTTTTAATTTCATTTTCAGGTAGTTCACTTGTAATATAAAGAAATTCCATTGATTTTTGTACATTAGCCTTATATTCTGCAACTTTGCTGAACATATTTAATTCTAATGGTTTTGTGGCCCAGGCGCGGTGGCTCATGCCTGTAATCCCAGCACTTTGGGAGGCCAAGGTGGGTGGATCACTTGAGGCAAGGAATTCAAGACCAGCCTGGGCAACATGGTGAAACCCCATCTCTATTAAAAATACAAAAAAAAAAATGAGCCAGGAGTGGTGGCACACGCCTGTAGTCCCAGTTACTTGGGAGGCTGAGGCACGAGAATCGCTTGAATCCGGGAGGCAGAGGTGGAAGTGAGCTGAGATCGTGCCACTGCACCACCGCACTCCAGCATAGGTGACAGAGCAAGACTCTGCCTCAAAAAAAAAAAAAGTTCTAATAGTTTTGTAAGTACAGGCATGTCTCATTTTACTGTGCTTTGCTTTATTGTGCTTCACAGATATTTCATTTTTTACAGATTAAAGGTTTGTGACAACCGTGCGTCAGATAAGTCAATTGGCGCCTTTTTTCAAACAGCGTGTGCTCGCTTTGTTAGCATTTTTTAGCAATAAAGTATTTTTAATTAAAGCATGTACTTTTTTACATGTAATGCTATTGCAAATTTAATAGGCTACAGAATAATGTAAACATAACTTTTATATGCACTGGGAAACCAAAAAATGTGTGCGACTCACTTTCTTGCAATATTCGTTTTATTCTGACGGTCTAGAACCAAACCCACAATATGTCTGAAGTATACCTGTATGTGATTGACTCCTTAGGATTTTCTACATACATTGAATTTTTCATAGGTGCCCTTTTTCAAGTTGAGGAAACTCCCTTTAACTGAGTTCAAGAGAATTTTTTTTTATCATGAATGGCAGATTTTGACAAATGCTTTTTCCAGAGGTATTGAGATGATCATATGATTTTTGTCCTTTACTCTATTAACATGATATTTTTTTGTTGTTTTTTTTTTTTTTTTGGTTTTTTGAGAGGAAGTCTAACTCTGTTGCCCAGGCTGGAGTGCAGTGGCGCAATCTTGGCTCACTGCAACCTCCACCTCCTGCGTTCAAGTGATTCTCGTGCCTCAGCCTCCCAAGTAGCTGGATTACAGGCATGCGTCACCACTCCCAGGTAATTTATTTGGTTTGTTTCACCTTGTTAACCAGGCTGATCTCAAACTCCTGACCTCAACTGATCTGCCTGCCTCCACCTCCCAAAGGGCTAGGATTACAGGCATGCCCCACAGCGCCCAGCCCTGGTATATTACATTAATTGACTTGGGGGTGTTACACCAAACTTGCATTTCTGGGATAAATCTTAGTCATTGTGTATAATCATTTTTATATTCATGCTGGATTCCATTTGCTAGCATTTTTCTGAGGGTTTTTACATGTATATTCATAGAGATATTAGTCTTGTAGCTTCCTTTTTTTGAGATACCTTGGCTTTGGTATCAAGGTAATACTGGCCTCACAGAATGAGTTGGGAAGCATTTCTTCCTCTATTTTCAGAAAGAGTTTATGAAAGATTGGTAATTTTTCTTATTTAAACGCATGGTAGAATTCTTGAGCAAAGCCATCTGGGCATGAGATTTTCTTTGTGAAAAGATTTTTATTTACTAATTCAATTTAGATTTTCTAGTTTTTCTTGAGCCAGTTTTATAATTTGTGTCTTTCTAGGAACTTACCCAATTCATCTCAGTTGTCTAATTTGTTTGCTTAAAGTTTTTCATAGTGTTCCCTTTTATGTCTATAAGATTGATAGTGAGCCCCCTCTTACATTCCCAGTTTTGGCAATTTGAGTGCTCTCTCTTTTTTTCTTGGTTAGTGTAGCTAAAAGTTTGTCTATTTTACCTTTCCAAAATACTATCTTTTGGCTTCATTCATTTTCTTTATTGATTTCTGTTTTCTATTTCATTGATTTCTACTCCAGTTGTTATCATTTTCTTACTTCTGCTTGTTTTGGTTTTAGTTTGCTTTGTTTCCCTAGTTTCCTAAGGTAGGAGCTTAGATTATTGATTTGAGATATTTTTTCCTTTCTAATACAGGCATTTGCAGCTATAAATTTTCCTCTAAGCACTTCAGCTGCATCTCATAAAATTGATATGTTCTGTGTTCATTTTCACTCAACTCAAAATATTTTCTAACTTCCTTGTTCTTTTTTTGACCATGGGTTATTTAGATGTATGTTGCTTAATTTCCAAATACTTGTAAATTTCCCAAAATATCACTTGGCTATTAATTTCTAATTTAATTTCATGTGATCAGATAAAATATTTTGCAGGATTTCAATCCCTTCAAATTTACTGAGACTTGCTTTATGGCCTAGAAGAGGGTCTACACTGGAAAACACTCATGTGTGCTAGAGAAGAATATGTATTCTGTTGTTGAGTAAAATGTTTTATAAATGTCAGTTAGATCATGTCAGTTAGTTGCTTACATCTTCTATCTGCTCACTGATTTTCTGTCTAGTTGTTCTATCCACTATTGAGAGTGGGGTATTGAAGTCTCCCAACTATTATTTCTGAATTCCCAATTTATCCCTTTATTTCTATCAGTTTTTGCTTCATACTTTTTGGGATTATTTTGTTGGATATGTATATGTTTATAATTGTTATATCTTCCTGATGAATTCACCTTTTGTCATTATAGAATGACCCTTTTTTTCTAATAATACCTCTTCTCTTAAAATCTATTTTGTCTGATATTAGTACAACCACTCCTGCTACGGCTACTGTTTATATCAACCTATTTGTGACTTTAGATCTAAAGTGTGCCTCTTGTGGATGGCATATAACTGGATCTTGTACTATCAAGTCATATGATCTCTGCCTTTTTTTGGTGTGTTTAATTCATTCACATTTAATGTTACTATTAATAAAGTTGGATTTATGACTATAATTTTACTGTCAATCTTCTGTACATCACGTCTTTTTTGTTCCTCTGTTCCTCTTTTGCCTTCTTTTTTGTATCAAATACGTATTTTCTAATGATCATTTTAATTCCTCTGTTAACTTTTTAATAACATTTTTAATAGTTTTCTTTGTGGTTGCTCTAGGGATTACAATGTGCATCTTGACTTATTGCTATCTACTTCAGATTAATACTAACTTGATTCCTGTAAAATATGGAAACTTAAAATTAGCTCCATTCCTTCTTCCCTCCTTTATGTTATTATTGTCAGATATATTACATCCAAATATGTTATAAACCGAAGACAGTGTTACAAATATTGCTTTATACAAATTTTTGTCTTTTAAATTAGTTAAGAGAAAAAGGAAAAAGTATACTTATGGTCATTTATATTAACTACATTTTACCATTTCTGGTACTCTCCATTTCTTCCTGTTGATTAAGATACTTACTGTCTGGTGTCATTGATCTAATACAGCTTCATTTCAGTCCCTCTCCTTTGTGCTATTACTATTATATTTATTATATATTTGCATGTTATAAGACCAAGAATAGGATTTATAACTAGTTTTATTCAATTACCTTTCAAATTGGTCAGCATAAATGATAAAATATATATTTAGATTCTTCTGTATAATTACCTTTACTGGTGCTTTGTATTTCATGTGGCTTAGAATGCTATCTGGTGTGACTTTCTTTCCACCCAAAGAATTTTCTTTGCTATTTATTTTAAGGCAAGTGTGCTAGCCACAAATTCTCTCATTCTCCATTCATCTGGGACTATCTTTATTTCACCTTCATTTTTGCAAGATACATTACTGGATACAAAATTATTGGTTAACAGGTTTTTTTCTTTCAGCATTTTTAATATGTCATCCCACTGCCTTCTGGTCTCCATTGTTTCTGATGAAAAGTTGACTATTGTTTTTTATTGTGCATCTCTTGTATACAATAAGTCTTTTTTTCTCTTGCTGTTTTCAAGATTCTCTCTTTGTGTTTGGCTTTCATCTGTTTGAATGATATGTCTGGGTATTCACAGAGCTTCTTGGGTGTATAGATTAATGTTTTACATCAAATTTGGAAAGTATTCAGTTATCTTTTATATAGGTATTTTTTTCTGCCTTTTTATCATCTCTCTTTCTGGGACCCCAATTATACATTTGTTGGTTTGCTCAATGGTGTCTCCTTGGCCTCTGAGGCTCTGTTCATTTTTCTTTTTCTTTTTCCTCCTACTCTTCATACTAGGTAGTTGCTGTTGATCCATCTTTGAGTTTGCTGATTCTTTTTTCTTTTTGGTAACTCAAATTTGCTGTTAAATCACTCTAGTGAATGTTTTATTTTGGCCATTGTGTTTTTCAACCCCAGTATTTTCATTTGGTGCTTCTTTATCATTTCTACCTCCTTATTAATATTGTATATTTGATCGGTCATTGTCATTCCACTTTCCTTTAATTCTTTAAACTTGATTTTATTTACTTCTTTAAATATACTCAAAATAGCAGTTTAGAAGTATTTGCTACATGCAACATGTAGGCCCACTAGGAAACAGTCTCTACTGTTTTTGTGTGTATGGGTCCCTCTTTCCTGTTTCTTTGCAGGTCTCATAATTTGTTGTTGAAAAACTGGACGTTCTAGGTAACATACCGTAGCAACTGTGGGCTCTGATCTCCTTCCCCACCCAACCAGGGCGGACGGTTGTTGCTGTTTGCTTGTTTGTTTGTTGTTTGTTTAGTGACCCACCTGGACTGATTCTGTGATGTCTGTTTGTCTCACAGCATGTAACCACTGAGATATCTGCTTAGAGTTTTTTTCTTGTTTTTATTTTTATTTATTTTTTTGAGACAGAGTCTCGCCGTGTCGCCCAGGCTGGAGTGCAATGGTGTGATCTCGGCCCACTGCAACCTCCGCCTTCCAGGTTCAAACGATTCTCCTGCCTCAGCCTCCTGAGTAGCTGAGATTACAGGTGCCTGCCACCATGCACAGCTAATTTTTGTATTTTAGTAGAGACAGGGTTTCACCATGTTGGCGAGGCTGGTCTCGAACTCCTGACCTCATGATCCGCCCACATCAGCCTCCCAAAGTGCTGGGATTACAGGCGTGAGCCACAGTGCCCGGCTTCTTGTTTTTAAGCCTGGCTTCCTAGATCGGCATAGCTTAATGGCCAGAAGTTGAGCCACACCTTGTGCCGCGAAGGCTTTACCTTTTGTCAGTGGATCTCTGTGTGGCTTGGAGAATTCATTCAAAGTTCCAGATTTTTATGAGTCTCCAGTCTGTCCTGAATGTGAATGTGTATGCAGCCTTGTGCATACCTTCTAGACCACCAGACACATGTGGCAGCTTTTCAAGACCCTCTTTAGTTGTATCATTACCTGGATTTCCATGTTAAATTTTTGGCAGGCCTGTTGGCCTATTGCTTGTCCTAACCAGTACTGCAACCTCAAGCTAGCTGCAATTTTGGTCTTCCATGATTGTCACTGAGATAACTCTTGTTTTCAACAACCCTGGGCATGGAAGTAAAGTCAGTCACCCTCTGCTGCCACGCCATTCCCTCCCACAAGCCCCACCCACCTGGATAGAACTTCCTTACCACAACCGCAGAGCTGGAGGTGAAGGGGCAATGCTAAAACACTACAGACTTCCACTGTTCTTTCTGAGAACCAATAGACTTTCTTTTTTTTTTTTTTAGACGGAGTCTTGCTCTGTTACCCAGGCTGGAGTGCAGTGGCGCGATCTCAGCTCACTGCAACCTCCGCCTCCCTGGTTTCAAGGGATTCTCCTGCCTCAGCCACCCGAGTAGCTGGGACTACAGGCTCGCGCCACCACGCCCTGCTGATTTTTTGTATTTTTAGTAGAGACGGGGTTTTACCGTGTTAGCCAGGATGGTCTCAATCTCCTGACCTGCCCGCCTTGGCCTCCCAAAGTGCTGGGATTACAGGCGTGAGCCCACGCCCGACCACGGATGGACTTTCTTAAATTAACCCTTCTCAATCTGTTGTATGGCTTTGGTCAAATTTCCAGTCTTTAAATGACTGTCTTTGGCAATTTTGTCTGGCTTCATAATTGTTTTGGGAAAAGAGGATTTGCTGAGATCTGCACTCAGCCATTCCACAAGTCCTGCCCACTTGCAGCAATGAGTTTTTGTGGGCACAAAGCAAACAGTATACACTACAATATTTCATGGAAGGAACTGAGGCCAAGAGAGAGGAAGTGCTTTGTCTAAAGTCCCACAGCAAGTCCATGGTCGAGCTAGGACCAGAACTACTCCCTTGCCCCTGCCAACAAACCAACTCTTTCTTCTGCCTTAAAGGGAAAATGTAATGGCAGCCACATATCCACTAGAGGGCTCCCCATACCAGGCTTCTCACCCAGAAAGCAGAATGATATTGCAGGAGACTTCAAACTGGACTTCATTTTCTTTTGCCATAAGCCCAGGGAAAGCAGTAGGGATATCCCCCACCATAAATCCCGGAAGCCGGTAGTATACAGAAGAGGTTGAGTGCTACGAGTTGGGAAGACAGCATGTGAGTGATGTAGATGGATACAGAGGAGCAGAAAGCAGCCAAGAGAGTAAGTGAAGAAAGGCAAAGTGGAGGAGAGCTCTTTCTCGTCCTTTGAAGAAGACTAAAAAGGAACAATAGCAAATAGTATTTTCTTTGTGATTCAGATAGTAATAAGACTATATTGCTTTAAGCAGATGCCTCTGTCTTCATAAATGGCAAAGGATCAGAGAAACTGTTTTAAAATGTTCATAAGAAAGTCTGAAGTTTAAATATTTTGAAGCTCATTTTAAAAAATCAAGTCAGGTTCAACATTTGCATGTGCAGATGCAGGTAAACAGTTAAATTGCCTTTAATTTATAATTTAGGTATATACAGATTTTTGATTCATAGATTGTCTAATTATTTTTTCCTTTCAGACATAGGTAAATGAGAGAGGAAGAGAAGTTATTTAGCCTAATTTCTTTATATGAACATATGTGCTAAGCTGAGGCCATTTCTGCTATTATACACACATGACACAGGAGACCCCATAGGCCCATCCTCACTGTTACAGTAATCTAAGGACCATTACTATCTAAGTCCTGACACTGGTCAGGAAGAAAAACAGAAATGCCCATGGACAAAAGATGAACAAGAAGTGAAGAACAGGCGCCAGAGCTCAAATCAATCCAACTCAGGCTATTATTTCTGGCATTGATCAGGGTGAAGGAAATGGCAGTAACAGTAAGATTATGGGACAGGTTTTTCTGAGTCACTCCAGAGGGAAAGCCACTTGACACGTTATGTTACTCTTGAACTAACCCCTGATTCCATCTCACTCTACCTGACCACAGACCCCAATACCTTAGAGTCCTAACCAATGCCTTTCACCCACCATCCACCATATCTAGTGGAGGGCAGGGCTCTCAGAGTCGGCCAAGCCAGCTGGACGGTCACGTCTGTTCTTTGTAGGAACATGCGGTCCGTTCTTCACCATCCCTCCACCTTGGACATATTTCCCCACCAACCAAATAGCCAGTTACTTCCCACTCAACATGGCTAGGTCATTCCCTATGACAACAAACAAGCAATCAATCAAATCCTTGTTGTTGTTTCCTGGAAAACTGACAGCAAGAAGATAACCCAATTCATTGTGAGGCCAATCTAAGCCAGAAGAAAGCTCAGAAAACCCAAGTTCTGTTCATCAAGGATGTCGAACAAGCTTTGTGGTACAGAAAACAGAAGGCTCAGGGATTGGAGAAGGAAAGAGGAGGGAATTTTGGAATTTTAAGTATTTTCTTTTGCATTTTAATACTCTCTCATCTGCAATATTGCCACTGGATGAGGTAGTAAGGTATAAAACTAAATGGGATTCACAGAGACTTAACAGTTATCCACTCTCTTGTTAAATTTCCTCCCACTGTAAATCGATTATATTGAGTATTGATTCTCAGCCTTGGTTACAAATTGAAATCGCCTGTGGAGCTTTAAAAAGTTCAGATTGGTCTGGAGTATAGCCTGGGTGCCAGAGTTTTAAAAGCTCCTTAGGTGAGTTTAAGGTGCAGCCAAGGTTGCGGTTATACTGGGGTCTTTTCTACAGTCCCATCCTTCCCTTTTTCTTTTCTTTAACATCTCTCCAGCATTTCATGAAGTTCTGCTAACTTCATGAGCCACAGAGTAGCTGTCTGTATGCTACAGAGCCGCCTCCAATCCCAGTTGATGCTGGTACCTTCAATTCTAGGTGAAGATTTTGCTGCCCTGTTTGCCTTTGTGTGATTGGATTAATTCGAAAGCCTTGTCTTCAAGCTCTTTCTTTTATTAATACTTGTTCAGTTCTATTTCCCATGCATTTTGTATATCTCTAAGTGTGTCTTTCATTTCCATAAGTTGTGCTTTTAATTTATAATTTCTATTTTTCTGGAGCATTTTTCATCCATATGCTGTATTGTCTTAAAAAATTGCTTTAACTTGGTTTTCACCTTTCTCTGGTATCTCCTTGAATAGCTTAATAATCAACCTTCTGGGCTGGGTGTGGTGGCTCACGCCTATAATCCCAGCACTGTGGGAGGCTGAGGCAGGTGGATCACCTGAGCTCAGGCGTTCAAGACCAGCCTGGCCAATATGGCAAAACCCCTCCTCTACTAAAACTACAAAAATTAGTGAGACATGGTGGCACATGCCTGTAATCCCAGCAACTGGGGAGGCTGAGGCAGGAGAATCACTTGAACCTGGGAGATGGAGGTTGCAGTGAGCCAAGATCGTGCCATTGCACTCCAGCCTGGGTGACAGAGCAAGACTCCATCTCAAAAATAATAATAATAATAATAATCAACCTTCTGAATTCTGTTTGTCCCTTTAGAATAAATGTTCATTTCAAAGCTCCCCGTACATCTGCACAGGCTGGCAACCCAGCTCTGGCCCTTCTCCCGGAAACAGGTGCCCACTTAGAGAAACTCCTATTTTCTAAGGCCTCCTATCTGACAAAGAAAAAAATAATCATAGCAAAGACTTGGAACCAACCCAAATGTCCAACAATGATAGACTGGATTAAGAAAATGTGGCACATATACACCATGGAATACTATGCAGCCATAAAAAATGATGAGTTCATGTCCTTTGTAGGGACATGGATGAAGCTGGAAACCATCATTCTCAGCAAACTATCGCAAGGACAAAAAACCAAACACCGCATGTTCTCACTCATAGGTGGGAACTGAACAATGAGAACACATGGACACAGGAAGGGGAACATCACACACCAGGGACTGTTGTGGGGTAGGGGGAGCGGGGAGGGATAGAATTAGGAGACATACCTAATGCTAAATGATGAGTTAATAGGTGCAGCGCACCAACATGGCACATGTATACATATGTAACAAACCTGCACGTTGTGCACATGTACCCTAAAACTTAAAGTATAATAATAAAAAAAAAGAAAAAAATAATCAAAAGTATGAACAAAGCCTCCTAGAAATTTGGGATTATCTCAAATGACCAAAACTAAAAATAATTAGTGTTCCTGAGGAAGAAGAGGAATCTAAAAGTTTGGAAAACACATTTGAGGGAATAATTGAGAAAAATTTCCCTGGCCTTACCACAGATCTAGACATCAAAATACAGGAAACTCAACAACTGGGAAATTCATCACAAAAAGATCATCATCCAGGCACATAGTCATCATGTTATCTAAAATCAAGACAAAGGAAAGAATCTTATGAGCTGTGAGGCAAAAGCGTCAGGTAACCTAGAAAGGAAACCCTAATAGGTTAACAGCAGATTGCTCAGCAGAAACCCTGCAAAACAGAAGGGACTGGGGTCCTATCTTTAGCCATCTCAAACAAAATAATGGTCAGCCAAGAATTTTGTATCCAGCAAAATTAAGCTTCATAAGTGGAGGGGAAATAAAGTCTTTTTCAGACAAAGAACTGCTGACAGAATTCACCACAACTAAGCCAGCACTACAAGAAATGATAAAAGGAGTTCTAAATCTTGAAAGAAAACTTCAAAATACACCAAATTAGAACCTCCTTAAATCTCACACAGCCTATAAAATAATAACACAATTTTTAAAAAAAAAGATATTCAGGCAACAACTAGCACAATGATTAAAACAGCACCTCACATCTCAATACTAAAATTGACTGTAAATGGCCTAAATGCTCCACTTAAAGGATACAGAATGGCAGAATGGATTAAAATCCACCAACCAAGTATCTGCTGTCTCTAAGAGACTCACCTAATGCATAAGGACACATAAACTTAAAAGGGGAGGAAAAAGATATTCCAAGCAAATGGAAACCAAAAGTGAGCTAGAGTAGCTATTCTTATATAAGACAAAACAGACCTTAAAACAACAACGGTTTAAAAAGACCAAGAGGGACATTATATAATAATAAAAAGATCAGTCCAACAGGAAAATATCATAATCCTAAATATATATGCACATAACACAAGAGCTCCTAAGTTTATAAACCAATTATTACTACACCTAAGAAATGAGATAGATGGCAACACAGTAATAGTGGGGGGACTTCAGTACTCCACTGACAGCACTAGACAGGTCATCAAGACGGAATGTCAACAAAGAAACAATGGACTTAAACAATACCCTAGAACAAATAAACTTAACAGATATTTACAGAACATTCCACCCAACAACTGCAAAATATACATTCTTTTCATCAGCACATGGAACATTCGCCAAGATAGATCATTTGATAGGCCACAAAACAAGTTTCAATCAATTTAAGAAAATCGAAAATATATCAAGTACCCTCTCAGACCACAGTGGAATAAAATTAGAAATTAACTCTGAAAGGAACCCTCAAAACTATACAAATACAAGGAAATTAAGTCATCTACTCCTCAATGATATTTGGTCAACAATGAAATCAAGACAGAAATTTAAAAATTCTTTGAACTGAACAATAATAGTGACACAACTTATCAAAAGCTCAGTGACACAGCAAAAGTGGTGCTAAGAGGAAAGTTCATAGCATTAAATGCCTACACCAAAAAAAAAAAAAAAAAAAAATCTAAGGTTACACCTCAAGGAACTAGAGAAACAAGAATAAACCAAACCTAAATCAGCAGAGGAAAAGAAATAACCAAGATCAGAGCAGAAGTAAATGAAATTGAAGCAAAAAAAAAATATATATATATATATGTATATATATATATATATATATATATATATATATATATATATACACATATATATATATGAAACAAAAAGCTGGTTCTTTGAAAAGATAAACAAAATTGATAGACCATTAATGAGATTAACCAAGAAAAGAGAAGAGATCCAAATAAATTCAATTAGAAAAGACATGGGAGATATTAAAACTGAGACCACAGAAATACAAAAGATCATTCACACACACAAACTAGAAAATCTAGAGGATATGGATAAATTCCTGTAAATATGCAACCCTCCTAGATTAAATCAGGAAGAAATAGAAACTCTGAACAGACGATAACAAGTAGCAAGATTGAAACAGTAATTTTTAAAAATGCCAACAACAGAAAAAAAAAAAAAAGTCCAGGACCAGACAGATTCACAGCTGAATTCTATCAGGCATTCAAAGCATTGATATCAATCTTACTGAAACTATTCCAAAAGACAGAGAAAGGGGGAATGCTCCCTAAATCCTTATATAAAGCCAGCATCACCTTAATACCAAAACCAGGAAAGGACATAAAAAAAAAAAGAAAACTACAGACCAATATCCCTGATGAACACGGATGCAAAAATCCTCAACAAAATACTAGTTAACTGAATCAAACAGCATATCAAAAAGATAATCCACCATGATCAAGTGGGTTTTATAGCAGGGATGCAGGGATGGTTTAATATATGCAAGTCAATAAATGTGATATATCACATAAACAGAATTAAAAACAAAAATCACATGATTATCTCAATAGACACAGAAATAGCATTTGACAAGATCCAGCATCCCTTTATGATTAAAAACCTCAACAAAATCAGCATAAAAGGGACAAACCTCAAGGCAATAAAAGCCATCTACGACAAACCCACAGCCAACATTATAGTGATTGGGGAAAAGTTGAAAGCATTCCCCCAGATAACTGGAAAAAGACGAGGATGCCCACTTTCACCACATTTATTCGACATAGTGCTAGAAGTCCTAGCCAGAGCAATCAGACAAGAGAAAGAAATAAAGGGCATCCAAATCAGTAAAAAGGAAGTCAAACTGTTGCTGTTTGCTGATATGATCATAGACCTGGAAAACCCTAAAGCCTAATCCAAAAAGTCCTAGAACTGGTAAATCAATTTAGCAAAGTTTCAGGATACAAAATTATTGTACACAAATCAGTAGCCCTGCTGTACACCAACAATGACCAAGCTGAGAATCAAATCAAGAACTCAACCCCTTCTAAAACAGCTGTAAAAAAAAAAAAATACTTAGGAATATACCTAACCAAAGACATGAAAGATCTCTACAAGGAAAACAAAACACTGCTGAAAGAAATCACAGATGACACAAACAAATGGAAACACATCTCATGCTCATGGATGGGTAGAATCAATATTGTGAAAATGATCATACTGCCAAAAGCAATCTACAAATTTAGTGTAATTCCCATCAAAATACCTATTCACAGAACTAGAATGAAACAATCCTAAAATTAGTATGGAACCAAAAAAGAGCCCACATAGCCAAAGCAAGACTAAGCAAAAAGAACAAATCTTGAGGCATCACATTACCTGACTTTGAACTATACTGCAAGGCTATAGTTACCAAAACAGCATGGTACTGGTATAAAAACAGGCATGTAGACCAATGTAACAGAATAGGGAACCCAGAAATAAAACAAAATACAGCCAACTGTCTTCAACAAAGCAAACAAAAACATAAAGTAGAAAAGGACATCCTATTCAACAAAAAATGCTGGGATAATTGGCAAGCCACATGTAGAAGAATAAAGCTGGATCCTCAACTCTCACCTTCTACAAAAATCAACTCAAGATGCATCAAAGATTTAAATCTAAGATATGAAACCATAAAAATTCTAGAAGATAACATCAGAAAAACCCTTCTAGACATTGGCTTAGGAAAAGAGTTCATGATCAAGAACCCAAAAGCAAATGCAACATAAACAAAGATAAATAGATGGGACCTAATTAAACCAAAAAGCTTCTGCACAGCAAAAGAAACAATAAGCAGAGTAAACGGACAACCCACAGAGTGGGAGAGAATTTGTACAAACTATGCATTCAACAAAGGACTAATATCCAAAATCTGCAAGGAAATCAAGCAAATAAATCAGCAAGGAAAAAAACAATCCCATCAAAAAGTGGGCAAAGGACATGAACAGGCAATTCTCAAAAGAAGATATACAAATGGCCAACAAACATATTAAAAAACTGCTCAACGTCACTAATTATCAGAGAAATGCAAATCAAAACCACGATGCAATAATACCACCTTACTCCTCCAAAATGGCCATAACTTAAAAATAAAAAAAATAATATGTGTTGGCATAGATGTGGTGAAAAGGGAACACTTTTACACTGCTGGTGGGGATGTAAACTGATACAATCACTATGGAAAACACCATGGAGACTCCTTAAAGAACTAGAAGTAGCACAACAATTTGATCCAGCAATCCCACTACTGGGTATCTAACCAGAGGAAAAGAAGTCATTGTATGAAAAAGGCACTTGCACATGCATGTTTATAGCAGCACAATTCACAACTGCAAAAATATGGAACCAGCCTAAATGACCATCAACCAATGAGTGGACAAAGAAAATGTGGTATATATATATATGCACACACACACACATACACACACACCACGGAATACTACTCAGCCGTAAAAAGGAATGAAACAATGACATTCACAGCAACCTGGATAGAGCTGGAGACCATTATTCTAAGTGAAGTAACTCAGGAATGGAAAACAAAAAAATCATATGCTCTCACTTATAAGTGGGGGCTAGCTATGAGGGCACAAAGGCATAAGAATGATGTAATCAACTTTAGGGACTCAGAAGGGAAGGGTGGGAGTGGGGTGAGGGATAAAAGACTACACATTGAGTATAGTGTACACTGCTCAGGTGATGGATGCACTAAAATCTCAGAAATCACCACGAAGGAACTTTTGCATGCAACCAAACACCACCTGTTCCCCCAAAACTATTGAAATAAAAATACAGATAAAAATGTATCAAATATGTAAATGTAAAAAACAAAACTATAAAATACCTAGAAGAAAACAGGAGAAAATCTTTGTGACACTGGATTAGGCAAAGGTCTCTTAGATACACCACCAAAGGCACTATTCATAGAGATTTATATGAAATCATGTTGTATGTCCACTTCTTTGGCGGTCTCCTTCATATAACTATTTTGAGTGACATCCGTGTTGTTGCTTTTTATCAACAGTTCATTCCTTTTTATTACTGAGCAGTATTTCATTACATTTCCGTTTTATAAAAGGAAAAGCTGACACATTGGACTTCATCAAAATTTAAGAACCTGTTCTGAAGAGACAAGCCACAGATGGAGAGAAAATATTATAAAGTATATATCTGATGACGTACTTGTATACAGAACTTCTGAAGAACTCTCAAAACATACAAACCAATAGGAAAAAATGGGCAAAAGATTTGAACACTTCACCAAAGATTATATATATGGATGGCAAATATACGCATGAAAAGACGTTCAACATTATTAGTCATTAGGAAAATGCAAATGAAAACCACAATGAGATACCTACACATCTATTAAAATAGCTAAAATTTAGAAGATTTTGACCATGCCAAATGCTGATGAACTGGAACTCTTATAAACTGCTGGTAGGAATGTAAAATGATACAACCACTGTGGAAAACAGTAAGTTAAGGTTAGAGCTCTTTTAGAATTTGTCTGGCAGGCTTGGAAAGCCCCAAAAAAGAAAAAAAAAATGTTAAGGAAAACAGTAAATTAAATATACATCTACCACATGACCTAGCCATTTCATTCCTACATATTCACCCAAGAGGAAAAAATATACAGTCTGCACAAAGACTCGTACATAAATGTTCAAGCAGATTTGTGATAGTCAAAAACTAGTAACAACTCAAATGCTCAATCAACAGGTGAACACATAAACAAGAGTGGTATATCCATACAATGAAATACTGCTCAGTAATAAAAAGGAATGAACTGTTGATAAAAAGCAACAACATGGATGTCAGTCAAAATAGTTATATGGGCTGGCTGCAGTGGCTCATGCCTGTAATCCCAACACTTTGGGAAGCCGAGGCGGGAGGATCATGAGGTCGGGAGATCGAGACCATCCTGGCTAACACAGTGAAACCCCGTCTCTACCAAAAATACAAAAAATTAGCCGGGCATGGTGGCAGGTGCCTCTAGTCCCAGCTACTCGGGAGGCTGAGGCAGGAGAATGGCGTGAGCCCAAGAGGCAGAGCTTGCAGTGAGCCAAGATCACGCCACTGCACTCCAGCCTGGGCGACAGAGCGAGACTCCATCTCGAAAAAAATATATATAGTTATATGAAGGAGACAGACAAAGAAGTGCACATACAATATGATTTCATATAAATCTCTAAAAATGTGAACACATCTATGGTGACAAAAAGCATATCAGTTGTTGCCTGGGGATGGGAGTGGTATGGGAAGAGAGAGGGATTACAAAAGGCACAAAGAAACTTTTGTAAATGACAGAGATTATTCATTATCTTGATTGTGGTGAAGATTTGACAGGATATATATATAGATGTCAAAATGTATCAAACTATACACTTCACTGGCATATATATATGCCAAATTTATCAAATTGTATATTTTAGATATGTGGAGTTTACTATATGTCAATTACACCTCAATAAAACTGCTTTAAAACAAAGCATAACCAACATCCCAAATCAGGATATTTATTAGACCATCTAAACCAAGTTTGTCCAACCCGCAGCCCACAGGCCACATACAGCCCAGGACAGCTTTGAATGTGGCCCAACACAAATTTGTAAACTTTATTAAAACATTATGAGACTTTTTTGTGGGTTTTTTTTTTTTTTAAGCTCAACAGCTATCGTCAGTGTTAGTGTATTTTATGTGTGGCCCAAGACGTTTCTTCTTCCAGTGTGGCCCAGGGAAGCCTAAAGATTGGACACCCCTAGAAACAAAGTAAAATACAATATGTAGAGAAGTTGCCAGGAGGTTAAAGATAGTCACTTTGAGAATTCTTGTTACACCTACCTCAGCTGCTTGCTTTATTAACTTGCCTTCATTCTCAGGCTTTGGAATTGAACTCCAGTCTGCTTTCTGGCTGGGTGTGGTCTCCAAGCTAACTACAGCCTTCTCCCTAAATGATTTTGCAATCACAAAGTTAACAAATATCACTATTTCATAATTATTGGAAAATCTGTATTACAGATTTGTGATTTTTAAGATGGCTTTTGGTTTGGAGACTGTAGGGAACATTTCCCCCCGTTTGTTTCTGTGAACCCATTAGCTTTCATACAAAAGAATTGCTGTTTGCTGGTTTTCTGACAATTGTTCAAATGCTAATGATAGCAAGAAGCAGTTTTGGGGGTTTTTATTTTTTAATTTGCTAATAATGTCTTTTTAATGTTTATCAAAGTGATACTTGCACATGGTTTCCAGTACATAAGAATTTATAATGAAATGCAAGGAGCCTTCCTCCTTTCCCTTTTCATCCCAGCCCTACTGCCCAGAGGCAAACCCCTTGAACTCTTTCTTCCAATAATTAGCCCCAGATTTCTAAGAAAGCTTGATAAGCCACAACACTGCAACTGCAAGTAATATGAATGAAATCAGTATATTTCTCCCTTGAAACAAAATGTTACAGGAGAGGACAGAAATGAAAGGCAAGAATATGCTTTCAAGCATATTAAATTAAGGTAGTATAGTAGAGTAAAATACTTCGAAGCCAAAAGATCTAGGTTTGAATCCTAGCTTTCATGATTGCTGTCCCACCTTGAGCTAGTAAATTAATGTCTGACTCTCAGCTTGATTATCTTTAAAAATAGAGATGAAAATGTGTCTCACAGTGGTCAAGAAGGTGAAAGGACACAGCACATGTAAACATCTGGTATACCACCAACTCAGAAATGACTTTTTCTTTACCTTTTCCCATGCTTTAAACTCTTCTCCAGAAAAAAATAGTGTGTGGGGCAGAGGGGACACCCCTCATTTTCAGTAGAGCTCCTCTCCAAAATTTCAGCCCCTCGGAATTTTTTAAAGCAGCAATCATCATGTTGTTAATGAAAGTGAATTCAGGAAATCTGCCAAAGGCCGACTCATTGTTCACTGATTAGTGAGACCAAGGACAATACTGTAAGCCTCCTGCTAAAGCCATTCATTTCTCTGGGGTCTAGAGAATGGCCTTGTGGCTAGAAACAGCTGCAACGCATGCCTGTGGCCAGCAGGTCCCAAGCCCAGTACCATCTGTTATCACCCAGGATCACACCAGCCTTCCCCTTGCTGGGTACCGGCTGGCTGGTTCACACAAAAACCACCTCTGGGTTTGTTTTACAGAACTGCATTCCAAGTCAATTCTCCAAAAGATTTCTTCCACCCAAAGACCCCAACCTTACAATCTTCTTACCCTTGCTGGATGCTTCTGCCCTGTTCTAATGTGCCCGGCGGAGGCTGCTTGGCTGGGAGCTGGACCAACGCTGCGAATCCCACGGATTCTTCTAATTCAAGGGGGGAAATGCTATTTAGACCTGTGAAAGGAGAGTTCGAGCAAGCACCTTGACCGCTACGGAGAGTGGGCTCAGAGCTCTAGTCTAGCATCGTGCCTGGCCCCTGGTTAGGCCTCAGAAAATCTTGGGATGAATGGAGAGGGTTGTGGAACTAGGTGCTGGAGCGGGTTCAGTTCCTCTGCCAAAGAGAGACTTTGGGATTCCTGGGAACGGAATCGGGGAGAGGATGAAGAAGGGCGCCTCGCCTCTATCCTAAGCCCGATGGGAGGAACCTCTGCCGAGCCAGAGCCGGTCTTAACACCACCCTCCGGAGCTGCCACCACTGCCTCACTTCCATATGAGATATAGCGGGAAGGAGGGAGTGGCTGCCTGGCTCGCTTTGATTAGCTTTATAACAAGCGGTCGTTCTGAAATACTCGCTCATGATGGCTAACAGACAACACAATCGCCAAATGTCTTAAGAAAAGGAGCTTTGAGGGTAACCGCCCGCTGGGACCTGAAGGACAATTGCGGATTGTCCTTCAGCCGCATTCTTGGGGCTGACCTGAGTGGGGCACAGCTGAACGTCTGAGCGCAGGCGGCTGGTCCTTGGGCCCGGTACTGGCGGTTCGCGAGGCGGGTTTGGGGAGGGGTGGGGGAATCCTAGGGAGGCGGAGCGCGTACTCCCCCTCGGCGCCCGGGCTCAGGCCCATCCCGCCTCTGCGGCCTCGCCGGCCCCCAGGCCTTGCAGGGGACTACGCCCCTGGCGAGTTCCCAGTCGGCGCGGCCCCTGGTCGGCGGAGCCGCGGAAGCTTGGGCACTGGGGGCGGCTCGGGGAGGAACCGCGGAGGGGAAAGCGCCGCGGGCTGCAAACGGCAGAGGCGCGCGGGGTGGCGACAGTGGCGCGGGCGCAGTGAGCGCGTCCGAGAACAGAATGGGACGAAACGGGGCGCTTAGAGGCCCGGGAATCTGTGGGTCTTTTAGGCGGAGAGGGGCGAAGGAGGTTATTCGTTTTGGGGAAGGTCATGGAAACAGCAAAGGCTCAGAGGTGGTGCCTAAAGTGGCTGGAGAAGCTGAACGGTTTGGAACAGAGGCGTGACTTGGAGGGGTAAATGGAGACCAGATTAGGAAGCCTTGGGAGGCACAATCAGGGGTTAAAATCTTGAACAATTCAGAGTTGTTTTATTTTTAAAAATATATAGAAAATGAAATCTACACTTACGTAATAGATAACTTATGAAAAAGTACATGGAATACACATGTTGCAGTCTTGCCAATGTACCTTAATGTAGCAGTTTCTCCTTGTCTGGACTGATACCCGGGATTCTTTGTCCTACTCCAAGAAAATTAAGGAACGGGACATAAGGTGAGGTGGGAGCGAAAGTTTAATAAGCGAAAGAAGAAAGCTCTCCACAGTGAGCTGAGTATGCAAGTGGATTGCCCTGTTACAGCTGAATTCAAAAGCTTTTGCAAGAAAATCTCTTATCTCTGTAGTAGTTTGAGTAACTTCTCTTATCAGTAAAGCTGTCTTACGCAGCTGTGGTTATGTATCTATGCAAGCACAAAGCACCGCCTTTTTTGTTTGCATAACTGTGGGTTTGTTTTAGGTAAGCCCCCCTCCTCCCTGTGAAAGTTCCCACCATGTATATGCCTGAAAAGGGGAGAAAACTTTCCTGGGAGCTCCCTAATTATACAAAGAACAAAAGGCTTCTGTGCTGGACCCTGTCTGCTTATCTGTGTGCAGGTGGAGCCTGAGTTTTTTACCAGGTTGTTTTATTTTTGCCTGTTGCTGTGACTTTTCAGGCAGGCCGCTTCTGCATTGAGTCTTCCCCAACTGATTTTCTCTTTCCTTCTCTCTCGCACACAGTTAGGAAACATAATGTAATTACTACCCATGACAAAACCATCCTACGTAAGAAATGGAACATTCCTAGTACAGATGCTCCCCACCTATGGATTCCTTCCTTATCCCTTCTCCCTCTGCACGCCCAACGTCTATCCTGACCTTTGTGTCTGTCATACCCTCACTTTTTAAAATAGTTTTTTAAATCGCTTCTTTGTATCCCTAATACATCACTTTGTTTTGCTTCTCTGAAACTTTATAAAAATGGTGCTATGGTCTGGGTGTTTGTGACTCCATAAAATTCATGTGCTAGAATTCTAACCCCCAAAGTGATGGTATCAGGAGATGGGCCCTTTGGTCATGAGTGGGATTCATAAGAGCCCTTATAAAGGAGGTCCTGCAGAGCTACCTAGCCACTTCCACCATGTGAGAACACAGCAGTTGCTGAGACCAGTCCCTCACAAGACAGGAATCTGCTGGTGCCTTGATCTTGGACTTCCCAGCCTCCAGAACTGTGAGAAATAAATTGTTGTTGTTTATAAGCCACCCAGCGTATGGTATTTTGTTATAGCAGCCCAAATGGACTAAGACAAATGGTATCATGCTGTTAAGTTCTCTTCTGCAATTTTCTTCTTTCAAAGTTGTTTCTATAATACATACACAGTGCTGTATAGTCCTGTAATTCATTTTCACTGCAGTAAAATATTCCACTATGTGGCTATACCACAATTTATTGACCTAGTGATAAAGCCACTTGGTGATTTGTTGGTTCTTTTTTTTTTTTTTTTTTTTTTCAATTTGGGGTTGGAAACAATTGAGAAGAACCCAATTTGTATCCTGGTGTATGCATGCAGACATCACACAAGATGTAATACCTAGGAGTATATACAAATATCCAACTTTACAATAAAACACTAGAACTATTTCCCCAATTGGTGGTCCCAATTTCACTTCTACCAGCAATGGGTAAGATTTATTAATTTACATCCTCACCAACACTTAGTATTGTCACACTTCTTGATTTTTCCAGGTGAGTGAATGTAAAATAGTATTTCACCAGCGTTTTAATTTGCATTTCCCTGATCACTAATAAAGTTGAGACCTTTACATATATTTATCACATTCCCTCTTTTTAAAAGTGTCTGTTCATGTCCTTTGCCCATTTTTCTTTGGAGTTGTGTTCTTTTTGATTTGTAGAGCTCTTTGTATATTCTTGATACTCATCTTTAGTCAGTTATACTTGTTTACACACATTTTCTTGCAGTTCATGGCTTGTCTTTTCACTTTCTTCATGATGTCTTCTGACAAGTAGAATTCATGTCTTTTCTTTTGTGGTCAGCTCCCTATCTTTTCATGAAGTCTTTCTTGCCCTGAATTCAGAAAACATTCTCTTATATTTTCTTTTTTTTTTTTTTTTTTTTTTTTTTTGGAGATGGAGTCTTGCTCTGTCGCCCAGGCTGGAGTGCAGTGGTGCTATCTTGGCTCACTGCAAGCTCTGCCTCCCGGGTTCACGCCATTCTCCTGCCTCAGCCTCCTGAGTAGCTGGGACTACAGACGCCCACCACCATGGCCAGCTAATTTTCTTTTTTTTTTTTTTTTTTTTTTTGTATTTTTAGTAGAGACAGGGTTTCACCATGTTAACCAGGATGGTCTCGATCTCCTGACCTCATGATCTGCCTGCCTTGGCCTCCCAAGTACTGGGATTACAGGCGTGAGCCACCGTGCCTGGCCAGATAGTCTCCTATATTTTCTTGAAAATGTTTTTAAATTTTGCCTTTTTCGCTAATCCATTTGGAATTGATTTTTGTATATGTGGGAGGCAGGGATCCAACTTCATTTTTCCTCATATGAATAACTGTCTCAGCATCACTTGTTGATAGTTTCCACTTCTTCATAGATGAACAAGGCCACCTCTGTCCTGCATAATGCTTTGAAAGAGCAGGAATACTGTTGACTCTATTCAGTATCACTGATAAATGTATCTGTCTTTGTGCTACTATCATGTGGTTTTAATTGCTACATCTTTATGATAAATCTTGATGTACAAATATCTCAAGATCCCTCCTTACTTATTCTTCCTCAGGAACTTCTCAACCATGCTTGAGCTTTTGCCTTTCATTATAAATTGCAAAACTAGTTTGTCAAGTTGCTCAAAATACCCTATTGGCATTTTGCTTGGAATTACAGTAAATCAATAAATCAGCTTGGCAATTTTGGCATCTTTACAAAATTGTTTCTTTCAGTTAATAATGTATTCTATCTCTCTATTGTTAGGTTTTAAAACCTTTCAATGAATTCTTCTAATATTCTTCATAAATATCTAATCTTAGTATATTGCATTTTCCCTCTACTTATTTGGAAGTTTACACTGTATTCTTTTACTTATTGCCCTTGAAATTTTAACATGTATGCTTAAGTCTAAAATTAATATCCTAAACAATCCTCTGAAACAATGTAAGGACCTTGGAACACTTTCACTCTAATCTTTCCTACCCATGCTATTTTAGTCTGCCCCTTTTTAATCCCCAATTCACATTATTATTACCATTATTATATTAGGCAGACATTCTTTTAGATTTGCCTATATGTTTGCCACCACCTTTGCTCATCATTCCTTCTTGCATCACAAACCTTCTGTCTGAGGTCACCTTTCTTCCCAAAATACAGATGGGCCTTGAAGGTCCTATAGTGAAGTTCTATTGGTGATTAACTGCTGGTTCTCACGGTGCTGAGATGAGGACCTCAGTGCTTCCTGTGACACCATGTGGAGGAGCTGAGATGGAGAAGCAGAAGGACTTCTAATTCTGGAAAGGCCTGTTAAATTAAGCTTAGCCTAAAGCTGCCTCCTTACGTATTTTAAGTTCAGCCTAAAGGTTTCTCTGTACATAGTGAAATGTAACTTAACTGGATGTGTAAACAGACTATAACCTACTCTTGTGCCAGCCACCGAGTTTTAGCCAACTGTTCAAATCATGTTCAAATAAGGCAAATGCCAAGCTGTAACCCGTCCAGCTGTTGCTGTACCTCACTTGTTTCTGTATATCACTTTCCTTTTTCTGACCATAAATCATCTTCGACAATGCAGTATCACTGGAGTGTCTCTGAATCTCCTGTGATTCGACAGGTTGCCTGATTCATAAATTATTTGCTCATTTAAACTATGTTCAATTTAATTTGTCTTTCTTTTGACACGCCCAAAGGGAGACCCAGGTGCCTCTCTGGCGGTGGGGGGTGAGAGTCCTCAGTGGCAGAGAGTGTTGGAATGAAAGAACTTTGCCTGCACACTGTCTCTATGGAGACCACATACACAAAGGCCCCCAGCACAAGAGAACTACGCAGAGCTGGAGGGAGTCCATGGACTGTCCCACGGCACACTAGAATCTATCACCTCTGTCCCTTCTCCATGCTCCCAACTGCAAAGGGAGGAAGAGGTGGTGTCTTTGAGGTAGACATAGTAGCCCCTGTCATCCTTCTATTCCAGGGTACTGCAGTGGGAGGGAGGGTGCCCAAAGGAGCAAACCGTGCTCCCCACATCCAGGCCCTTAGCCATGCATCTCACCTGCCATTAGTAGGATATGGAATCAAAAGCTTAACATTAATTATGGCTTTTGTTTTGAATTTCTACTTTTTACTATGGACATTTTCACATACATATGAAAGTAAGAAAGAAAAGAAGTATTCTGTTTGAGAAATGCAAGCCTCCTTTAAATTATCAGACCCAAAGAGACACTGGAATGAGAAGCAGTCGTGTCCCACTGCCCCCTTAAGCTTAGTAATGATTTCGAAGCTGCTTGCTAGGCAGGCTCCAGACTGAGAACCCACATAGCCTGCCACCCTCTGGATTATACCCATGGCATCTTTTTTTGTGGGGGGATTGGGGGGGATATTCATCCCTTCAAGGATTTATCCATTGTGTTACAAACAATCCAATTATATTCTTTTATTTTTAAATGTATAATTAAATTATTGACTATAGTCTCCCTGTTGTGATATCAATACTAGGTCTTATTCATTCTATTTTTTTGTACCCATTAACAATTCCCCCTCCCTCCCACCTCCCCACTACCCTTCCCAGCATCTGGTAAACATCCTTCTACTCTGTATCTCCATGAGTTTAATTGTTTTGATTTTTTAAATCCCACCAATAAACGAGAACATGTGATGTTTGTCTCTCTGTGCCCGGCTTATTTCACTTAGCATAATGACCTCCAGTTCCATCCATGTTGTTGCCAATGAGAGAATCTCATTCTTTCTCGTGGCTGAATATTACTCCCTTGTGTATATGTACCACAGTTTCTTTATCCATTCATCTGCTGAGACACTTTGCTTCCGAATCTTGGCTATTGTGAACAGTGCTGCAGTAAACATGGGCATGCAGATATCTCTCTGATATACTGACTTCCTTTCTTTTGGGCATATACCTAGCAGTGGGATTGCTGGATCATATGACGGCTCTATTTTTAGTTTTTAGGAACCGCCAAACTATTCTCTATAGTGGTTGTACTAATTTACATCCCCACCAACATTGCACAGCAGTTCCCTTTTGTCCACATCCTCCAGCATTTGTTATTGCCTGTCTTTTGGATACAAGCCATTTAATTGATATATCATTGTAATTTTGATGTGCATTTATCCGATGATCAGTGATGTTGAGCACTTTTTCATTTGCCTGTTTGCCATTTGTATGCCTTCTTTTGAGAAAATGTCTATTCAGATCATTTGCCTTTTTTAAAATCAAATTATTAGATTTTTTTCCTATAGAGTTATTTGAGCTTGTTATATATTCTGGTTATTCATCCCTTATCAGATAGGTAGTTTGTATATGTTTTCTCCCATTCTGTGGGTTGGCTTGACACTTTGTTGATTGTTTCCTTTGCTGTTCAGAAGATTTTAACTTGGTGTGATCCCATTTGTCCATTTTTGCTTTGGTTTTCTATGCTTGTGAGGTATTCCTCAAGAAACTTTTGCCAAGACCAACGTGAAAGTTACCCCAATGTTTTCTTGAAGTAGTTTCATGGTTTGAGGTCTTAGATTGAAGTTGTTAATCCACTTGATTTGATTTTTATATATGGCAAGAGATAGGAATCAAGTTTCATTCTTCTGCATGTGGATATCCAATTCTCACAACACCATTTATTGAAGAGATTGTCTTTTCATCCAATATATGTGCTTGGCACCTTTGTCAAAAATGAGTTCACTGTGGGTGTATGGATTTGTTTCTGAGTTCTGTATTCTGTTCCATTGGTCTATCTGTCTTTTTATGGCAGTAGCATGCTGTTTTGATTACTGTAACTCTGTAGTATAATTGGTAGTCAAATAATGTGATTCCTCCAGTTTTGTTCCTTTTACTCAGGATAGCTTTGGCTACTCTTGTGATTCCACACAAATTTTAGGATTTTTTTTTCAATTTCTGTGAAGAATTACATTGGTATTTTGATAGAGATTGCACTGAATCTGTAGATTGCTTTGGGTAGTATGGACATTTTAACAATATTGATTCTTCCAATCCATGAACATGAAATATCTTTCCATTTTTTGTGTGTCCTCTTCAACTTCTTTCATCATTGTTTCACAGTTTCATTGTAGAGATATTTCACTTCTTTGGTTAATTCCTAGGTCTTGGATTTTATTTGTGGATATTGTAAATGGGATTACTTTTTAAACTTCTTTTTCAGATTGTTCACTGTTGACACATAGAAATACTACTGATCTTTGCATGTTGATTTTGTATCCTGCAACATTACTGAGTTGGTTTATCAGTTCTAATAGTTTTTCGGTGGACTCTTTAGGTTTTTCCAAATATAAGATCATATAATCTACAAACAAGGATAATTTTACTTCTTCCATTCCAGTCTGGATGCCCTTTATTTCCTTCTCTTGTCTAATTGTTCTAACGAGAACTTCCAGTTCTATGTTGAATAACAGTGGTGACAGTAGGCATCCTTGTCATGTCCCAAATCTTAGAGGAGAGGCTTTCAGATTTTCCCCACTCAGTATGATACTAGCCATGCCAGCTGGTATCTCCCTAGGTCACATGCCACCCTAATTGATTGGCTGTATACCCAACCTGGCACTAGAAGTTGCCTAGGAATTGCAGTTCTTGTGTCCTAGACTGCCTTTCAAGTTTACCTAGGACCCCAGAGCACTTCACCCTGTGGTGGCTAGGCTTGCCAAGAAACTCAAGTTCTGACCACTGGCTAGGGCTGGTTCAAATGCTCCCTCCATGCCTGAGCGCTGGCTGAGCCCAGCATGGCTTTATTCTCTGCTGTGACAGAGCAGCACTGAGTTCCATGTAAAATCCTTCAGTCACCATGCTCTCCCTCCCCAGAGTGCACAGATTCTCTTCTCTATGGTGCATGGCCACTGCTAGGGGGTGGGGTAGGGGTGGTGTCAGCAATTCAAGACTGTCTCTCTTGCCTTCCTCAATGTCTCTTTCCACAATATGAAGTGAAAACCAGGTACCACAGTTGCTCACCTGATTTTTGGTCCTCGTGATGATGCTTTTCTGTGTGCAGATAGTTGATAAAATCTGGTGTTCCTGTGGTGGGGGGCGGGTGGTATAGGCTTCTATTCCACATCTCGCTCTGCCCCTTCTCTGTTTTTCATGAAGGACACTAGAATCTTCCCAGTCATCAGGTTCAAGATACTGGAGTCACTCATCCATCCCCTTTCCCTCGACTCCCTTATTCAGCTGGCTGTCAGGTTCTGTCAATTCTTCTTGCCTAGTATTTCTCCTAAATATCCTACCCTCTGTTCCAGAATGATTTGAAACTGACCTCTAGAGAAAGAGGATCCGTGGAAGAGTTTTCTAGTGATCTAGAAGGCTATCAGATAGAAGAGGGAGGCAGAGATATAGACCAAAGTAGGTGAAAGTACACATTAGTCCCTCCTCTAGGCCCCAAGAGTTACACCCATTCAGAAGCAGGGATTGTGAAAGAGCCTGCTGGAACAAAGAAGGGGACAGAGGGGGCCACCTCAAGATCCCTGACCACAAATTATTTTTCCTAGGCTGTTAATTGATAATTGATTAATAATAGTTATAATTGGGGTATTATAATTAGTAAATTATAATTTTTTATTATAATTTTAAATTTATATATAATTTTAAAATTATAATTTACTAATTGTAATGCCCCAATTATAATCTGTGGCCAGTTAGAAGAAGAGTATGGGACTAGTTTGTGCTTGAGCCACAATTCCAGGTCTACTGGGATAAATTGAGGAGCAGAGGCTGGACAAGAGCCATAAATCATCAGTGGTTATGAAACCACCTTTGCAAATTTATGATGGTGAGAAAATTATGACAGGGAAAGAGATCTGATCCAACTAACATCCATCTTGCTCTTGACCTCCAAACTGCCCTTGATCATTCCTGAGTTTAGGCCAAGCTAACTTTGGGAGACATTTATGTAAAAAGTAAAGTAGAGGTTCCTCTTCAAAGACTTTCCTCCCCATCTAATTAGAAATAAATAGTAACTTCTCTTAGAAGCAAAATTTATTCAAAGACCTGTGCTAACATTCTTAAATATCTGCTAGCCGTAATAGAGAAATCAATGTACTTTATGTTCTTAGCTCCCACAATTTAGCCTAAATATTTGCCCTGGCATGCTTATACTGGTCCAAGCAAGCATTAGGTTATAGCCTGTTCCTCTTCCTTATTTGAAGGTATTTTTACCTTTCTCAGCATTCCGCAAGTTACTTCCTCCTTCCTTTGTTCTCCTCTGCCTTTGCCTCTCTTAAAAAGCTCTAAGTTGCTAGCCAATCGGGACAACTACAGAATATGAGGTCCCGTTCCAGCCAGTGGAAACCGGACACAGCAGTAGGGTGAACACATCAGGTTATAAATGACCCTGTCTCCTTTGTTGAGTGTACTCTTATGGCAAAACTGCTGGCGAGTGTACCCTTTCTGCAGAAAGTATAAAAATGGCCTTGCTGAGAAAATTAAATTTATTTTCAAGTGCTATTTCATTATGGTACTGGGGAACAAACATTTCAAACATTTAGTTTATAGTTTAAATGATAATAGCCCTTCCCTAAAACTAACCCACCTTTGTAAAGCTAATGAAAGGCCACCAGGTTAGGAGGATGAGAGGAGCCTAGATTCTGCCAAGGTGTAGAGGTAAACAATTACCAGCCATTATTCCAGAGATCATAAGATTTGCAACTCCCCCAATTACTCCTGCAGATAATATCATGATTGTAGAACCTCAGATTGACAATTTGAGATGTATTTTCAGGTTTTTGCATTTCTGACAATCAACCGATGGCTCCACCTGGACCTGCCAACCCCGCCAAGCAGTCGTGGACCCAGAAGCAGACTCCCTGGCCTGCCAAACTATCCTTACAAAACCCTAGCCTCCAACTTTTCAGGAAGATTGATTTGAGTAATAACTCCATTTACCACGTGGCACGGCTGGCCTCAATGATTAAACTCTATTGCAATGCTGTGGTCTCAGTGAATTGGTTTTGTCTGTGCAATGGGCAGGAAGAACCCATGGGGCGGTTACAGTTACATTCATTCATTCCATAAATATATTTGAATACTCACTCTGTGTCAGGCACTTTGCTCAATACTGAGGGTATAGGAATAAGTCTGCCATCATGAAACATAGTCAGGGAGTACAGCGAATGGGGAGAAAAATTAAACAGTTCTTCAAATATACAACGAGTGATGGTAGGCATTGTAAGGGAAAAATGGAGTAGGGAGCTGAGCTGGCCGTGGGGATGCACCCCAACCACCTTGCACATGTGTTCTCAGGACCTCCTGAGGGCTGTCATGGGCCATGGTCACTCATATTTGGCTCAGAATAAATCTCTTCAAATATTTTAGAGTTCGACTCTTTTCATCAACAGGTGGGAATAGATGATCCCCTGCCAGGTTTGGGGAGAAAGGTGTGAGGACTAAACTCTGATTTTTTTATCTTGCCCAAATTCCTGAGGGGTCTGGGGAGTCATGCCCTACAAATCATAAATTCTCATCAGATGGGTTTTATTTAACCCTATATATTGTGACTGACTTTCCAACCTAGCTCTGGCATAACATTAGGAGACAAGGAAAAAAATCAAAATATTTTACCCCAAAACATGTTTCTTTGCCATATTTTGAAATGACCCTGCAAAGTTGTTCTTTGTGGGGGAAAATGTGCAACTGTAAAGAATCTCTGTTAACATAGCTAGGTTTTTTTCTTCCAGACCCTCCTAATCTCCTAAAGAGATTAACTGAGACCTGAATAGGAAACATTTGTCATCCATTGTCTCTAAGGGCAGCCACGATCAGACTTCAAAAGAACTTTGGTCTCCACAATCTTTATCTTAATCTGAACTTTCCCTTTCTATGAATTCCAGGTCTTTAGACAAACTCAACCAATTGTCAACCAGAAAATGTTTAAATTCACCTACAGCCTGGAAGCCCCCTGCCCCCCTCCTTCCTGCTTTGAGTTGTCCCACCTTTCTGGACCAAACAACCTATGTATATCTTTTTTTCTTTTCGTTTTTTTTTTTTTTTTTTTTGAGATGGATGGAGTTTTGCTCTGTCACCTAGGCTGAAGTGCAGTTGTGTGATCTCAGTTTACTGCAACTTCTGCCTCCTGGGTTCAAGTGATTCTTGTGCCTCAGCCTCCTGAGTGGCTGGGATCACAGGTGTGCACCACTATGCCTGGCTAATTTTTTTGTATTTTTAGTAGAGATGGGGGTTACACCATGTTGGCCAGGCTGGTCTCAAACTCCTGACCTCAAGTGATCCACCCACCTCGGCCTCCCAAAGTGCTGGGATTACAGGCGTGAGCCACTATGCCCAACCCCAAACCTATGTATTTCTTCAATGTATTTGATTGAGGTCTCTTGCCTCTCTAAAATGTATAAAACCAGGCTGCACCCCAACCACCTTGCACATGTGTTCTCAGGACCTCCTGAGGGCTGTCATGGGCCGTGGTCACTCATATTTGGCTCAGAATAAATCTCTTCAAATATTTTAGAGTTCGACTCTTTTCGTCAACAGGTGGGAATAGATGATGCCCTGCCAGTGTCAGGGTCACCCTAGGCCGTTGGCCCCCTGAGGTCACCAGCACTTTCCTGGATTTCTCTCACAAGTTCTCCCTCATTCTGGCTCAGGAAGAGAGACTGCTTCTCTCACCCCTAAACACTCACAGACACTGAGGCCCTTTCTTATCCTGGAGCAAGCAGAAGCTCTTGACAAGCCCAATAAAGTCAAAAAGCAGTTACCTAAAAAGAGAAAGGAAATGCACCATCCTCTTCCTGCAGCTGCCTCCCCGGAACAGGCCTCATCAGCCCTACCTCTGGCTGTGGCAATAGCCTTGGGGTTTCAGGAAGATAACAGTTACAGCTACTCCACTCTTAGGGGCTGAATTGGGTCCTTTCAAAAAGCCTGTGTTGAAGCCCCAGACCCTTAGAATGTGACTGTATCTGTAGGCAAGGCATTTTAAGAGGTGATTAAGGTAAAATGAAGTCATGTGGTTGGGCCCTCATCCAATATGACTGGAGTCCTCATAAGATGAGAAGATTAAGACACAAACGCAGAGACCTGGGGAAGGTGGCTATCTGCAAGCCAAAGAGAGAGGCCTCAGAAGAAACCAAACCCTCTGACATATTGATCTTGGACTTCTGGCCTCCAGAACAGTAAGAAAATAAGTTTCTGTTGTTCAAGCCACCTGGTCTGTGGGTTTTGTTATGGCAGTGAGGACTAAACTCTGACGTTTTTCTTCTCTTGCCTAAATTCCTATTTAAGGGGCCTGGGGAGTCACAACCTACAAACCATAAAATCTCAACAGAGGGGTTTTGTTTAACCTTACATAATGTGGCTCACTTTCCATACTGACTCTGACATAACATCACATGACGGATAAGAAGGAAATCAAATATTTTACCACCAAATATGTTTCTTTGCCATATTTTAAAATGGCCTGCAGAGCCATTCTCGTGGGGGGGAAATTGCATTTGTAAAAAATCTCTGCTAACATAACTAGATCTTTCCCCCTTCCAGGCCCTCCCAAGCCTGAAGAAATTAATTGAGTCTAGCACCTTTTTGGGGTCTGAATAGAAAACATTTGCCATCTATTGTCTCTAAGGGTGGCCACCCTTGAGGCTTCATCTACATAATGAGAACCCTGGTCTCCACAACCTCTTATCTTGACCCGGACACTCCCTTCTATTGATTCCAGGCCTTTAGATAATAACTTAACTCTTTCAACCAATAGCCAATCAGAAAGTCTTGGAGTCCCCCTATGACCTGTAACCCCCACCCCGACTCCCTCTTTGAGTTATGCCACCTTTCGAACCTGAACCAATCATAAAACCTGGCTGCAGCCCAACCACCTTAGGCACATGTTCTCAGGACCTCTTGGAACTGTGCCTTAGGCCTTGGTCACTCATATTTGCTTCAGAATAAACGTCTTTAAATATTTTACAGAGTTTGACTTTTTTTATCCACAGCAGCCCAAGCAAGCTAACGTATCCTCCTTCCTCATTTCACCCAGGAAGGAAGTGAGGCTGGATGGGGAAAGCACACCATTGACCTCAAGCCGCAAGATCTGCACTGGTTCCGGGGCTGGGACTAGGACCCAGATCTGATTCCAGTGCAGCGTCCCATGTCCAGACCCATTCAACTTGGAAACCAAAAGTAAAATTCTAGGCCCCACAACCAACTGAACGGACCCCTCCTCTCAGCCAAAGGCATTCCAAAGTTAACCTGAGAAACAGTTCAGACTGTGATGGGAAGTGGGGGTTGGATATGCCTTATTATGCCCTCTCCCCCTTTGAAATTCAGGCACAACTGACCAGCATTAACATTAAAACAAAAATCTGAAGACTGACTAAACAGACTCATTGTAGCAATAAGACACCAAGTTCTATCCTGGCTCTAGTATAGCATCACATGACAGAGGGCCCTGAAAGAAATTAAACCATTTTACCCCAAAATATTAATATACATATTTGACATATTTTGAAATGGCCCTGCAAACCTCACTCTTGTGGGGAAAATCTGCTCTGCAAAGCATCCCCTTCCCTTTCCAAGTCTTTTCCCTGATCCAGGCATCTTTTTAGGTCTGATAAGAGCTCTGATGCCTGCTTCCTGGAGGCTTCATCTGCATGATAAAACCTTGGTCTCCACACCCCTTAACTTAACCCAGACACTCCCTTCTACTGAGTCCAGGTCTGTAGGTACTTACTTAACTCTTTCAACCAATAACCAATCAGGAAGTCTTTGAATCCACCTATGACCTGGAAGCCCACCTCTTCGAGTTGTGCCACCTTTCTGGACCAAACCAATGTACATATCACATGTATTGCTTGATGTCTCATGTCTCCCTAAAATGTATAAAACCAAAATCTAGCTCAATAACCTTGAGCACACGTTCTCAGGATCTCCTGGGGCTGTGTCACAGGCCATTGGTCACTCATATTTGGGTCAGAATAAATCTCTTCAACTATTTCAGAATTTGACTCTTTTCTTCAAGAAACTGGCCCCTCCACCCTTAGCTTCCTCTCACTGTGTATACAGAGCACCCTTCCTGAGCACGTCTGATTGAATTTCTCCAAATAAGCACCTTCAGTAACCCAGCTCCACCTACTCGGCAACATCTGAACAAACTCAGCTCCGCACCCAAAGCCCTTCTAGTTCCATCCTAAGTCAATGCTTCTCAAACTTTAAAGTGCATCAGAATCACCTGGAGGGGCTGTTAAAATGCAGATTCCTGGCCCCAGCTTCCAGAGAGTGCTCCTCAGTTGGTCTGGGGTGGGGACCCCAAACTTGCATTTTTAACAAGTTTCCAGGTGAGGCTGATGCTGGTGGCTTGTGGACCACAGCTTAGGTAGCACTGGCTAAGATACCTTATCCCAGGACCCTTCATGCACTCTCCCTCCATCCAGGGAGCTGCTTACTCTGCCCTCAGCACCCCATGCGCTTGAGCCTTTGCCCAGCCTGGTCCTGGTCCAGGAATTCCCTGCTGCCAAGTCTGATGCAATGGGTCAGATCCTGGAACCTCCTAACTCAGGATAAAGTTGAGAGGTTGTGCTGCTTTTTAAAGGGAAAGCCTTATTGGGATTTGAACCAGAACTGGAAGGACTGTAGTAAAATGCAGATATTTGGGCCCACCCCCAGATACAGGCCTCGCTGTGGGACATGCTGCTATGGTCACTTTCTCCATGTACAGATGAACAAAGGGTGGCCCAGAGATAGGAAGTGACTTTCCCAAGGGCACACAGCACATTAGACGAGAGGCTGAAGAGGAAGTCAAGTTTCAAGTCTCCCTCCTGCGCAGTTCTGTGCTTCTTGTGCTGCCTTTTCCAAGCTTAAGGGGCTCTGCTTTTTCCCCTTCCCTCATTCTACTTTCTTGTGACCCCAGCTGGGCCCCAGCATTTCCAGCTGATGCTGAAATGGAGCCTCAGGGGGCTGTAAAACTTGGAAAAGGAAGAAGAGTAGAGGAAGGGGCAAGAAAATGAGAGGAAGAGAGCCAGGCGTGGTGGCTCATGCCTGTAATCCCAGCACTTTGGGAGGCCAAGGCGGGCGGATCACGAGGTCAGGATATCGAGACCATCCTGGCCAACATGGTGAAACTCAGTCTTTACTAACAATACAAAAATTAGCCGGGCGTGGTGGCACATGCCTGTAGTCCCAGAGAGGATGAGGCAGGAGAATTGCTTGAACCCAGGAGGCGGAGGCTGCAGTGAGCTGAGATCGCGCCACTGCGCTGCAGCCTGGCAAGAGAGCAAGACTCCATCTCAAAAAAAAAAAAAAAAAAAGAAAATGAGGGGAAGAGATAAAACCCTTTGTGGTGAAGGGAGGAAGGAATGGGAAGTCACCCAAGGCTGTCCAGGGAGCTGGGGGTGGGGCTGTTTCTGGAACCTAAGCACACGTACCACCTCCCCTTCCTCTGACCTAATGAGGGCTCGAGTTGGAAACCACAAACCCTCGTTGGCCCCACAGGAGCCAGCCTCTGGCTTCTCTCTGCAATGGCCATGTGCTGCAGACCCGGAGTGGGTAGTTAGTTGGTTAATGCCAGTCTTCCTCCCCTGGACACTGAGTTCTGCTGACAGCCCCCGCCCAGCCAGAGCTCTGCTGTATACCACCGGGAGTGGGGCTGGTGTGGAGCCTGGAGGTCGCCCGCTGCCCTCCTAGGGCTGCTCCAGACAGCATTAAAACGCTGCAGGTCGCAGGTGAGACTAACAGCTGGGAGAGCTGCTCCAGGCATTTAGGACCCTGACTGGGGCAGATGAGTCAGCCCAGTGGGGGCAGGGCTCCTGGAACGAGGATCTACAGTTGGAGTTGCCCCACTGTCATGTCACCTGGAGAAAAACTGGACCCAATTCCTGACAGCTTCATTCTGCAACCACCAGTCTTCCACCCGGTGAGTTGTCACTCTAATGTGGAACCTCCTCGGTCTCTGGGCTCTTCCCTTCCAACTGGGCCCACACTCCTGGGTGGTGGGGTGGAAAGGACCTCAGTCTTTCTGCTTCTCCCAGCACCTGCCCTGGGTTCTGGAAGGCCCTCCTGAGCTTAGTAAAGTGGCTGACTGCTAATTCCCACTTGGGTGTAAATGACTGCTAGGCTTCCAGGGTCACTGCATTTTGAAAGTGGCGAAGCCTGGAGCCACAGTGCTCTGCCCCTACTGTAATGGATGCTAGGAGGATGAGGGTGTGGGGGTAGGATTGTTGGGGGAATGCTGATTACTTAGTAAGGACAGTCTCATCCCCAGCCTGGAAGGAAGGGTCAGGTGGGAATTTCCACTCAGGGATAGGGGTTGGGGGTGTTTCTCTCTTTCTCCTCCAGCTCAGTCAGTGCCCAAGAGGTTTTCTGAAGCCAGGCAATGATTTACAGAAGGCTGAATTCCCAGCAGACACCCCCTACTAATGAGCATTAATTATCACTTTCCCTTACTTGGCCCTCCCCTCCCATGAGAGCTGCATCCACTCAGTTAATTACAGGCCTGGAGGGAGCCTGGGAATGGGAAGTGATCAACTGCTGAACCAACCAGCTGAGCTTGCCAAGCTGGCATCCCAAGCCTCCCTCCCATGCTTCTCAGGTGCCTGAGGAATGGGCTGAAGCAGCTGCCCAGGTTACGGCAGCTCCTTGCTTTAGAGGCTGAGAGCTCGCACCTGGAGGGCCATCCTGGTGGTTTTCAGTTTTTTCTAGGTGGTTTGGGTTCCTAAAGGTTGTTGGGAGTTAGAGAGCAACACAGGAAGGCCAATCCTGTGATACCACTGGTATGTACCTGCCATCCTGCTCACATTCATTCCAAACACATCTATGCAGAGCCCTCACGGCGTCAGGTGAGGCACTGAGCCTACAGGAGGGAAAGAGAAGGCTTCAGTTTTGAGGGGCTTATAAACTAGGGAAAAAAGCCAACCAGTCGCTCTAAGCCAAGGGCCAAGCCAGCCACATGAGCAAAATGCCCTGGGAGCTCAGGGGAAGAAAGGAATAATCCAAGGAACCCAAGTGGATGATGCTTGGAAAGAGTCAGGGTGGAAAGAGACAGGAGGAACAGCCCAGAAAAGGCAGGAAGTTGTAAAACTGTATGATGTATTTTAGGAAGGCCAGGCAACTTCTTTTTTTTTTTTTTTTTTTTTTTTTTTGAGACCAAGTCTTGCTTTTTCGCCCAGGCTGAAGTACAGTGGCATGATCTCAGCTCACTGCAACCTCCTCCATCTCCCAGGCTCAAGCAATTCTCCTGCCTCAGCCTCCTGAGTAGCTGGGATTAGAGGTGCATGCCACCACACCCAGCTAATTTTTGTATTTTTAGTAGAGATAGGGTTTCACCATGTTGGCCAAGCTGGTCTCGAACTCCTGACCTCAAGTTGATCCACCCGCCTCAGCTTCCCAGAGTGCTGAGATTACAGGCATGAGCCACAGAGCCCAGCCCAGGTAACTTCTACATGGGGAAAGGTGAGCCTGGGAAGGCCATTGTTAAGTGCCTCTCCAGGGGTCCATTTCAGAGTTAGCTGTCAGTTCCTAACTTGTCCATTCTTCTTGCCTCCCAGTTCCTAGTCTCCAGCCACTCAACAGTCCTCAGAAAGCCCCAGTACCAGGCTTCTGGGGACCAGGGTGACATCTAGTGGATGGCAAGCCTCCCTGGGGTCACTGCAGCCTGTTGTGTCCTAGGAGCTGGGGAAAGGCAACTGGCTGGTGCTGAATTTGGCAAGGGAGCGGAATTTGACTTCTCTGGTGTAATGCAGCTTTGCCGTGTGACGGTCCAGGAAAGGGGATTAGGTGGAAGAAAATATTTCAGTGAACACTGATTTTTACCTATAAGGAATTTTCTGTTTGGAGAGGAAAAGTTGAGTTTTATTCTGCTCCTTTCCTCCCACTCGCCTGACATAGAGGTCCCTAAGCCCTTTCTCCAAACCTGCATGGATGAGTTTCTTTTCTTGTTCAGGTGGTTCCTTATGTCACGACGATTTTTGGAGGCCTGCATGCAGGCAAGATGGTCATGCTGCAAGGAGTGGTCCCTCTAGATGCACACAGGTAAGGCGGGGGAGGTGGCCCAGGGGGTGCTGGAGCTCAGCCCTAGAGGCATCGAGCTGGAGGGCTCCTCCCTGCCACTGAGATCTCTGTGGGTCTCTGGTCAGAACCGCACTTTGAGAGCCTCACCTCCCAGTAGGTTTCAGGTGGACTTCCAGTGTGGCTGCAGCCTGTGTCCCCGGCCAGATATCGCCTTCCACTTCAACCCTCGCTTCCATACCACCAAGCCCCATGTCATCTGCAACACCCTGCATGGTGGACGCTGGCAAAGGGAGGCCCGGTGGCCCCACCTGGCCCTGCGAAGAGGCTCCAGCTTCCTCATCCTCTTTCTCTTCGGGAATGAGGAAGTGAAGGTGAAGGAAGGGACGGGCATTGGGTGGTCTAGAATTTGTGTCCTTGCGCCCTTCCTTCCCTCAGCCAGACTCCCCACGACACAATGTTGAGTGGCATTGGTAGTGGTCAGGTACCAAGAGGACCAAGGAGCTGCCATGCCCGGTTCCAGGCTGCCCTGGGCCCACATGGCAGCAAGAAAGCTCTACAGTGCCTGGCTCCAAAGAGGGCACTCCTGCCATAGTCATGGCAAGCACTTAGAGAGAACCTACTGTATACCAGGAACTGTTCTAAGCCCTTAAAAGTATCTGCTCATTGAATGCTCACAATAACCCCATTAGGTAGGTACCTTCATTATCCCCATCTTACAGCCACAGTGGCAGGGGAGAGGGACAGAGAACTTGATCTCAAGGTTTAGACCCCTAATGTGAGCTCCTGCCAGAAACATGATGGGATCTTCAGACATCTCCAGGAGACAGGGCAGCTGGCGGGAGGGTAGCCTCTTGAGCCTCAGTTTCCTCACGTAAATGGAGCAAAGATGACTCTTTGGGCTGCTGAGAAAGCACAATGAGGGGCCTCTGTTGGGGTAGAGGGAGCGTTGAAGGTGCCTTAGTCTCCAGGCCAGCTCTGCAACCTTTGGAAGATTACTTAAGCCGCCCAAGGCTCTGTAAAATGTACCTACCTCATAGAGATGACGTGAAGTTAAGTGAGGCAAAATTGAGGAAAAAGTGCTTGGCAATGCCTGGGACATTGTTATGAACTCAATGAACATTAGCTGCTGATAAGCCAGCCTCTGTCTGTCTCTCCAGGTGAGTGTGAATGGACAGCACTTTCTCCACTTCCGCTACCGGCTCCCACTGTCTCATGTGGACACGCTGGGTATATTTGGTGACATCCTGGTAGAGGCTGTTGGATTCCTGAACATCAATGTAAGTTTCCTTGGGACCAAGGCCTGGGCAGTGGCAGCCTCTAATTTCCCCTGACTCCTGGACGGGCCTGGGACCCCTTCCTCCACCCTAGACTGAGAGAGAGGACGCCCTGTGCACCAGTAATAGCCAAGGGGGAGGGAGTCCACTGAGGTTTCGGGTGTGAGTGGGCTGAGGGGGAAGAGAAAGTGATGGCAGAAAGGGTGTCCAGGAGCCGCAGGCAGGAGTCTGTAACCAGTGTGGGTCTGGTTAACACTGAGAAGCAATGGCCAGGAATGATTTGGCACACTGGGGGCCGAAACGGGTGGCAGCTGGCTTTATCATTCCCACCTGATGGGCTTATTAAAGCCCAGATTTCTGGGGCTTGCCACCAGAGATTCTGATTCAGTAAGTCCAAGGTGGGGCCTAGGAATTGGGATGTTCAAAATGCCAGCAAGAAGCTACCACTGACCAGCCGAATGGGAACATGAGGAGCTGTAAAGGCCAGGGCTCTGCCCACCTCCCAGGCATAGGTAGGGGATTGCAGTGGTCCTAAATGCTGCTGATTCTTTTCTCTCTTTCTGAACAGCCATTTGTGGAGGGCAGCAGAGAGTACCCAGCTGGACATGTGAGTTTCTTGGCAGCAAGGTCTGAGCAGCCACACCAGCTGACCCGCCCTTCTGGACTGCTGCTCCCATTACACAAGGCCCAGCTGCCCCTTCCCTCACTGCTGCGGTTGCCACGGACATGGCTGGCTCTGCTTCAGTCTCTGGAGGGCCTGGATTTTCCTCTCCCAGCCCCTCTCCAGGCCCAGCTTGGGAAGATGAATGGGGGTGGGCTGCATGCAGAGGGGGCAAGACCCCGTATTCCTAGCAGGAGAGGCCTTAGTTGAAATGCTCATTTCTCAAACCACCTCTGCAAGGTGGCTGGGGTTGGTCTTGCGGGACAGAAGGGGAGATGAGGCCCATGTACTGCCCAAGGCCACACAGGGAGTGGATGACAAATCCTCCACCCCGTTCTTCCCTATTATTCCAGCGCTGGTGAACCTCTGAAGTCCAGAGGATCCCACTGGGGCTCCAATGACTCACCTACTGCTGTGAGAGAGACAAGCCCCAAATATTCCCAATTTGTTAGAATAACAAGAGTTTCCCTTTTCCTGAGCAAATACCACATGGCCTTGTGTCCTCTCTTTCTTTCCCTGACAGCCTTTCCTGCTGATGAGCCCCAGGCTGGTGAGTGAACCTCCCTCCTGCTCTGTCAGGGCTGGGGGCGCAGCCTGGGTGAGCAGCTAATGAGCTCAGCCTGGTAGGACATGCCCCCAGCCTCAGGATTTCCCCTTCCTTTATAGAAAACTGCAGGCTGTGGGTGGGCCAGGCAGCTTATGCCCCCAGCCGCATGATTTCCCCTTCCTTTATAGCAAGCTGCAGGCTGTGGGTGGGCTGGGCAGCTTCAGGCTGAAGCTCCAGCTTCATTTTACCTTTTCTCCACTTATTGTGAACATCATTACTTGATACTTCTCTGTGCCAGGCCCGGTGCCAGGCTCTAGGATAGAGGAACAAGCTGGTCCCAGCCGTCCAGTTGCTCACAGGCTGGTGGGGGACAGACCACTAGATGGCAATTACAGTTAAGGATGCAGTGAAGGGAGAAGGACATGGTGGTCGGGACACAGAGAGGCCAAGCTCAGCCTGGACAGGCCGGGGAAAGTGTTCGGCAATAACAGAGTACAGGAGGCCAGGTGCTTAACAAATAAGCAGCGTGTCCTGGCGGCAGGCCTGGGCAGAACATGCCTGCCCCAGTGCTCCCCTGGCCCCCGGGGATGGGCGGTCCTCCCCAGTCCCCCTGGAAGTCAACTTCTCAATACCTCCCTTGTTCCTTCAGGAGGTGCCCTGCTCACATGCTCTTCCCCAGGGTCTCTCGCCTGGGCAGGTCATCATAGTACGGGGACTGGTCTTGCAAGAGCCGAAGCAGTAAGTATCCAGCATCTAAGTGGAGGGGAGGGAGCAGCCTCTCTGTGACAGTCACATGCTATAAAACATCATCTCTTTTAATCTCCTAGCACCACCATTTAATCCCCATTTTACAGATGAGGAAACAGAGGAGCAGAAAGGAGAAGTGGCCCAATTTGGCAGAGCTTATGAAGGTCAGGCTGGGACTGGGACCGACAGCCCCACTGCTGGGAGCATCATTCCTGCTGGTACATCTAGTCAGGCCTAGCCTCTTGTCCCAGGTCCTAGGAAAGGGGCCCCAGGAAAGGCCCTTCGTAGGTGCAGGCTGAGGCCCAGAGCAAACATGTAGCTTCCTATGGTAACACAATGTGTGGTTCAAAAGATACAGCCAGACTGCCCCAGAGAAGAGGGCTGGTATTTGGAAGCCAGGACTTGGAGGGACCCAGTGACTAAGTGGACATTACCAAACTTCTCCTACATGGTGCTTTCAAACCCAGACCTGTGGCTCCAATCCAGTTAGACAGGAGCCACTGGCCGGCCTGCCTTGAGGAAACGCATTAGAGTTTATGACTTCTCTGGGCCAGAATGCCTGGGTTGGCATGTGCTCAGGACACCTACTTGTGCAACCTTAGGACAGATACTTTTCCTCTCTGTGCCTCTGTTTTCCTCTCTGTAAGAAGGGGATGATAGGCCGGGCGCGGTGGCTCACACCTATAATCCCAGCACTTTGGGAGGCCGAGGCGGGTGGATCACGAGGTCAGGAGTTGGAGACCAGCCTGACCAACATGGTGAAATCCTGACTCTACTGAAAATAGAAAAATTAGCCGGGCATGGTGGCGCATGCCTGTAATCCCAGCTACTCAGGAGGCTGAGGCAGGAGAATCGCTTATACCCGGGAGGCAGAGGTTGCAGTGATCCGAGATCGCGCCACTGCACTCCAGCCTGGGCAATAGAGCAAGACTCCATCTCAAAAAAAAAAAAAAAAGATAGAGGGGGTTGATAATAATGCCGACTTTAGGGGTGGTACTTAGAATAGTGCCTGGTACATGGTAAGTGTCCACAAATGTGGGTACTACTGCAATCATCTCAGTGGAGGTAGGGGAGGGCAGAGTAAGGAAAGCACCCTATGTTCTCCTTGCTTAATTTTGTTTTTATTTTTAAGTCACTGACCTCACTAAACCCTTGCCCTGCACACTGCCGATCATGCCTGTGAATTCTGGGACAGGCATGAAGCCCAGCACTCGATGGCCTCGGCCTCCAAAGACAGGCATGACTGAGTTGGATTCCTGGTTTTGTCTCTTATAAACAGTGCGGTCGTGGGCCAGTCACTAAACCTCTCTGAGTCTGAGTTTCCCTACCGGAAAAAGGTGAATGATAATTCCAACCTGCTAGGGAAAATGAAAAGTGCTCAGTGATGGAACACTTCTTCCCACAAAACTTGGAGGCATGAGACCGGGTTCATATTGTAGCTCAAAGTCACAAGGTTACTAGTGACATAGTCAGCAAGTAACTGCTGTTTCCCAAGGGCCATGAATGCATGTGTCCTCAGAGGCCAGACAGGTCTCATAAATAGTGAGGAAACCAGTTGGGAAGGTGGTAAAGGGGAAGGAGTATCTCCATACACCCAGTCATGCCAGATCTTCTGACTATTTTTAAAGCAAAAATAGAAGCCATCTTTTATATAAACTCTCTCAATTTTTGAATATTATATTAAAGTTGAAGAATACTATGGACCAGACAAAACATTCCTATACACCAGTTCAGCCGAGATCCACCAACATGAAGATTTAGCACAGCACCTGGTATTTAGCGAGGCTGCAACCAATGCAGCTGCTGCTATTTTGTGAAAGCAACTGATGGCTTGAATGGGGCAGAGAGAGTAAGAGATGGAGGGCACAGGATTCATCTGCAGTGAAAATCTATCCCTCCTTCTTCACCTCATCCCTTCCCTCCTCGTTATTGAGTGGGAGTGTATGACTGCAGCCTCAAAGAGCTTCAACAGAGCTTCACTGGGCATCTGGTGATTTGTGATTATTCAGTGATCTAGTGGGCATCTAGTGATTCATGATTATCCAGTGATCTGGCGGGCTGAGCTGCATGAAGGTGAGGTAGGGAGACACTGAGGCCTCCTCACCAGGAGTTCGCAGGCCAGAGGAAGACACAGTGTTGTCTGGCAGGACGGGGTAGGGGGAGCCATAGTGGGGCTGGAGGCTCCACGCAGTCCACTCTCCAGGGTTCCTGCCTTCCAAGCTTCTTCCCAACATTGGGCCCTGGCCACCTCCTTCCCAAAGTTGGAAACTTACGGGGCCTCCTCCTGTAAGGATCTACCAATAGCCCTTGAAAGGCCTGTCCAGGGCGGCCTTTTCCCCTACCTTACCTGCCTCTGCATCCCATCAGGATGCCGCGCCTTCTCCAGCATAGCTCTTCAAGAAGGAAACTTGGGAAGTTCCCAAGACATAAAAATAATCTGGGCCGGGCGCGGTGGCTCAAGCCTGTAATCCCAGCACTTTGGGAGGCCAAGGTGGGCAGATCACAAGGTCAAGAGATCGAGACCACCCTGGCCAACATAGTGAAACCCCATCTCTACTAAAAATACAAAAATTAGCTGGGCGGTGCGGGCATGCGCCTGTAGTCCCAGCTACTCCGGAGGCTGAGGCAGGAGAACTGCTTGAACCTGGGAGGAAGAGGTTGCAGTGAGCCGAGATCGTGCCACTGCACTCCAGCTTGGTGACAGAGCAAGACTCTGTCTCAAAAAAATAAAATAAAATAAAGAAAAATAATATAATCCGGTTGCCCTATTTGAGAGGCAGGTGCCAGATCCCCCCACCCCCAAATCTAGAGTCATGAATCCTAGTTCACATCCTAACCTAAGGCCCTACCACTATTACTAGTAACAGAGAAGTCATTTAACTTCTTGTCCTCATCACTTAAATGGGCTGACAAACCTCACAGCACAGAATTTGTGAGGATTAAGGAAAGGCAAACTAGCTTCTGTAAAACACCTACTGTGTGCTAGGAATTGCTAGTTTTCACATACATTATCTCCTTTGTTCCTTTTTTTTTTTGGCTCTATGAGGTAGAGATTGTATTATATAGCAATATTTTTAAACAATAGGTATCATCTGAATGCTTATTACGTTCCAGGTGCTATTCTAAATAAGCATTTTTTTATGTATTCATTTAATTCTTACAACAATGCCACAGGCAGGTACAGGGCAGTTATGTTATCGTCACATTACAGATGAGGAAACTGAGGCACAGAGAGATTAAGAGTCTTGCCCAAGGTCACAGGACTAGAAAGTAGCAGAGCCAGGGTTGAATCGGGACTGCCTGACTCTAACCACTATGCTGTTTGGAAAACATTTAAGATAATACCTGGCACTTAGTTAGCATTCAATAAATGTTAGCTGTAGCTATCATCATCATAATCATCCCCATTTTCAGGAGGAGAAACTGAAGCTCAGGCTAGGCAATTTTCACACACTTCCCTCCCACCCCCATCCTCCTGTAGTCATAGATGGCAACCCTGGAGGTCAATCTCAAGTTCATCTAGAACTCGTGTTCTTTCCACTGTTCTGAGCATTCAGCCATGAGGCTGTCATAGGCCCTCAGTGCTTGTTTCTGGAGGCTGAAGCAGCTCAACCTTCCATCCACTCCCTGACCTCCATCCTTCCCCTGGGGGCTGAGCAGCGGCCTATGGGCAATGGGCGCTGATTCCTTCTCCTTCCTCCTGCTTCCTGCAGTTTTACTGTGAGCCTGAGGGACCAGGCTGCCCATGCTCCTGTGACACTCAGGGCCTCCTTCGCAGACAGAACTCTGGCCTGGATCTCCCGCTGGGGGCAGAAGAAACTGATCTCAGCCCCCTTCCTCTTTTACCCCCAGAGATTCTTTGAGGTAGGTCAGAGCCAAATGATTACATCCCTTCAGGCTGGAGCACAGAGCTGAAGTCCCATAATGACCTGGGAGATGCTGGGGCAGGTGTGCAGGACAGATGTTATGGGGTGGGAGGCCAGAGCCAGCAGAGCACAGCGAATGTCTGTACAGCAGTCCTCAACGCTCCACTCTGATGCCAGGGATCCCATGGCCAGAAACTCAATTGATGCAGGTGGGGGGGGGCCCAGGCATCAGCTTTATTAAAAAGCTCCCCTAATGATTCCGACGTGCAGAACCACTCCTCTACAGGAAGCAGCCCCAGTTACAGGTGGTGAAACTGAGGCCCAAGGCTGGGAAGATCCTTGTCAAAGACCACAGTGGGCTGGTGACAAGCCGGGCCCCTTATCCTGTTCTTTTCCAGCACTGTACTGGGTGCCCCCTGGGTCCAGTCTTCGTGTCCTATGAGAGGAGGAGGGTCTCACTGGAGAGAGCGTCAGGCAGACAAGGGAAAGTCTGGCTGGAAGCTGCAACCCCCTCATGTCCTCCTTTCCCAGGTGCTGCTCCTGTTCCAGGAGGGAGGGCTGAAGCTGGCGCTCAATGGGCAGGGGCTGGGGGCCACCAGCATGAACCAGCAGGCCCTGGAGCAGCTGCGGGAGCTCCGGATCAGTGGAAGTGTCCAGCTCTACTGTGTCCACTCCTGAGGATGGTTCCAGGGAAATACCGCCAGAAAACAAGAAGGTCAGCCCACTCCCAGGGCCCCACTCTCCTCCCCTCATTAAACCATCCACCTGACACCAGCACATCAGGCCTGGTTCACCTCTGGGGTCACGAGACTGAGTCTACAGGAGCTTTGGGCCTGAGGGAAGGCACAAGAGTGCAAAGGTTCCTCGAACTCTGCACCTTCCTCCACCAGGAGCCTGGGATATGGCTCCATCTGCCTTCAGGGCCTGGACTGCACTCACAGAGGCAAGTGTTGTAGACTAACAAAGATACTCCAAAATACAATGGCTTAAAGAATGTGGTCATTTATTCTTTATTATTTATTTATTTGTGGTCAAATAAATAAATAAGGTTATTTATTTATTTCGTTCTCATCTAGCAATTCTAGAGACAATGGTCCAGCTTAGCAGGGCAGCTCTGCTCCCTGGAGACATTCAGGGTCTGTCCTAGCCATTGTTCCACCACCCCCAGGGCATCATCATTGTCTCTGTGGCCCAAGCTCAGCTGCCACCCTATCTTGGCCTCACCCACTGAGAAGGCTAGTAGTGGCAGTGGACAAGACCCACCTGATATCATAAGCCCCAGACATGGGTCCGACACACACCAGCTACAGTCACATTTCATCTGCAGGCACTCAGTCTCGGTCACACTACCTGCAAGGGAGGCTGGAAATGTTCTTCAGTGGGACACATAAGACCAGCCACATGAAATAGAGTAGTCATAAAATAACAGAATAGTTTTATTCTATTACTATAAAAAACAGGGAGAATGGATTTTGGTGGATAGCCACAGTCTCTGAGACAAGTAGATGCTGTTAATATCCTCATTTTATAACATAAGAAACTGACGCACAGAAAGGCTAATTTGCCAAGATCACACAGTGAGTAAGTCATGGGATTAGAACCCAGGGATTCTGTCTGCAGAGTTTGCGGCTCTTAACCATAAACCATTATCTAGAGTACACAGGCACACTAGAGCTTCCAGATAAAGATGGACATCGGAGCTGGAGGCTTGAGAGGAATCAAAGAACCTTGCAAGTCGAAAAGTACAGACAAGACAAACGAAGGACCACCACCAAGGAAAGAGCAAGATTAAATGAGAAATAATTTAAGAATTATATATAACTGTATATAATATATACCATATATACATATATATAGCATAGTATACATTATACAGTAATATATGTGCCATGGTCTGAATGTTTGTGTCCTCCCAACTAAAATTTATATGTTGAAATCCTAGCACCCAAGGAAATGGTGTTTGGAGGTGGGGACTTTGGAGGGTGATTAGGTCATGAAGGTGGAGCCTTCATGAATGGGATTAGTGCCCTTATAAAAGAGACTCCAGGCCGGGCGAGGTGGCTCACGCCTGTAATCCCAGCACTTTGGGAGGCCAAGGCAGGCAGATCACCTGAAGTCAGGAGTTCGACACCAGCCTGGCCAACATGGCAAAACCCCGTTTCTACTAAAAACACAAAAATTAGCTGCGCATGGTGGCACACGCCCGTAATCCCAGCTACTCAGGAGGCTGAGGCAGGAGAATCGCTTGAACCCGGGAGGCAGAGATTGCATTGAGCCAACATCATACCACTGCACTCCAGCCTGTGTGACAGAGCCAGACTCTGTCTCAAAAAAAAAATATATATATATAAATAAAATAAAAGAGACTCCAGAGAGCTCCCTCACCCCTACCACCATGTGAGATTACAGCAAGAAAACAGGCGTTTATGAAATGGGAAGCAGGCCTTCACCAGAAACAAAATCTGCCAGTGCTTTGCTCTTGAATTTTCCAGCCTCCAGAACTGTCAACAATAAATTTGTTGTTTATAAGTTACCCAGTCTAACACATTTTAAAGCTGGACCTCTACCATTCACCATGTACAAAAGTTAACACAAGATGGATTAAAGATTTAAAGTAAGACCTTGAACTATAAGAATCCTAGAAGAAAACCTAGGAAACACCATTCTGGACCCTGATCTTGGAAAAGAATTTGTGACTAAGTCCTCAGAAGCAATGGCAACAAAAACAAAAATTGGCAAGTGGGACCTAATTAAAGAGCTTCTGGGCAGCAAAAGAAACTATCCACAGAATAAACAGACACCACACAGAATGAGAGAAAAATAGTATATTCACAAAGTGTACATCCCACAAAGGTCTAATATCCTGAATCTATAAGGAGCTTAACAAGAAAAAACCCCATCCAAAAGTGGACAAAAGGCATGATAGACAGGTCTCAAAAGAAGACATACAAGTGGCCAATAAACACATGAAAAAATGCTCATCATCACTAATCGTCAGAGAAATGCAACTCAAAACCACAAGAGGATATCATCTCATACCAGTCAGGATGTTTATTATTAAAAGGTCAAAAACAGCAGATGCTGGTGAGCCTGCAGAGAAAAGAAAATGCTTATGCACTGTTGGTGGGAATGTACATTAGTTCAGTCACTGTGAGAAGCACTTTGGAGATTTCTCAAAGAACTTAAAACAGAACTACCATTTGATCCAGCAATCCCATTACTGGGTATACATCCAAAAGAAAATCATTCTACCAAAAAGACACTTGGACTTGCATTTTTTTTTTTTTTTTGAGACGGTGTCTTGCTCTGTCACCCAGGCTGGAGTGCAGTGGCACGATCTTGGCTCACTGCAAGCTCCACCTCCCAGGTTCACGCCATTCTCCTGCCTCAGCCTCCCGAGTAGCTGGGACTACAGGCATCCACCACCATGCCCGGCTAATTTTTTGTATTTTTTTTTTTTTAGTAGAACAGGGTTTCACCATGTTAGCCAGGATGGTCTTGATCTCCTGACCTCGTGATCCGCCCACCTCGGCCTCCCAAAGTGCTGGGATTACAGGCGTGAGCCACCATGCCCAGCCGGACTTGTATGTTAATTGCAGCACTATTCACAATAGCAAAGACATGGAATCAACCTAGGTGCCTGTCAACAGAGGATTGGATGAAGAAAATGTGGTGCATATACACCATGGATTACTACACAGTCATAAAAAAGAATGAAACTATGTCCTTTGCAGCAACATAGATGCAGCTGGAGGCCATTATCCTTAGTGAATTAACAGAAGAACAGAAAACCAAATACCATATATTCTCACTTATAAGTAGGAGCTAAACATTGGGTGGTCATGGACAAAGAGATGGCAATAGACTCTGGGGACTACTAGACTGGAGGGAGAAAAGAAGGAAGGAATGGGAGAAAGGGTTGAAAAACCATTGGGTATTATGCTCACTACCTGAGTGACGGGATAATTCACACCCCAAACCTCAGCTTTACACAATATACAAACCTGCACAGGTACTCTCTGAATCTAAAATAAAAGTTGAAATTATTTTTTAAAAGAAGATAAACCTCAATTTCCACAAATGTTTTATAGGATATTTTTATTAAAATGTATTCTGTGTATAGATTTTTAGGGGCACAGAGGAGCTTGCATCTCTACATTGCTTCTTCCCAATCATATATACAGTATATCCCTCAATTTATTTTGGTCATCCTTTATTTCCTTCTGTCACTGGGAAACCAAGTTCTTTCCTTACTTTGTATTGATAGCCAAGAAAGAATATCCAATTGGAAAAAAAGGCAAGCAGATTTTATTGCTGGTCAGGAACGGAGGAGTGAGCTCTTTTTCTAAAGAACCCCTTCCGAAGGTGATGGAATCCAGGGAACTTTAAGGAATTAGATGTGGGGCGGGGAGGTATGTATGTAAGCATGTACAGGGAGGAACTCCAGATGTGCAGTTACAGATCATAAACATGCTTCTTCATATGAGGTATGTTCAGAAAATGGCAGCAATTTTCTTCTAGGGGTGGGGATTTGATATGGTTTGGCTATGTCCCCACCCAAATCTCATCTTGAATTCCCATGTGTTGTGGGAGGGACGCAGTGGGAGGTAATTGAATCATGGGGGCAAGCCTTTCCCAGGCTGTTCTCGTGATAATGAATAAGTCTCCTGAGATCTGATGGTTTTAAAAAGAGGAGTCCCCCCCTTTTTTTAAAAAAGTTTTTAAACTTCTATTTGCATATTTTTGAAAATTTTGCATTCCAATACTTAAAATCATTTGAACAAAAAAAAAATGGCACTCTGATTAAACAGTATTACAGGCTGCATGACACCTTGGGCCAGCTTGGTTTTACTCTAGATTTCATTGTTGTCCCACCCCACTTTTTCCACCCCACTTCTTCCTTCACCAACATGCACGTTCTTTCCTTTTCTGCCAGCCAGAAAGTCAGATGGGAGTGGCAGGCTTGGCCTTCATTGTCAGTAGTTCTTTGGTGTGAAAGGGGCAGCAGAGTCATTTAAACTTGATCCAACCTCTATGCATCTTACAAAGTTAAACAGCTAAAATAAGTAAAATAAGAAAGCAATGCTTGTGGAATGTACAGTGCATATTGGCAGCACATGCCTCATTACGATTCACCAGCTTGCTTCTCCTGTTCAATCATTTCTTTGGAAGGCAGTGGATTTTTCTCTTGCACTTCTGTCTTCTTCAGTTTCGACTTATCTCTTTGCCTCTGCCATCCATGTAAGATGTGACTTGTTCCTCTTTGCCTTCCACCATGATTGTGAGGCTTCCCCAGCCATGTGGAACTATTAGTCCAATTAAACCTCTTTATTTTGTAAATTGCCTAGTCTCAGATATGTCTTTATCAGCTGCGTGGCCTAATACAGGACTTTAGCATTATAATGATACGTTAATGATCTGAAGGTAACAAGGCATCACCAGCTCAGTTTGCTGGGGTCTTGCTCTGACCTTATCTTCCTCTAGTAATTGCCAAAGAGTCCTGAGGCTCCAGCAGCCTCCTGGGCCATCTGAAGTTCTCTTAAGCAAACATACCTGTAGGTAAAATGATTTAAAAACCTGTTTAAGGAAGAACAATGAGCTTTCTTAGTTATCTACTGTTTAAGAAAATAACAAGCTTTCTCAGCTATGTCTCCAGGGTTGCTCTGGTAACATAAGATGTGTGTGTTTGTTTTTACTGGGGCATCGCACAACTTTTGTTAGATTTATACTTAGGCACTTTATAGCTTTGTGTGTGATTTGTAAATGCTATCTTTTTAAAAAATTGTACTTACTTGATACTGGTACAAAAATGCACCTGATTTATGTATATTAATCTCGTTCCTAGCAAACTTGCTAAAATTATATATATTTTATTAGTTCAAATAGACAATCTTGCCCTGGCACAGTGGCTTACACCTGTAATCCCAGCGCTTGGGGAGGCCGAGGCAGGTGGATCGCTTGAGGTCAGGAGTTTGAAACCAGCCTTGCCAACATGGCGAAACTCCGTCTCTACTAAAAATACAAAAAATTAGCTGGGCATGGTGGCACATGCCTGTAATCCTGCCTACTCAGGAAGCTGAGGCACAAAAATCTGTTGAACCCAGGAGGCAGAGGTTGCAGTGAGCCGAGATCACACCACTGCACTCCAGGCTGGGGGACAGAGCAAGACTCTGTCTCAATAAATAAACAAACAAACAGATAGGTAATCTTACCACTTGCAAAAAATAATGATTTCTGATTTCTTCCTTTCCAATCTCCCTCTCCCTCTCTGTCTCTCACTCTTCCCCCCACTCCCAACCACATTCCCTCGCTTCCTTCCTCTCTCCCTCATGCTTCCTTTATTATATGACATTGGCCAAGAATTCTTGCACACTGTTGAGTAGCAGTGTGGTTAGCAGGCATCCTTGACCTGTTCCTGACCACAGGGAAATGCAATTAAGATTTCACTATTAAATATGATGATTATCATAGGTTGGGAATAGATACTATTTTTAGGGTAAAGAGATTTTCATTTTTTCTTAGTTTGTTAAGATACACTTTCATTTTTTTCATGAGTGAGTGTCAAGTCTGTCTTCTGCGTTTACTGATATGATCATATTTTTTCTAATCTGTTAATGAGGTAAATTACATTAATAGGCTTTCTAATTTCATGCTATAAGTATCTTTAAATTCCTTAAATTCCTGGAGTAAATGAATTTTTAATGAATACATTGCTGCATTTCATTTACTGATACTACTGTTCTTGCATTAAGTTCATAAATTAGCTTATAATTTTACTTATCCATCCATCAATACTATCATAGCCTTAGATTCTGGATTGTCTCTTTTCTGTGCAAGGTCATCAATTGTTTATATGTACTCTAGGTCTTTAATCCATAGATTCCATCTTCCTTTCTTTTTTTCTTACATTTTATTGTTGGGGATAAAACTGATAACTTTTCCTTATAGAGCTTCTCAGAGTCTGAATTCTGCTGGTTAATCCCTAGGGCATTGTTTAAAATACTCCACTGTCTCCTGTACTTCTTTTCATCTAGAGTTTTGATCAGATTCAGTTTCAATTTTTCAGCAAGAAAACCAAAACTACTATCTTATTCCCTAAATGTTTCTTTTTTAATTTAATTTAATTTTATTTATATATATTTTCTTGAGAGAGTCTCAACTCTGTCACCCAGGCTGGAATGCAGTGGCGCAATCTCAGCTCACTGCAGCCTCCACCTCCCAGGTTCAAGTGATTCTTATGCCTCAGCCTCCTGAGTAGCTGGAATTACAGGTGTGCTCCACCACTCCTGGCTAATTTTTGTATTTTTAGTAGAGATGAGGTATCGCTATGTTAGCCAGGCTGGTCTCAAACTCCTGACCTCAAGTGATCCACCTGCCTCAGGCTCCCACAGTGCTAAGATTCCAGTCATGAGCCACCATGCCCAGCTAAATATTTCTTTTTTTATAGCCTCCTGTTCTTGTTTCCTGAATATATTTTCTCTTCTCTCTTCCATGATATAAATTATAGGGAGCCGAAGACCCGTGGGATGTGACCAACTCAGCATTCCACTGGAGGCTATATGATCAAACAGCAAACTGTTTATCATAAATGCAGGATGTGAGCAAACTCACGACTGCTCCTGCCGACACAATGTTTGCTGAGGGCAATCGCTTCCTGGCACCAAGTTCCTTGAGGTTATCTACTGGGAGATCTAGGGAATGCAGTCTTGCAAGCCTACTCTGACCCCTTTTTCCACCCCCCTTTTCACTATCTCTTTTGCCTAATAAATATGGAGGGCTGTGTAAAGCTCAGCGCCCTTGTCCACTAGAGGCAAGTTGCCCCCGACCCCTTCTTCCTAATATACTCTTTTGTCTCTTGTCTTTTATTCCACGTTCGACCCCCCCACCCTTTCTTCAGTCCCCCTAGGTCCATACGGTTTACATAGTGGCACCCCGAACAGCAACAGAATCGGGTGCTCAACAATAAATGATGCTTTTGTAAATTTTCTTCTGCTTGCCATATTTTCTTTGTTTTCTTGAAGCTTATTTGTTAGTTATTTGTGTATTTTGCTGTCTATCTTTCAAATTAGAGGATTTCCTCAAATGCCTGGCAATCCTTAGTTGTTTGTGTTTTTGTTGTTTTTGTTTGTTTGTTTGAGATGGAGTCTCGCTCTGTCACTCAGGCTAGAGTGCAGTGGCATGATCTCAGCTCACTGCAACCTCTGCCTCCTGGGTTCAAGCAATTCTCCTGCTTCAGCCTCCTGGGTAGCTGGGAATACAGGCACATGCCATCAAGCCAGGCTAATTTTTGTATTTTTGCAAGAGATGGGTTTTCACCATGTTGCCCAGGCTGGTCTTGAACTCCTGACCTCAGGTGATCTGCCTGCCTCAGCCTCCCAAAGTGCTGGGATTACAGGTGTGAGCCACTGCACCCAGCCAAGTGGTTTGTTTATATTCAAGAGTGAGGCACTAAAATGCTAATTGGAAGCTTTGTGTACATGGGTTGGGCTTATTGACTTATATGACTCCTCACAGTGAAACAGGTCAATGGTCAATGGTCTCATTGTCTGAAGTGTTATCTGAGTTCATTGTCTCATGACCAAGAAAATTAAGGAGCATGGCTCCAAAGGGTGAGGTTGAAGTAAAAGTTTAATAAGCGAAAGAAGAAAGCTCTCCATAGTGAAGAGGGGAGCCAGAGTGGGTTGCCATTTTACAGTTGAATGCAAAAGCTCTTATAAGAAACTCCTCTCATTTCTCATGTCACCTGGCACATTTGGACCATGCAAGAGGGCTTACAAAAAAAATCAAACTTAATTGATGTAGAACAAATTCCATCCCATACAGAATATAGGTCTATAGTTTTTAATTTTCACAAAGAAAAGATAACCAGCTCATCAGAACATACTATTGGTACTGGTTTAGCAAAGGTTCATACTTCTAAGGTCAAGGCTGATATTGAAACAAAAAGATGTGTTCTTACCTGGAGAAGCCACATGAGCCACAAGGGCCATGTGTACTACATGGGTACAAGGAGGAGCTGGTACCATTCCTTCTGAAACTATTCCAATCAATAGAAAAAGAGGAAATCCTCCCTAATTCATTTTATGAGGCCAGCATCATCCTGATACCAAAGCCTGGCCAAGAAACAACAAAAAGAAAATTTTAGACCAATATCCCTGATGGACATCGATGCAAAAATCCTCAATAAAATACTGGCAAACCAAATCCAGCAACACATCAAAAAGCTTATCCACCATGATCAAGTGGGCTTCATCCCTGGGATGCAAGGCTGGTTCAACATATGCAAATCAATAAATGTAATCCAGCATATAAACAGAACCAAAGACAAAAACCACATGATTATCTCAATAGATGCAGAAGAGGCCTTTGACAAAATTCAACAACCTTCATGCTAAAAATTCTCAATAAATTAGGTATTGATGGGACGTATCTCAAAATAATAAGAGCTATCTATGACAAACGCATGGCCAATATCATCCTGAATGGGCAAAAACTGGAAGCATTCCCTTTGAAAACTGGCACAAGACAGGGATGCCCTCTCTCACCACTCCTATTCAACATAGCGTTGGAAGTTCTGGCCAGGGCAATTAGGCAGGAGAAGGAAATAAAGTGCATTCAATTAGGAAAAGAGGAAGTCAAATTGTCCATGTTTGCAGATGACATGATTGTATATCTAGAAAACCCCATCGTCTCAGCCCAAAATCTCCTTAAGCTGATAAGCAACTTCAGCAAAGTCTCAGGATACAAAATCAATGTACAAAAATCACAAGCATTCTTATACACCAATAACAGACACACAGAGAGCCAAATCATGAGTGAACTCCCATTCACAATTGCTTCAAAGTGAATAAAATACCTAGGAATCCAACTTACAAGGGATGTGAAGGACCTCTTCAAGGAGAACTACAAACCACTGCTCAATGAAATAAAAGAGGATACAAACAAATGGAAGAACATTCCATGCTCATGGGTAGGAAGAATCAATATCGTGAAAATGGCCATACGGCCCAAGGTAATTTATAGATTCAATGCCATCCCCATCATGCTACCAATGACTTTCTTCACAGAATTGGAAAAAACTACTTTAAAGTTCATACGGAACCAAAAAGGAGCCCACATCGCCAAGTCAATCCTAAGCCAAAAGAACAAAGCCGGAGGCATCATGCTACCTGACTTCAAACTATACTACAAGACTACAGTAACCAAAACAGCATGGTACTGGTACCAAAACAGAGATATAGATCAATGGAACAGAACAGAGCCCTCAGAAATAATGCCACGTATCTACAACTATCTGATCTTTGACAAACCTGACAAAAACAAGCAATGGGGAAAGGATTCCCTATTTAATAAATGGTGCTGGGAAAACTGGCTAGCCATATGTAGAAAGCTGAAACTGGATCCCTTCCTTACACCTTATACAAAAATTAATTCAAGATAGAGTAAAGACTTACATGTTAGACCTAAAACCATAAAAACCCTAGAAGAAAACCTAGGCAATACCATTCAGGACATAGGCATGGGCAAGGACTTCATGTCTAAAACACCAAAAGCAATGGCAACAAAAGCCAAAATTGACAAATGGGATCTAATTAAACTAAAGAGCTTCTGCACAGAAAAAGAAACTACCATCAGAGTGAACAGGCAACCTACAAAATGGGAGAAAATTTTCACAACCTACTCATCTGACAAAGGGCTAATATCCAGAATCTACAATGAACTCAAACAAATTTACAAGAAAAAAACAAACAATCCCATCAAAAAGTGGGCAAAGGATATGAACAGACACTTCTCAAAAGAAGACATGTATGCAGCCAAAAAACACATGAAAAAATGCTCATCATCACTGGCCATCACAGAAATGCAAATCAAAACCACAATGAGATACCATCTCACACCAGTTAGAATGGCGATCATTAAAAAGTCAGGTGCTGGACTGACTAATCATTAAAACAACAGGTGCTGGAGAGGATGTGGAGAAATAGGAACACTTTTACACTGTTGGTGAGACTGCAAACTAGTTCAACCATTGTGGAAGTCAGTGTGGCGATTCCTCAGGGATGTAGAACTAGAAATACCATTTGACCCAGCCATCCCATTACTGGGTATATACCCAAAGGATTATAAATCATGCTGCTATAAAGACACATGCACATGTATGTTTATTGCGGCACTATTCACAATAGCAAAGACTTGGAACCAACCCAAATGTCCAACAATGATAGACTGGATTAAGAAAATGTGGCACATATACACCATGGAATACTATGCAGCCATAAAAAATGAAGAGTTCATGTCCTTTGTAGGGACATGGATGAAACCGGAAACCATCATTCTCAGCAAACTATTGCAAGGACAAAAAACCAAACACCGCATGTTCTCACTCATAGGTGGGAATTGAACAATGAGAACACATGGACACAGGAAGGGGAACATCACACTCTGGGGACTGCTGTGGGGTGGGGAGAAGGGGGGAGGGATAGCATTAGGAGATATACCTAATGCTAAGTGATGAGTTAATGGGTGCAGCACACCAACATGGCACATGTATACATATGTAACAAACCTGCACTTTGTGCACATGTACCCTAAAACTTAAAGTATAATAATAATAAAATAAAAAGAAAAAAAAATTAGCCAAGCATTGTGGCACACGCCTGTAATCCTAGCTACTCAGGAGGCTGAGGCAGGAGAATGGCTTGAACCCAGGAGACAGAGGTTGCAGTGAGCCGAGATCACACCATTGATGGGACAGAGTGAGACTGTCTCAAAAACAGAAAAAAAAATGTGCATCCAGTAATGTGATCATACCCTCCCTCTTTCCCCTCCAACCCACTTACCCTCTTTAAATTTAGGAGCTCTCAAAATCACCTTTGGAAAACAGTATGGACCACAGATTGTTCCTGTGGATTTTATGATCCTTTTCTCTGTCCATGTCCTTAACTTTGGCAAAAATAAACTTTTAAATTGAGTGAGACCTGTCTCAGATACTTTTTGGTTTACAGTCATGAGTCAATAATAAACAGAAGGAAAAACCCAAATGACCTATAAATGTATAAAATAATACGCAGGCCAGGTGCAGTGGCTCATGCCTGTAATCCCAGGCCAGGTGCAGTGGCTCATGCCTGTAATCTGGATACACAGGATGGAGCACCCAGAGAGGCCATGGAACCTCTGCACCCCTTCCTGCATGTCTTACCCCATGCATCTCTTTGTTTGTATCCTTTAAAATAGCCTTTGTAATAAACTGGTAAGTGAAGGGGTGGGTTGCCCCTCCACACCTGTGGGTGTTTCTCGTAAGGTGGAATGAGAGACTTAGGAAAGAAAAAGAAACAGAGACAAAGTATAGAGAAAGAAATAAGGGGGCCCGGGGAACCAGCGTTCAGCATATGGAGGATCCCGCCAGCCTCTGAGTTCCCTTAGTATTTATTGATCATTCCTGGGTGTTTCTCCGAGAGGGGGATGTGTCAGGGTCACAAGACAATTGTGGGGAGAGGGTCAGCAGACAAACACGTGAACAAACGTCTTTGCATCATAGACAAGGTAAAGGATTAAGTGCTGTGCTTTTAGATATGCATACACATAAACATCTCAATGCTTTACAAAGCAGTACTGCTGCCCGCATGTCCCACCTCCAGCCCTAAGGCGGTTTTTCCCTATCTCAGTAGATAGAACGTACAATCAGGTTTTATACCGAGACATTCCATTGCCCAGGGACGGGCAGGAAACAGATGCCTTCCTCTTGTCTCAACTGCAAGAGGCATGCCTTCCTCTTATACTAATCCTCCTCAGCACAGACCCTTTACGGGTGTCGGGCTGGGGGACGGTCAGGTCTTTCCCTTCCCACGAGGCCATATTTCAGACTATCACATGGGGAGAAACCTTGGACAATACCTGGCTTTCCTAGGCAGAGGTCCCTGCGGCCTTCCGCAGTTTTTGTGTCCCTGGGTACTTGAGATTAGGGAGTGGTGATGACTCTTAAGGAGCGTGCTGCCTTCAAGCATCTGTTTAACAAAGCACATCTTGCACCGCCCTTAATCCATTCAACTCTGAGTTGACACAGCACATGTTTCAGAGAGCACGGGGTTGGGGGTAAGGTTATAGATTAACAGAATCTCAAGGCAGAAGAATTTTTCTTAGTACAGAACAAAATGGAGTCTCCTATGTCTACTTCTTTCTACACAGACACAGTAACAATCTGATCTCTCTTGCTTTTCCCCACAGGTAAGTGTAAGTAAGTGTTTGCCTGAGTTCTGTGAGCTGCCCTAGCAAATTAACCAAACCCAATGAGGAGGTCCTGGGAACCCCAGTTTATACACAGCTAATCAGAAACACAAGTAAAACAACCTGAAGCTGGCAATTCACATCAGAAGTTGGGGAGAATCTTGTGCAACTGAGCCCTCAACCTGTGGGATCTGACATTATCTCCAATTAGTGTCAAAATTGAACAGAATGAGAGGACACACAGCTGATGTCTGCTGCAGAATTGATGAATGAGTAGTTGGTGGGGACAAATCACACATTTCTTGGTGAGCAGAGGTCACAGAAGACGTTTTGTTGATTATTGTTGAATGAGAGAATAGAAAAAGCACGTTGTTTTTTTTCATGCGCGTCCGTGTGAAGAGACCACCAAACAGGTTTTGTGTGAGCAATAAAGCTTTTAATCACCTGGGTGCAGGCGAGCTGAGTCCGAAAAGAGAGTCAGCAAAGGGAGATAGGGGTGGGGCCGTTTTATAAGATTTGGGTAGGTAAAGGAAAATTACAGTCAAAGGGAGTTTGTTCTCTGGCAGGCAGGAGTGGGGGTTGCAAGGTGCTCAGTTGGGGAGGTTTTTGAGCCAGGATGAGGCCAGGAAAACGACTTTCACAAGGTAATGTCATCACTTAAGGTAAGGACCGGCCATTTTCACTTCTTTTGTGGTGGAATGTCATCAGTTAAGGTGGGGCAGGGCATATTCACTTCTTTTGTGATTCTTCAGTTACTTCAGGCCATCTGGGCATATACGTGCAAGTCAGAGGGGATGCAATGCCTTGGCTTGGGCTCAGAGGCCTGACATTTTTTATTCCTACAGTCTCAGAGGAATATAGCTAAAAATGTGTTTACAGAGAAGTTTATAGTATTAGCTTATATTAGAAAAGAAGATATGTCTCAAATCAATGATCTAAGCTTTTACCTCAAGGAAGTAGGGGAGCCAGGTTTTCAGCAATTGGCCAGAAAAGAAAAAAAAAGAAGGGGGAGGAAGCATATGAAAACCAAAACAAGCAAAGAAAGAAAATGTAATAAAGATAGAAGAAGTAATAAATAAAGTAGAAAAAGAAAAAAATCAATCAGTCTAAAGCTGGTTCTTTGAGAAGATCAATAAAATTGATAAACCTCTAGCCCAGGGGGTCAGCAGAGACCCAAGTAATAAATATGTTAGGCCTCGCATGCCAGGAGGCCACACAATCTGCCACTGTAGCACAAAAGCAGCCATAGACAATACAAAAATAAATGAGAATAGCTGTATTCATGGGTCTTGTAAGACAGGCAGTGGGCCCAGTTTGGACTGGTTTGGATCTGTGTCCCATGCCAAATCTGTGTCCCATGTTTGGGCCCCACATTGTAGGGGTGGGTTGCCCCTACACACCTGTGGGTGTTTCTCATAAGGTGGGACGAGAGATTTGGAAAAGAAAAAGACACAGAGACAAAGTATAGAGAAAGAAATAAGGGGGCCCGGGGAACCAGCGTTTAGCATATGGAGGATCCCCCCAGCCTCTGAGTTCCCTTAGTATTTATTCATCATCTGTGGGTGTTTCTCAAAGAGGGGGATGTGTCAGGGTCACAAGACAATTGTGGGGAGAGGGTCAGCAGACAAACACGTGAACAAAGGTCTTTGCATCATAGACAATGTAAAGGATTAAGTGCTGTGCTTTTAGATATGCATACACATAAACATCTCAATGCTTTACAAAGCAGTATTGCTGCCCGCAGGTCCCACCTCCAGCCCTAAGGCGGTTTTTCCCTATCTCAGTAGATGGAGCATACAATCGGGTTTTATACCGAGACATTCCATTGCCCAGGGACGGGCAGGAGACAGATGCCTTCCTCTTGTCTCAACTGCAAGAGGCATTCCTTCCTCTTTTACTAATCCTCCTCAGCACAGACCCTTTACAGGTGTCGGGCTGGGGGACGGTCAGGTCTTTCCCTTCCCACGAGGCCATATTTCAGACTATCACATGGGGAGAAACCTTGGACAATACCTGGCTTTCCTAGGCAGAAGTCCCTGCGGCCTTCCGCAGTTTTTGTGTCCCTGGGTACTTGAGATTAGGGAGTGGTGATGACTCTTAAGGAGCGTGCTGCCTTCAAGCATCTGTTTAACAAAGCACATCTTGCACCGCCCTTAATCCATTCAACTCTGAGTTGACACAGCACATGTTTCAGAGAGCACGGGGTTGGGGGTAAGGTTATAGATTAACAGAATCTCAAGGCAGAAGAATTTTTCTTAGTACATAACAAAATGGAGTCTCCTATGTCTACTTCTTCCTACACAGACACAGTAACAATCTGATCTCTCTTGCTTTTCCCCACACCACATTGGAGCTTAGCCCATGAAAGAATTCAAGGATGAGCCTATGGTGAGAGAAGGCAACTTTTTTGAACCAGTACTGCTCCTTGCAGAGCAGGACTAACCCATAGGCAGCGGGCTGAGTTGGCAACATATGGGCTGTTGGCAGCTGTACTTATACCCACTTTTAATTATATGCTAATTAAGAGACGGGTTATTCAGAACTTTCTGGAAAAGGGTGGAGAGTTTCCAGAACCATCTAAGGTAACTTCCAGGCCATTACCATGGCCTATTGCAATGGTATTTGTAAACTGTCATGGCACTGGTGGGAGTGTCTTATGCTAATGAGCAGTGAGGGCAAATAGAGGTCACTTCCATCACCCTCTGCTAGTTTTGGCTGGCTTCTTCACTGCATACTGTTCTGACCACATCCTGCTCCAATCAACATGATCAACAGGGCTGCAACGAGAAAGCAAGTCCTGCCAGCCTCCTACCTCGCTACTATAGTAGGTTAGTGGAGGGGGAACATTTCCTTGTCCCAAATTCCAGCCAGAGTCTTTCTCAACATCTAAATACTGAATGCTGCCATGGCTTCAAATAAATTTGCAATGAAAAAACATATTTTTAAATGGCTTTCTATTTTGCTGCAGGAAAGGAAAACAAAATCTCGGGACCCAAACTCACTAAGCCAAAGGGAAAATTCAAGCTAGGAATTGGGTCACCCAAACCTGCCTCCCATTTTGTTCCTAAATAGATAGCTACAAAAATAAAAAGCTATATAACTCCCTAACAATTTGCTCACAAGGGAATTCTTTGTGAGCCCCAAGATCTTCACCCTAAAACAGTTCTGCTGAATGACACCCTGATGATGTAAATTGACAGCTTATCATCACAGGTATGGGAGAAAGGACAGAACTATAAGTCATCCCTCCATTCACCTGAGACAAATGCATATTTGACTGCTTATATAAAAATCCAGATTCACTAAGCATGAAATGAATGCATAATTAACTATTCCTCTACCCCCTCCTTTCACATGTAAAATGCAGATTCAGTGAATGCTGATCAAAGACTCAAAGGAATGCAACCACTTGCCTCTTTTATCTACCCTCCCTTTTTTTCCCTTTTCTCTTTCCCCTAATGCCCACACTTTTCCCTTTAAATAATGATGTCCCCAGACGCACTTTGGAAAAAGCACGAATCACAGATGTTTCCTATGGTTTTCTGTTCCTTTTTTCCTGGATGTGTCCTAAACCTTAGCTAAATAAATCTCTAAATTTTTGACTGAAAGCTGTCTCAAATATTTTTTGGGTTACAGCAGCTATTGCATCTAGATATACAATATAAATTAATGTAAAATATCATATGCTTGTAATTTCATACATGCTAGAGATATCATCCCAATCAGGGAAAGCTGCAAGAAGAAAGTGTTGGTGGTAAAGCACAACTTCCTAGATTTTTGCTGTCAGTGGGCTGGTTGGAATTTAAACTCTTTGAGTATTAAAAACAAATCAGTCTTCATAACTGATTATTTCTGCTATTATTGTTACCTATTGGAGCCTCTAGGAAAAAAAGAGGCAATAGAGAAAGAGAGGCAGTCTCCGTTGCTAATGTGCTCTTGTGGGATTAGATGTCTGATCCTTTGGAGCAGACCATCCATCCTGATGTGGGTCAGTTTGGACTCCAAGTCTGACAAAGCAGAACAGGCTTCAGAAAGCCTTGTTTGTCACTTGGAATACAGCCGTCACTCCTGCAGCATCTAAGCTTTGGTGCTGCTGAAGAAAGGCCACTGGCTGTTTTGGAGTCCTGCATTCACAGACCCCAGCTGCCTGGAACTGACTCTAAGCTAAAACCTGACACTATCTACCACAAGCTGTTTCAACCTCAGCACAAGCTGCAATGAACTGGAAGTGTAAGCAGACAGCAAGGGTTTCCAGGGATTATAGGAATTTAATCAACTCAGCAATCAGCCTTTTACAGCCTACCATCCTGTAGCCTGTTTCTTCCTAAACCTTGCATAGAATGCAGTCATGTGGTTGGTTAAAACCAGCTCCTAACAGATCCCAGCAACCTACAGATGAATCTGAGTGAACTTTCCTCATTACCATGCTAAAGTCTCCACCCCGGAGGAGCTACAGCTTCATTACCATAGCATGCAACCTATGTGTTGGCACGATGACTCACTGCATCTGTGCAACTGGGACCCCTCCTCTGCATGTGCCGATGCACCCTCTCCCCTCTCCATCACCCATAAAACCCTCCTGTCACTTTTCGTAGGGAAGACTGCTTTGGAGAATCCTCACAGTGTCCTCCTTACTTGTGCCAAGTAATAAAACTGCTATTGATCCACACCTGTGTTCTCATGAAAAGTTGTTTGTTACTAAACGAATGATCCCCGTTTTTTTTCGAGTAACAGAAGTGGGCATGTATGGTTTCTTCTGATAGCAACCAAATACATGTCATTTGTCCACATCAATCAGTCCTGCAATTCTCCAACACTGACCGCATGTTCAACAATCCGACTCAATTCCGACGCTAACTATCCAGAGTTAGGCTCAGCCTCCACAGGTAAAGTCTCCAGGCTCAGCAACAAATGGAGTTCCCTGGCTACTCACATTTCTACCTGGCTGACTACAAATGGTGGAGACCCCCTAAATCCCCTTTAAATTTGATAATTCCCTAGAACAACTTCCAAAATTTAGAAAACTGCTTTACTTATGATTGTCAGTTTATTATAAAGGATACAACTCAGCAACAGCTACATGGAAGAAACTAAGAAGAAACTAATATGGGGGGCAGTGATTGTGCACAGCTTCCATTGTTAAAGAAAAAATTATCTAATGATACAAGCTTGATATCCACTGCACTGGGATTTTGCAGCAAGAGAGAGAGATGGGGCTCAAACTTGAACACAGCACGGGCAAGTGGGAATTCATAGGCAAGGAGAAGCATACAGGTCAGTGGATGCAAAATTACAAAGAGGAAACCTCAGGGGCAAGAGAGATTCTGGTTAAACCACACTAACAGGATTCTTGCTGAAGACAGGCCGGGGTGATCAGACATCACCTGGAGGACAGTGAGAAGGATGAACCCGGTCAGATATTGAGGGTGGGAAGTTCCTGCTAAACTGACTTGGCAGGGTCCTTTGCTAAAATTAGATTTTACAAGGAAGTACAGATGTGCCTAGGAAGAGGTTTGGGAACCTGACTAAAATGTGGTCACACAGAGAATCTTTGCCACCATGCCCTCTCCAGCCAGGCCAGTCTCCCACCACATCTGTGTTCACCTGCCCCAAAGCTCTCCCAACCCCGTCATGTAGGGGTTTCTACGGAGGCTGCATAATGTAGACATTACTGATTAAATAATGGTGATCAGTCCCCAACCTGAAGTTATCCAGCTCTCCCTCCTCAACCAAGAGCCACCTCATTAGCATAAACTCAGATTTGTTTGACAGAGACTCCTTCTGAATAACATGACATCCTATCACTCAGGAAATTCCAAGGGTCTTAGGACCTCTGTGTCTGGAACTGGGGTCAAAGACCAAAAATATATTTTTTTATCATGCCACATAAGGCATAAATAAACTTTTATTATGCTACAAGGCATAAATTTATTTAAAAATAAAAATTTTTATTATGCCACAAGGCAAAAACCCAGACTCTGGGATTGTTGAATGCAGACTCTTGTGGGGGCCCCCTTAAAGAGTTTTGTGATCCTAAATATTTCAAAATGGAGTCACTTACGACAAGTGACTCAGCCCACAGTGAAACTGCTGAACCCTCAAAATGATAAACATAGGTATAAAGGACTGAGGTAATAAGATAACATCTGCTGTGGCCAGACACCCCCAAGACCTGATGAGAAACTGAAACCAAAAGGTGGCTGAGATAATGACCATGGACACTCCTGCAGAGGGCCATAAAAACAGCAAAGAAACTGACCACGGCAAGACACCTGTAGAAGCTCTGCCCGAGAAAGCTCTGAGGCTTCCTCATGATATCCACAGCGGTCCCTGGAAGCTCTGCCCAAACACAGCAACATCGTTCAACAGTGTTTTGAGTGAAACCCAGAGGCATGCTAACCTAAACAACAGAAATGGGGGTTTTTTGTTTTGTTTTGCTTTGAGACATGGTTTCACTCCAGTTGCCCAGGCTAGACTGCAGTGGAGCAATCTCAGCTGACTGCAGCCTGACTTCTGGGTTCAGGCGATCCTCCCATCTCCGCCTCCCAAGTAGCTGAGAGTACAGGCACATGCCACCATGCCCGGCTAATTTTTTTTTCTGTATTTTTAGCAGAGACGGGGTCTCGCCATGTTGGCCAGGCTGGTCTTGAACTCGTGGGCTCAAGTGATCCACCTGTCTAGGCCTCTGGTTGGGTGTGAAAATATGGCCCAGTTCTGGCCAATGGAGAAGGGAACAGGTCATCTGGGGAACTGTGGGAAAGACTTAACTCCCTGAAAAAAAGACAAATGAGAATTATCTTTCCCTCCATCTTTTGGGCATAGCCAGGTAAAAATGGGCCACTCAAGGCTGCTACAGCCATGGGAGTCCCTGCAGGGCAACAGTGCAGACCCAGGACCAGTGCAATGGAGACAGCCTGCTGAGTCCTTGGTGACCTTGGTGAGCCACTAAACCCAACCTGAGTCACCCTCTTCCTGCCTTTCTGTTACCGAGACAATGGGTGTCCAGGCTGTTGAAGCCCTTTTGAGTTTAGTTCTGCTTCTTGCACCCAAATGCATTTTAATGGGGCCATGAGCTCCCAGGCTCCACATGGTCTAAGGTACCCCTCACCTCCAGGGCATCCCCATGGAATGAAACACCCCCTCTGGCCTTCTCCCAAGACTTCTGGCCCAATATTTTCTGGGTGTCTTTACAAGACAATGTCCTATGGGGTGCACTGGGGATTGACATCTCCCTGCCTCCGAATGCCTCCCCTTCCTGGAGTAGGAAGAGCTGCCCAGGGTTCTTTTTAGAAGAGACCTTTATTTTGGCCAGGTGCGGTGGCTCACACCTGTAATCCCAGCATTTTGGGAGACCGACGGGGAGGCAGATCACAAGGTCAAGAGATCGAGACCATCCTGGCCAACATGGTGAAACCCCGTCTCTACTAAATATGGAAAAATGAGCCAGGCATGGCAGCAGGTGCCTGTAATCCCAGCTACCTGGGAGGCTGAGGCAGGAGAATCACTTGAACCCGGGAGGCAGAGGTTGCAATGAGCCGAGATCGCACCATTGCACTCCAGTCTGGGTGACAAGAGCGAAACTCTGTCTCAAAAAAACAAACAAACAAACAAACAAACAAACAAAAAAGAAAAAAAAAGAAAAGACCTTTATTTCTCAAGCAAGGGCAGAAATTCAGGGCTCCCCTTCGACTCTGGCTGCTCCCAAGGTGGCTTTAAAGCACCAATGAGTCCATGGCTTGTGTAAGAAATGATTAGTCCTTCCATCTAGAGAAATAGCTCCTTTTTAAACAGTTGTCTCTTTTAAACAGTGTTTAGTATTTAAGTGAGGTTGAAACAGTGTCAAAAGGAAAGTGAAAGTGAAATTCTCTCCTTCAGCATAAAAGCTGATCCACAAACAAGAGGAGCACCAGACCTCCTCTTGGCTTCGAGATGGCTTCGGTAAGTTTCCCAGGGCTTTGCATTACTGACTCTACAGCAGTTGGGCAGCTCCCCCTAGGAAAGGCCTCAGTCCAGGCTCCTGGCCTTGGGCACACAGCTCCAGAGCTCGTCTTTAGAAGGCTGTCATGGAAAACTGTATTTGTCTTTTAAAAGTGCATCTGCCCAGCTGGACAGGGAGTCCTCTGGGCAGAGTCCACCTCCTCTGCGTAACTGGCACAGTGCGGGGAGCCCGGGACTCCCATGTAGTAGAGAGCTGTGGGGTGCCGGGTGTCAAATCTACCTCAGCCTGAGGAGAAGCCAGAGTGTGGGCAGGTGGGGGACTCTGGGTTGTGGGAAGCAAGCAAATCCCAACATCGTCTGCTTCTGCTGTGACTGGGGCTCAGTCCCTTCTCGGCCCCAAACGATGCTTTCTCTCTCCTCGTTCCTCTGTGGCATCATCCAGCCTTCTAAGGTGCATTCTAATCTCAGCAGCTTTCTGAAAACTGAAATTTCTCCTCCTATCAGCCCAGATGTACCGATTGGCAGAAGCTCTAGGGAGAGCAGGCTGAGCTCGGTGGTGTGTGACTAAAAAGGAACAGCGGGGCTCAGGCTATTACTAGAAACAAAACCATTCCGGGAAGGAGTCCTGCAAATTCTGGAGGGCAGCCCACTCCAACAGCACCACCTGATCCTGGGGAAGGGCTTTACTGCTGCCAAAACAAATCAGGGCTTTTAACAGGGAGCCCAGGCCAAAGCTCATATCTCACTGGCCACCAGCTGAGGTTGCCAGTACCTTGACTGTGGTTTTAGACATTCAGCATTGCAGTTAAAAGCCCCTCTCTCTCCCCACATGGAAACCATCTCCTGTGGTGCCCTGACATACAGAGGAGGAGCTGGGAGGGAGTCCTGGCCCTGCTCCTTTCTCCTCCCTCTTCCTTGTCTATTTCCTTGCCCCATTCTACGCCAGGCCCTTCACTGGGTCCTGGAGGTGCAGGGAGGGAGGAGCACACAGGATCCTGCCTGCCTGGAGCTCACAGCCCAGAGGGGCACAGGGAGGCACAGGGAATTGCAGCTCAACTTGACCCCTGCAGAGAGCAGCAGAGGCCCCCGGGGACCCAGGTCCTAGGAGTGGGGTGGCGGGTCAGCTGAGCCAGGCTGGGGCCATCAGGGCAGCTTCTCAGGTGAGGGGGTTTGAGGGAGGGGAAGAGGAAGAGTGGCTGCAGGGAAGTGATGGAGGCAGGGAGAACCAGATGTGCAGAGCAGCAGAGACCAGAGCCAGGGCAGTAGTGAGGGGCTGGGATGTCACTCAGTGGGCCTGTGGGTGCAGAGCCCAGGGAGGGAGAGGAGGGTGAGGAAGGGCCAGTCAGGAAGGGCCTGGGAGCTGCCCACAGGGTGTGTCCTGGGCCCTGAGGTCAGAGGACGGTCATGGCCAGATGTGCCCTTGGGAAGGCCACCATGGGTTCTGAGGAGTTGGATATGGAGTGGCAGGGACAGGAGGCAGGGGCTGGTCAGGGGGTTGTGGGGGTCACAGAGGCAGGCATGGGGCTGCCTGAACCAAGTCAGTGGATGGGATATTGACAAGCACACCAACAAGGAGAAGCTTCCGGAGTCCACATTGATTGGTTTTAGTGACTGGATATTGGCATGAGGAAGAGGGCAAAGGAGAGCAGACCCCAGGTCTATGATGGGACATCCTGGGATGAGGGAGGAGGAGGCTGTCACCCACTGAGGACAGGGACAGAGAGGGTGAAAATGGAAAAATCCTCCAGTCATGAGGCTGCTATGCCCTGGGGCAGGACATGGAGAAGTGGGAAGGAGGTGAGGAAGGGGAAGAAGGTGGCCAAGACAGGAACCAGGGTGAGGGGTGTGCAGGGAAGAACCAGCTCGGCCTCCTTCCAGCTGAGTGTTCTCAGGAAAGCCCTGCCACCTCTCTGATCCTCAGTTTCCCCATCTGTGCAATGGGATGATCATGCCTTCCCCTGGGGCTGTGGAGATGGTGCAGTTATTGTAGGACAAGTTCCCACAGAGGCCTGTTCTGTGAGTGCAGAGCCCCCTCAGTGCTGGGAGCTGGGGGGCCCCACAAGACCCCACTCAGGTCCCAGCAGGATGCTGTGAGCTCCTGTCTCCCAGGGTGTCATCTCCAAGAGATAGGTGTCCTGAGGCTGGATGGGGCAAGGTCTGAGGAGGAGGTGGCTCTTGGGGCCATGGAGAGGCACAGGGCAGGAGTGATGAGGAACTGAGGGTCAGTCTGCAGAGGGCGGAGAGCTCAAGACTCACCTTCCCAGCCTTGCTCCTGGCCTCAGTGAAGGTGCTGGTTCATGCAGGCTCTTGAGTCGGCCTACTGAGGAGCATGTGTACAATGCACACATGCACACACATCTGCATCCTCAGCATGCACACACACAGCACACACATGTCACACATGCGCCCAGACGGTCCTTCTGTCTCCCATCCCACAAGATCATTCTCCAGGCTTCCAGCCCCCAGTGCCCCCACTGAGAAGAGCCTCTGAAAGTGACAGCAGGGCTGAGGATCTCATGGGGCTAGCAGCTGATGAACATCAGCAAGGCGTCTCCAGGATGAGCTGCAGCTCCCCCAGCCAGGGTCTCTGCTGTTGCCTAGAAGGCCGGGTACTCCATCTCTGGCTTTTCTGTTGCAGCCACACCAAGAGCCCAAACCTGGAGACCTGATTGAGATTTTCCGCCTTGGCTATGAGCACTGGGCCCTGTATATAGGAGATGGCTACGTGATCCATCTGGCTCCTCCAAGTAAGGACTGATGAATATATAATTTTCAAAATATTTGTTAAAAGGATAATGAGAGGGCCGGGCACGGTGGCTCATGCCTGTAATCCCAGCACTTTGAGAGGCCGAGGTGGGCAGATTACCTGAGGTCAGGAGTTCAAGACCAGACTGACCAACATGGAGAAACCCCATCTCTACTAAAAATACAAAATTAGCCAGGTGTGGTGGCACACACCTGTAATCCCAGCTACTCAGGAGGCTGAGGCAGGAGAATCACTTGATCCCCGGAGGCAGAGGTTGCAGTGAGCCGAGATCGTGCCATTGCACTCTAGCCTGGGCAACAAGAGCAAAACTTGATCTCAAAAAATAAAAAAATAAGTCAATGAGAGCCACTGAAAGACAGTTAAGCAAGGGAAACTTGAGTTAGGAGACACATTCTTCTTAGAGGATGCTTGATGAGATTGCACACACATATGTCCCATGAAGTAGACACAGTGCATTCCATAGGTCCTGGCAGAACGGAAGAAGAGACCGTTGCCTCCCGCAGCGAAGCTGGGCTGCTTCAGCATTGGGATCTCTCCAGCTCAAAGTCAGTTACCTTGGCATGCAGAATCTCATACGACTTAAACCAGCCAGGTTTCTTAGGTCTTAAAGAAGAAAGTTTCTCAAAAGGAACAATGTTTCTCCGTGCCAGATCCTTTGCCTCATATGTTTTCACACAACAAGGTGTCTTGATATTATATACTTAAGATTCCTTACTGGGAGCAATTCTCACAGGTTTATACATTTTTTTAAAATTCTCATACAAATACACAGTAAGCAATACCAATGTTTTATTTAACTCATTAATAACAGAAGCAGAAATATGACATACCCAGTTAAAAGCAGAATGAAGGAAACGTATGTATGGATAGCCAATGAAAGGGGAAAAAACGAACACAGAGGCCAGGCACAGTGGCTCACTCCTATAATCCCAGCACTTTGGGAGGCCAAGGCGGACGGATCACTTGAGGTCAGGAGTTCAAGACGAGCCTGGCCAACATGGTGAAACCCCGTCTCTATTAAAAATACAAAAATTAGCTGGGGGTGGTGGCAGGCATCTGTAATCCCAGCTACTCAGGAGGCTGAGGCAGGAGAATTGCTTGAACCTGGGAGACGGAGGTTGCAGTGAGCCGAGATCCTGAGACAGTGCCACTGCACTCCAGCCTAGGAGACAGAGGAAGACATTGTCTCAAAAAACAACAACAAAAATGCAGAAATGAGACAATGAGACTGCCAAATTAGGTAGGTGCAGGCAAGTTCATATCCTCTAGGGCAGTGCCACTACATAACTTCTCATGTTCTCTTTTCACCAAGCATTTACATTGTCACTGGACAAAAACCATTCCCATCACTATCAGGGCAAGACATTTGCATCTTATCAGTTTTCTCCAAGCCATCATCTCCCAGGCAGGATTGTAAAAATGTCTGAATTGATGGAAAATAGTAAATCAAGCCCACTTAATCCAGATGATCCTCAGGGACCTTGTAAGACAAAGCATGGCAATGAAGACACATGGTCCTTTTTGTGCCTAACTTGCAGTGTGTAAAGAGGCTTTTTTTTTTTTTTTAAGACAGAGTCTTGCTCTGTCACCGGGATGGAGTACAGTGGTGCAATCTCAGCTCACTGCAACCTCCGCCTCCCAGTTTCAAGCGATTCCCCTGCATCAGCCTCCCGAATAGCTGAGGCTACAGGCGCATGCCACCACAGCCAGCTAGTTTTTTGTATTTTAGTAGACATGGGGTTTCACCATGTTGGCCAGGATAGTCTCGATCTCCTGACCTCGTGATCCACCAGCCTCGGCCTCCCAAAGTGCTGGGATTACAGGCATGAGCCACCGCGCTCAGCCGTAAAGAGGCTTTTTAAAGACAATTTTTCTCTCTTTCCTTTTTTTTTTTTTTTTTCCTCTGAGACAGTGTCTTACTCTGCCATCCAGGCTGGTGTACAGTGATGTGATTACAGCTCACTGCAGTCTTTTTTTTTTTTTTGCATAAACATTCTGATTTAATAAATGGTATGAATATATATTTTGCATACTTTACAATAAAGAAAATTTTGAAAGAAAATTGATCTAAAACTGTTTCCCTCCAATTTCCATGGTAAAGTCAACTGCATACAGTTCTTTCCATGTATAAGTTTTACATTTGTATTTTCTACAATTAAATAAATCTAAATGTTAAATTTTAGCACATATATCCAATTATGTACAAAATTACAATGTCAATTTATAAGTCAAGCTTACTTAAAAATCATAAATTACAAAAAACACATTATGAATAATTTTGTTCTGGAAGTATCATACCAACTCATACGATCTAGGTGAACCCAAAAGTAAAAAACAATGATTATAAATTACAGTAGTGTCTGTAAAACCCTGTTATAAAGGAGGTATTCTTTTAAAATATGTACCTTATATATAAAAGCTCCTGACTCCTTTTAAGGACCAAAATTATTTTCAGTTTAACCATTTTCATTAAAATGCTTATTTAAAAGTATCGCCTTATAAAACTGAGTATATAAAATACAATGCAGCCCTTGATAACTAAGAATCTTTATAAATGCTAATTATTTAGTGACCTGTTTATCAAACTATTTCTGTGGATGGGGTGATTTTTTTTCTTCCTCTAAATTAAGTGGCCCTAGACTAATATATTTATATAGTTATTCTGTTTTCTTCCGTACTGTCATTTCACATCTCTATCAGTGAGTTCCTCAGGATTTGCCTTTATTTTACAACTATGAAAGTCTTCAATCCAATTCCCTGCTTCCACACATAGGACACAGAAAGCCTAAACTTTCCTTTTTTCTGGGCTCCAATGGGAAGCAGCATTTACAACGTGTCTGGCTTGGTAGGAGGAAGATTGTCAATTGAGGTATCATGTGTGTTCACCTGCCTATCTTGCCCTATTTCTTTGGTTGCTGTAAATTTCCTGCTTCTCAAATATCTGGATTTTTGGCTACCTATTTGGCTTCCGTCTTTGGTGTTTATATCTGTCTGGTTTTAGCAGGTCTCTCTGATTCCTGACTCACAGCTCCTCTCCTTCACTAATATTCAAGTGTGCTGCTTGCCTAACTCCTCATTCCTTCTCCTTGAATTTCACTTTACAATTGCACTAGGTTCTATCATCGTTGGCCACAGATTACCACAAAACATAATTTCTTAAATTCTGCACATTTCTAATGCTTCTAATCTTGGTTTCCTACAAGATCTAACACTAAGCTTGTGTTATCCTGATTACAGTGTATGTAAAACAATGCTTGTGGAAAACTAACCTAGGAGAAAGCTTATAGGGGAAACCTGATAATGAATTTTATTAAATTAATAACCCTTATAAAAATTTCAAATGTAATACTACCTGGATTTGAACTTCAATACTTTTCTTAAGTAAAATTCTTAACCACGGTAGAAGTTATGTTTGTTGATGTTCACTCATCTATACCCTCCATATTCTCAGCAAAGTTGGCATAAATCTGACCTGAATAAATAGGGTTATAACATTATCAGGCTTGTAAAATACTTTATCAAATCAATGCATCAGTTAAAGCAGGGGTCCCCAACCCTGGGCTGTGTGTGGCCTGTTAGGAATCGGGCCACACAATAGGTGAGCTGAGAGGCAGGTGAGTGAGCATTCTGCCTGAGCTCCGCCTCTTGTCAGATCAGTAGTAGCATTAGATTCTCATAGGAGTGCAAACCCCATTGGGAACTGCACATGCAAGGGATCAGGCTCACTGCAGTCTTGACCTCCCCGAGTTCAGGCCAGGTGATCCTCCCACATCAGCCTTCTGAATAGCTGAGACGAGATGATAGGCGTGTGCCACCACGCGCAGCTAATTTTTGTATTTTTTGTAGAGACAGGTCTCGCCATGTTGTCCAGGCTGGTCTCGAACTCCTGAGCTCAAGTGGTCCACCTGTTTAGGCCTCCCAAAGTGCTGGGATTACAGGCATGAGCCACTGCGCCCAGCCAACAGGATTTTCTTAAGAGGGTTCTAAATGCAAACATCAGCCTTGAGATTAGAAACGGGGCAAAAGAGGTAACACACCTAATTATTGTGTGCATTAGGTACTATCCATTTTAATAAAAATAAGATAACACCTGGAGTCACTATATAATGGAATTGGGGCTCCATTGGTTGACAGCTCTTCTGTGTTCCTCTCTATGTGCCTAGAACTGTGCCAGATTGTAGGACAGAAGACACTTTACAAAGGATTCCCTCAGGGTCAGCCCAGTGCAGTGGAAGGAGCCTGCCCTTTGGGGCTTAAGAGAAGCAGTTTCACATCCTGATTCTAGGACTTTTCATAGCACAGAAAAGTCTCATGATGTCTCTCAGCCCAATATTGGTTTTTAAATTGAGATGATAATATTTTCCTTGAAAGTTAAAAAGGAGATTAAATTAGGAAGTATGTGTAACAGCACAGCATGGTAACTGAAACAGTGGGTACTAAACGAATTGGATCTTTTTCCGAAACACAAGTGTACAAAGCTGAACAGGTAATAAATATGCTTTACCATCATTGTTTATAATGATGAAAATTTTTCCAATACCTAAATGACGGATAACAGGGGATTGGCCACAGAAGTGATGTACATGCATAGCATGGAATATGGCAGCAGCCACTGGCAATCATGACATTCACTGACTTGAACGAACATTCACACCTTATTTTATTAAAAAAAGAGAGCAAAATCTATTAGCCCGGCGTGGTGGTGGGTGCCTGTAGTCCCAGCTACTCGGGAGGGTGAGGCAGGAGAATGGCGTGTACCCAGGAGATGGAGCTTGCAGTGAGCTGAGATCGCGTCACTGCACTCCAGCCTGGGCAACAGAGTGAGACTCCATCAAAATAAAAAAAAAAAGCAAAATCTGTGAATCCTTCAATCACATTTGTGAAAGGATAAACACCAGTAGTTCCTTAGTGGAGATTTCAAGCCCTTCTCTCCCTACTTCACCTTCCCCTGCCAGTGAGAGTGCCTCTGATTGCAGGTGAGTACCCCGGGGCTGGCTCCTCCAGTGTCTTCTCAGTCCTGAGCAACAGTGCAGAGGTGAAACGGGAGCGCCTGGAAGATGTGGTGGGAGGCTGTTGCTATCGGGTCAACAACAGCTTGGACCATGAGTACCAACCACGGCCCGTGGAGGTGATCATCAGTTCTGCGAAGGAGATGGTTGGTCAGAAGATGAAGTACAGTATTGTGAGCAGGAACTGTGAGCACTTTGTCACCCAGCTGAGATATGGCAAGTCCCGCTGTAAACAGGTAAGGACCTCTCTGGATAATCCATCTCCCTCTGCTTGGGGCTGGACTCACGGGGCTGTGCAGCCAGGCGATCACTGTGAATGATGCAAATGCAGCCTCTTAGAGACCTGCTGGCTGAGAGTCAGGACCTCTGAGCTCCAATGCCAGATCTGCTTCTAATCCACAGAGGGTCTTTGGACAGTTCCCTTCCCCCCAGGCCTCTCCATGTGCAGAGGAGGGGGTGGATGGAGGAGCTCTGAGGATCCTTCCCCTCTAAAACCTATCCTGAAAATGGCTCCTGAAGTTCTGGGGGTCATCAGGAGAATCTGGGCCAACCCAGGACAATGACAGGTCCTGCAACCCCCCAAAGAGTACTCAGGCAAGGGACGCTCAGGGTCCGTGGACCTGTGTAAGAGCTCAAGGACATTTGTGTGTAAGATCTGGGCACAGCCTCCATCCCTTGCCCCTTCACAGTCTTTCACATTTGTTGCCCCAAAACACTCAACTAATAAGTGGCAGAACCGGGATTTGAACCCCAGCTGTCCCTTTCTAGAGTCTCTGCCTGTGATGCCTACTCAGGGCCCCTGGCCTGCGTGACTGAATGGTTGGGGGCCCTTGATGAGAGAGGGATGGTGGCAGGAGTAGAGGCTTTGCGGAGGGAAATCCAGAGTTTGGCGTGGCATGTGATGTCTGAGGTGCCCCATTAGAGGCCCAGGTGGAGATAAGGCATGGAGTTTAGGCTGAAGTACAGCTGGAGATGGAAGTTTCCAGGCTGCAGTTGGGAATAGTACACAGTGACCCCAGGGCACGCATATGGCCATGGCCTCCCTAAGTCTCCCCTCAGCTTCTGCCACAGCCCTCCCTGTGCAAAGGTGTAGCTCAGGGAGGACCCAGACTGCAAAATAGTCCCCAGTCTGGCCCCTGGAGCTCTGACCCTAGGAAGCGAGGCACAAACCTTCTTCCTTGCCCCAAATCAGAACAAATGTCCTCACTTGGAAGCTCTCTCAAAAGGACCTCATGGGCCCATTCTCAGGACAAGCCCAGACAAGTCGAACACCAAGAAGTGGTCACAGCCCAGAAAATGGAGTCCCTGGGGATACAACCAACGGCTTCTCTGGGAGAGGATTCTGAGCCAGCCAGCTGGGAGAGAAGAGAGGAGATGCCAGGCCTTAGGGGAGGCAGGAGAGAGGGGAGAGGGAGAGGAGTTCCAGGCCCTTGGGAGGGAGAAAGTGCCAGCCTGGCTTGCCGTGAACGCTCAACAAAAGCTGCTTGCTTTGCAGGTGGAAAAGGCCAAGGTTGAAGTCGGTGTGGCCACGGCGCTTGGAATCCTGGTTGTTGCTGGATGCTCTTTTGCGATTAGGAGATACCAAAAAAAAGCGACAGCCTGAAGCAGCCACAAAATCCTGTGTTAGAAGCAGCTGTGGGGGTCCCAGTGGAGATGAGCCTCCCCCATGCCTCCAGCAGCCTGACCCTCGTGCCCTGTCTCAGGCGTTCTCTAGATCCTTTCCTCTGTTTCCCTCTCTCGCTGGCAAAAGTATGATCTAATTGAAACAAGACTGAAGGATCAATAAACAGCCATCTGCCCCTTCAGAAAGGACTTCTACCATGTTTTTATAGACTTCTGAATCACAAAGGAGGAAGGTAACATTGAGTGAACACTCACTGGGTAGTTCCAGCAATTTCTAGCCGGGTGACTTTAGAGAAGGCTCTTGATTCTCAGAACCTCAGTTCTTCCATGTCAGGTGATGTCAGGAGGATCACCTACGATAATGCATACACGACACCCAGCACTATGTCTGATATGTAACAGATGTTCAAGGAATTGTCTTCATCATTCTACACAGACATAACAGCGACATAATTGCATGTCATTAATTTTACTCTCAGGGAGGCGAAAAAAACCTAATTACCTTCCGGTATCGTCTCATGTGGTGCTTAAATCCCCTCACAACACCTACACATCTACCAGCATCTTCCCAGTTACCTTCCTCAGTTGGCCCTCTTTTTAGAAAGTTTTTTTTTTTTAGCTCAAAGGTCTGAGTTCTCACCCACCTGTGACTACTAGATGGAGTAATATTCTTTCCATGCCCAGATTGCCATGGCTCAAGCTGGTCCTGGGTGGAATGCTGAGAATTAGCTACCTCTAAATCTCCCTCCACTACTTCCAGCATGCCCTGGGTATGGCTCCAGAAGTGCCCAGGTCCCCATGTTTCTGTGCTTCCTCACTCCAGCCTCTGCCACCAGTGACCCTACTCAGTGGCCACTTCCATGGTGGTCACTGTGGCCACCACCACTCTGGCTTCAGGACTGAGGACATCACCCTCCCCTGGGTTGTACTTTTTCATGCATGAGCAAGCTGGTTGGTCCCTTAATTCCCCAACACAGTGGAGACCAGGCTGTAATGATTAACGACACTCCCCTGGAAGCTCAAGGCTATTGGAAGGTTGAAGAACAAAGAGAATAACTTATCATTGCTACAATTAGAGGGGGCTCTGCTCAGATTCCTGGCTGAAATACCAGGCTCCATTTGGGGATTGCAGAAGCATCCATGCCTGCCTTGCTCCAGGGCTACCTCCACAGCAGAGGGCCCAGCTGTTCTACCCAGAGTCCAGGCCTAAAAGGCAGAAGGCCCAGCAAGAGAAGAAGGCTTTCTCACTTCTTGTGATCTAAGGCTCACCTCCCCAGACTTCATTACCTGTCCAGGATCAATTGTTCCAGGGTGCTGGACAATGGGAGCATCCAGGCCCTTCCAAGGTGTGTTTGACCTCCATGACTAGGTCAGATCCCCATTAGGAGTCTCAGGTGTCCATGTGTCTGCACTTCATGTGATTCTCACAGTTGCAATGAACACTGATCCATGTGGTTATTTTACTAATGTGCCTTTCCCTGCCAGTATTTTGGGGACAGTCCAAGTTTGGTACCATTGGGACTCTAGCATCAAGCACAATGCTTAACTTACTATAACCACTCGATAGATGATGGATTACAAGCATGCACCTGTAATCCCAGCTACTTGGGAGGCTGTGGCAGGAGGATTACTTGAGCCCAAGAGTTTGAGATCAGCTTGGGCAACATAGTGAGACCCCATCTCTCAAAAAGGAAAAAAAGATAGTGGTTTACTTAATTAATAAATCTATTAACTGATATGTAGAAAAACAGGGCCAGGCACAGGGGCACACACCTGTAATCCCAGTACTTTGGGAGACCAAAGGAGGATCTCTTGAGCCCAGGAGTTCAAGACCAGCCTAGGCAACATAGTAAGACCCTGTCTCTACAAAAAAATAAAAATTAAAAATAAAAAAAGATTAGCCAGGTGTGGTGGTGCATGACAGAGCAGGAGCATCGCCATCTTGGACAAATACCAACATTCTGTGTTCCTCTTGATTAAAAACTGCCTAAATCCAGCCCCAGAACGTCAGTCCCAGAACATCAGGGCATTTCCCTATGCTGGGAAACCAACTCCCAGCATAACCAGAAACATTCCAACCCTAAGATAAAACCCTTTCCAACCAGAAACATGCCAACCCCAAGATAGCCTCCCCTCTGACGAGAGACATTCTAACCCTACAATAAACTTTCCCTCACATAGAAACATTCCGAACCTACAATGATCTTCCCACTTCCTAAACTCTTAAATATCCTTAGTCTGTTAGAACACTCCTGACCAAAATCAACCAGAAGCCCTTCTCAGGTTTATTCTCTAAATAAACCTGTCTTTGGCTGTTGAGCCCCTTTTTGTGTTTCTTTCCTCTTTAATTCTTACAGCGTGTGCCTATAGTCCCTGCTACTCAGGAGGCTGAGGCGGGAGGATCATTTGAGCCCAGGATTTCTGCAGTGAGCTATGATCAAAAAGAGTACAAGTAAAAAATAAAAATATAAAACATGACCACTGTTCTCAAAAAAATAAAAATAAAAAACATGACCACTCTTCTCAAAAAAATGTTGTGGCCACCACAGTAAAGGTTAATGCCCACCAGAATTGTGTTGCTATGAAGTTGAGAAATACACTGAACCAGTTCCAGACCTCTCTGGACTGACTTCCATGAACTAGATTTCACTAAATATGGAATATATATATATGTATATATACACACACACACATACACACACACATATATAATACATATTTTATATATAATTATATATATATGTAACAAAAGCATACTTCATTTTTTCATAAGTTCATTAAATGGTTGTACCACCTCTGGACAGTCCTTGGTCTCAGCAAATCTTTTTGCTAAGATTAAAAGTAGCTGAAGGCTGGGCACAGTGGCTCACACCTATAATATCAGCACTTTGGGAGGCCGAGGCAGGGGCATCACCTAAGATCAGGAGTTCGAGACCACCCTGGCCAACGTGGCAAAACCCCATCTCTACTAAAAACACAAAAATTAGCCAGACATGGTGGCGGGCGCCTGTAGTCCCAGCTACTCAGGAGGCTGAGATACAATAATTACTTGTACCCAGTGACGGAGGTTGCAGTGAGCCAAGATCGTGCCACAGTACTCCAGCCTGGACAACAGAGAGAGACGTTGTCTCAAAAAATAAATAAAAGTGGCTGAAGAGAGCATGCATATATTCCTTCCACAAGCTGTTTTTCAGCTTAAGAAATTTTTAAGAAAACTGATTGGTGCTGGAGAAACAGGAATCCTGGGCTGTGTGTGGTAGTACTCGATTGTCCTTTGTCGTTTGTGTCACTCTCGAAGACAGCATCCCTCTCCCCACCCAGGAGTGACGGGACAGCTGGCAGGACACAGAGAAGCCCTAGTGCTGCCCTCCTGCCTCATGGACAATGAAATGTTTTGCTTATGTGCATCCACCAGAAAGTGCTCTGAAGGTGTTTGGGATCTGAGACAACCAGGACACAGAAGGAACAGGAGCAGGGGAGCTCTCAGTGCTGCCTGCCCTATTGTCCTCTTTCCTGGGTGGCTTAAAGTCTCCTTTTGGGGTAAGAGAAAATAATTTAAGACATTAGTAGGGAGGGTCTTAGTTCCTGCAAAGATCTACTCAAACCATCAGGAGGTCCCATGGTTGGACCTGGCCCTTCCTGCAGAGCCCTGACCCTTGGCACTCAAGACACAGGAGAAGAAGGAAGCCGTCATGATGGGCCAGGGATAGGGCCCTGGGATCTGTCTCTAGCCCATCAAAGAAAGGTGAGAGGTGACAGCGTGCTGGCAGTCCTCACAGCCCTCGCTCGCTCTCGGCGCCTCCTCTGCCTGGGCTCCCACTTTGGTGGCACTTGAGGAGCCCTTCAGCCCACCGCTGCACTGTGGGAGCCCCTTTCTGGGCTGGCCAAGGCCGGAGCCCACTCCCTCAGCTTGCAGGGAAGTGTGGAGGGAGAGGCACGAGCGGGAACCGGGGCTGCGTGCGGCACTTGCTGGCCAGCTGGAGTTCCGGGTGGGCGTGGGCTTGGCGGGCCCCGCACTCGGAGCAGCCAGCCGGCCCTGTCGGCCCCGAGCAATGAGGGACTTAGCACCCGGGCCAGCGGCTGCAGAGGGTGTACTGGGTCCCCCAGCAGTGCCAGCCCACTGGCGCTGCACTCGATTTCTCGCTGGGCCTTAGCTGCCTTCCCAGGGGGCAGGCCTCGGGACTGCAGCCTGCCATGCCTGAGCCTTCCCCCACCTCCGTGGGCCCCAGTGCACCCCGAGCCTCCCCGACGAGCGCTGCCCCCTGCTCCACAGCACCCAGTCCCATCAATCACCCAAGGGCTGAGGAGTGTGGGCGCACGCGCGGGACTGGCAGGCAGTTCCACCTGCAGCCCCGGTGCAGGATCCACTGGGTGAAGCCAGCTGGGCTCCTGAGTCTGGTGGGGACGTGGAGAACCTTTATGTCTAGCTCAGGGATTGTAAACACACCAATCAGCACCCTGTGTCTAGCTTAGGGTTTGTGAGTGCACGAATCATCACTCTGTATCTAGCTGCTCTGTTGGGGCCTTGAAGAACCTTTATTTCTAGCTCAGGGATTGTAAATACACCAATCGGCACTCTGTATCTAGCGCAAGGTTTGTAAACACACCAATCAGCGCCCTGTGTTTAGCTCAAGGTTTGTGAATGCACCAATCGACACTCTGTATCTAGCTGCTCTGGTGGGGCCTTGGAGAACCTTTGTGTCCATACTCTGTATCTAACTAATCTGATGGGGATGTGGAGAACCTTTATATGTAGCTCAGGGATTGTAAACGCACCAATCAGCACCCTGTCAAAACAGACCACTCTGCTCTACCAATCAGCAGGATGGGGGCGGGAGGGGCGGGAGGGGCGGGGGCCAGACAAGAGAATAAAAGGAGGCTGCCCGAGCCAGGAGTGGCAACCTGCTCGGGTCCCCTTCCACATTGTGGAAGCTTTGTTCTTTTACTCTTTGCAATAACTCTTGCTACTGCGCGCTTTTTGGGTCCACACTGCTTTTATGAGCTGTAACACTCACCGCGAAGATCTGCAGTTTCTCTCTTGAAGCCAGCAAGACCACCAGCCCACCAGGAGGAAGGAACAACTTCAGACGTGCTGCCTTAAGAGCTGTAACACTCACCGCGAAGGTCTGCAGTTTCACTCCTGAGCCAGCGAGACCACGAACCCACCAGAAGGAAGAAACTCCGAACACATCCTAACATCAAAAGGAACAAACTCCAGACGCGCCACCTTAAGAGCTGTAATGCTCACCGCGAGGGTCCGCGGCTTCATTCTTGAAGTCAGTGAGACCAAGAACCCAGCAATTCCGGACACAAAGGGATGTTAAACACAGCTTCTCCTGCCATCTCTGTTTTGGAAAGCGTGCTCAAATTGACCACAACAGCTGTTCTGTTTACACACTCCGAAGTCAAAATCACTAGCCGCATTCTCAGGCTACATGATCTCCATAGTTCCCGGGAGGTGGGCAGTTTTAATACTGTGTGGACGGAAACTAGATTCAGAGTCTAAGCCACTGACCCAAGGTCACACAGCCACTAAGCAAAAGCTCTGGATTCCCTTCCAGTCAATTTGACCTAAAAGTCAGTTTTCTGGGCCAGGCCACTGGAATGTTCTCTGATGAGACTTGCATGGGCAGTCTCACTCGCAGCCTTGCTTGATGTCCCAGGACAGCTCCTGTCTGCCCACTGCAGATTTCGCAGGCTCAGGCCTTGGAGCAGCATCACTCAGTGCAAGCTTGAAGCTGTGGGCAGAAAGGTCAGGAGCTGCTCAGCCCCCCATTCTCTCACTTCCTGTGAAGAAATTGGTGGGACCAAAGATGGCGGATGCACCCCGGAAGCATCCTCCAGGGGGAGACCTGTGCTTCCCTGGGGCGGTGGAGGGAGTAAGTGTTCAGGGCAGCCACTTGTCAGGGTGAGAGCTATGCTGAGAGCACCTGGAGAATCTTCCTGGCTAGCAGACAGCCACCTTCTCACTAGATCCTCACGTGGTGGAGAGAGTGCCAGCTCTGGTCTCTTCCTTTTCTTTTTTTCTTTTTTTTTTTTTTTTTTCTGAAACAGGGTCTCATTCTGCCGCCCAGGCTGGAGTACAATGGCATGATCTTGGCTCACTGCAACCTCTGCCTCCCGGGTTCAAGCAATTCTCGTGCCTCAGCCTCCCGAGTAGCTGAGATTACAGGCACCTGCCTCCACGCCTGGCTAATTTTTGTATTTTTAGTAGAGATGGGGTTTCACCACGTTGGCCAGGCTGGTCTCGAACTCCTGACCTCAGGTGATCCTCCCACCTTGGCCTCCCAAAGTGCTGGGATTACAGGCATGAGCCACTGTGCCCGGTCTAGTCTCTTCCTTTTCATATAAGAACACTAAATCCATCCTAGAGGCTCTACCCTCACAACCTAATTACCTCCCAGTGACCCCACCTCCAATACCATCCCACAGGTGGGTTAGAGTTCAACATATGAATTTGGAGTGTGAGAGAAACACAAGCATTCAGTCCATAGCAGAGCCCAATTGTGTCTTTAATAGAATTCATACTAAGCTGCATTTCCAAATACATTTTCCTGTGCTTTTAACTCCATTAAAATAAAGATTCATGAACACAAAACAGTAAAATCAGTAAACCAAACTCCACTCCTGCTGGCTAAATAATATTCCTCCGTAAGAATTGGTGGTTGTTGGGACAATTTCTTGGATTTATTGCCTTTCCCGCTTGCTTCTGGCCAGCAGGATCCCCACAAGGCTTGCGGCAGCCAGCAGGCCTGCTGCCACACCTACTGTCGTGACTGCACCAGTGACCTGCAGCAGAAGAGAAGGGAGAGCACACTCAGCATCAGGGCGGGACCACGATACATACACCAGGAAACTACAGCTCAGGAAAGACTCATCTGGCCCAGTCCTCTTCATTTGAATCACAGAGGGAACAAATATTGGCTGGGAGAGGGGATGCCAAGAGGTCAGGCCACCCAGGAAAGAGGAGTGGAGATGTCTGGTGGGCACAGAATGAATGGAAGAATGAAGCCATAGGCGTGATATACACAGAGTCAAAGGAGGAAAACCAGATGCACCTGTGGGTATTAAAAGCATAATAGGTCGGGCTCAGTGGTTCACACCTGCAATCCTCACACCTTGGGAGGCTGAGATGGGCCGATTGCTTGAGCCCAGGAGTTCAAGACCAGCCTAGGCAACATGGTGAGACCCCCATCTCTACAAAAAAATACAAAAAAAAAAAAACAGCTGAGTCCAGGTGGTGCACACCTGTAGTCCCAGCTACTCAGGAGGCTGAGGCAGGAAGATGACTTGAGCCCAGGAGGCGGAGGTTGCAGTGAGCCAAGATTGCACCACTGCATTCCAGCTTGGGTGACAAAGTGAGTCCCTGTCTTAAAAAATAACAATAATAATTAAAGCAAAAAGCATAGTAAACCCCCAGCAAGGACAGAGGGGCAGTGCCCCAATGTTCTAGGTCAGGGCTGGCTGACTGGGGCCCTTGAGGCAGATATGAAGTTGGGAAATCACCCCTGGGAACTCTCACTACACAGGCTTGAGGGCAGGGAGCTCGCCTGGATTGGTCTCAATGTCCCAGGTGCTGATCCCACTGCCAGGCACAGAGTCGGCACTCATAATTCATCTGCTGAACAAATGCTGGCCCATGAGGAGCATTGAGGGTGTGCTTTAATGAGTAAGATTGTCTCACTTATGTGCTGGCAGGAAATGGTTCTGCAAAAGGAAGAAGAAACTGAAAAAACCACAGAGATGTGAGGCCGACCCCCGAGGGTTGGTGTGCTCGGCACAGCTTTTGGGAGCTAGCCGAGACAGTCTGCTGCGATCCTGTGGGTCTGCCCTGCCTGGGCCACTGTCTCTGAGAGACTAGCACTGGAGCGACTGGGGGAAACAACACGGGGTGGGGGGTGGGGGTGAAAACTGTGAGAATGGCTGCTTTCTAGATATCAGCACTGTGCTGGGAACTCTCCAGGCCCAGTATTTTTTTTAATCTGCCTGACAACTCTAGGAGGTAGTGATTCTAATTCCTACTTTCCAGAGGAGAAGACTGAGGATGGACAGTGTAAAGAACTCACGCAAAGGCCGGGGGGGCGGTGGCTCACACCTGTAATCCCAGCATTTTGGGAGGCTGAGGTGGGCAGATCATTTGAGGTCAGGAGTTCGAGACCAGCCTGGCCAACATGGTGAGACCCCCGTCTCCACTAAAAAAAATTAGCCAGGCATGGTGGCGGGTGCCTATAATCCCAGCTACCTGGGAGGCTGAGGCAGGAGAATTGCTTGAACCCAGGAGGCAGAGGTTGCAGTGAGCCAAGATCACGCCACTGCACTCCAGCCTTGGTGACAGAGTGAGACTATGTCTCAAAAAAAAAAGAAAAAAAAAAAAAGAACTCACGCAAAGCCACACAGCTGACAAGTGACAAGGCTCAGATCTGCCTGACTTCCCAACAGGGGCACTTAAGCCCTTCACAGACAGGGAAGCAAGTATTTAAACCAGCGACCAAATAGCAGATTTCTGTGGAGTATCAATGAATTTGAAGCATGTGAGTGACTGGGGAAAAGAAAGGGGGAAAAAAAACCATTTTATTCAAATACACTCAGAATTGTTTCCAAGTGTCAAAGACAAACAAAGCCAGACATAACTTAAGACAGCAAAAACAGATTTGATTCAGTCTCTACTGACAGCAGGGAAAGAGCTGAGCTCCATTCCAATTTGTGCAGAGGTGACTGACATTGTAAAGGGAGATGGAGGAGTAGGGAGACGGGTGAGCGAGGGCTCATAGAGTCAGGGAGGTGAAATATTACAAAGGATTAGTCCCTGAATATGCGATGAGGCCAGCTGTGTCTGCTAGCTGGCAATTATCAAAGTTAGGATTCTAACCTCCCACGGATATTGGGGACAGAGGCTCTATCCTTCCTGATGATTATATTTCAAAGGACTGGCTCTCAGGTCCTTGAGGAAGGCACTTCAGAGTTGTAAGGGATATACAGTCAGCCCTCCATATCCATGGATTCCACATCCATGGATCCAATCAATTGTGGATTGAAAACATTTGGAAAAAAAATTTTTTAAAGAACAATAAAAAATAATACACATTTTTAAAATACAGTATAACTACTTACATTGCATTGAGTATTATGAGTAATTATGAGTGGCTCATGCCTGTAATCCTAGCAGTTTGGGAGGCCAAGGCAGGTGGATCACTTAAGCCCAGAAGATTGAGACCAGTCTGGGCAATATGGTGAAACCCCATTGCTACAAAAAAGAAATACAAAAATTAGCCGGGTGTGGTGGCGTGTGCCTGTAGTCCCATCTACTCAGGAGGCTGAGGTGGGAGGATCCCCTGAGCCCAGGAAGGTTGAGGCTGCAATGAGGTGAGATCACATTTCAGTGAAGCACCTCTGCACTCCAGCCTGGGTGACAGAGTGAGATGCTGTCTCGAAAATAAAATAAGTACATGGGAGGATGTGCACAGGTTATATGCAAATATCATACCATTTTATACAAGGGACTTCAGCATCCATGGATTTTGGTGTCCTCAGGGGGTCCTGGAATCAATCCCTTCCCCACCCATGGATACCAAGAGATGACTGTATCTATGTTTCAAAGGGACAGAGGAAGGATTCATAATTATAAGTCCTTTGTAATAAACAGTCTAAGAAAGGGTCAGGGTCTTTGTCAGGTGTTCGTTAGAACAAATGGTAAATTCTCCTGGCAGCAGAGAGCTTTCTTAGGCAGGCATTTATCGGGGGGCTAGGGTCATCCTACGGACACAGCCTTATTTTGCCAGAAGCAGTGCTAGAGCTTGGTCATCTATTAGAGCAGGGGCTGGATGGCGTTGTTGTGTGCCAAGAGTCCTGCAGCTTTCACAAGTCCACTTTCTTACAGAGCAAGAGCTAGAGACAGACAGAGGAGAGTCTTTCCAGACAGACAGAGTCAGATGAGAAGGAAGGAGGGAGAGGAAGAAAGAAAGGCAAGTTATTGGGTGACCTGCAGGAGATGAAGTTCAACAAGAGAGGCTCCAGGACAAGGGACAAACTAAATAAAACTGCCTCCCCTGAGTCTTCCCCATTGGCTTGAGTTCTGACCCCTCAGAAGCATAGCAGAGGGCCAACCACTTCCTAAAATTGGGGTCTTCCAGATTGATTTTGTGGCTTCTGCACAGCCTATAGAAGAGCTTTTAGATGTATGATAAGGCAGCCCACCCCCAATCCCCTTCCGACACCCCTCCCATTCAGAGATAGGTCTACCCTCCTCAGCTCAACAGAGGGGAGACCCTGTCAGCAGGGTTCCCACTGAGTACCAGAGCATGTCCCACCGTGCCCCAGTGCCCAGCATGGCCTGGCAGTCTCTCAGTTAATAGCGTGGTCTCCCTCCTGGGGTACTTGTTTCCAGAAGTTGTGGATTTTCCTTACCCATCTCCCCTTTTTATCACCTCTCCTTCTCCTATCATACAACAGAACAGCTAAATCCTCCCACACCCTGAATCTACGGTGCACAGGCTAAGGTGTAAACACTCCTAGTCACCAGTAAGGGAGGATTCAAGAATGCATTGCTCCTAAACAAAGAGGGCTTCAGAAAGGAATATGCAACCACGTCGAGGCTCCTGCCTCATCTGTCTGCTGCTTTAGAATGAGAATTCTAAAGTGAGATGGTTATCATGAAACTGTGCATTAACACACTCATTTGAATTGAAAAATTGTCAGTTTTTTTCTGAACGTCAAAATAAGCCTGATTAGGCTGATTGGTTTGACAATAACACCTGGCTCGGCTATTTAAACTACACGGAAGACATTTTTCCCTAACTGAATGAGCTAAATGTGCAACTCCAAGATTGTGAAGAAAACATGTACACAAATATGTAATATGCAATATACCAAAATCCATCCTTTCCTTTACAAATTTTTTACATTTATGATTTTTTAAAGTGTTTGATGTCATCTAAGAATGTATGAGGGGATATGTGGTTTTTTAAGTTATCTTGGACTGAGTGTGGTGGCTCACACCTGTAATCCCAAGGGAGGCCGAGTCAAGGGGATTGCTTGAGCCCAGGAGTTCAAGACCAGCCTGGACAACATGGCAAAACCTCATCTCTACAGAAAAATCCAAAAATTAGCCAGGCATAGTGGCACATTCCTGTAGTCCCAGCCACTCAGGAGACTGAGGTGGGAGGATTGCTTGAGCCCAGGAGGTCGAGGCTGCAGTGAGCCATGATCGAACTCCACATGATATACTGCAGTCTGGGTGACAGAGTGAGACTCTGTATCAAAAAAAAAAAAGTTTGTGAGACCCTGTATCCAAAAGTTGGCCAACTATGGCCCATGGGTCAAATCCAACCTGTGAACTATTTTTGTAAAAAATAAATAATACACTTATTGGAAGACAGTCTCGCCTGTTCATTTATATATTGTCTGTGGCTGCTTTTGTGCTGCAAACTACGGCAGCAGGGTAATAAGACAGAGAACACCTGGCCCATAAAATCGAAGACATTTACTATCTGGCCCTTTACAGAAAACAATTGCCCAACATGATCTGGGCTTTTCCCCTTCCTGGCTCACGCTGTTCCCTCTGCCTACACTCCTTATTGCCCCCGTTCCCTGGTAATCTCCAGCTCATTTTCTTTCAGATTAATCAAAATAATTAAATCAGGCTGGGCTCGGGTGTGACCTCTTCTACAAAGCCTTCCTTGATCGGGGCCCTTGGAGAGAACACATGTAGGTTTAACTCCCCCGCTCTTCACCATGGCTGACATGGACTAGAGACTCAATAACTAGGAGTTTAATGAATTTGGACAAGTTACTTAAGCACGGTGAGCCTCAGTTTCCCCATCTGTAAAGTGGGAATCATAAAGCCGGCCTCTAGGGCTGTGGAGGGCTGTTTCAGGCTGTGACTCCCTTCTGTGGCCACCCCCCAACCCACTGCACTGGTCTACATTGCCGACTTGCCTATCTCCCCACCCTTGTCCCCACCCCAAATGTGACACCCTCAAGGACAACAGTTTCATATCTGCTATTTTGTCTTGCTCATGTCTATTTCCATCCCACCCTGGCCCCAGCAGGGACCCAGCCTCTGGCAGCTGAGGGAGTGGCCTGGCTCCTGGGAAGGGGATGCAGGCTGAAGATGCACCTGGTCACTGCGGGAGACGCCATAGCGCAGATGGTTCACGAAGTGCTCGCAGTTGTCACTGGTCAGCGAATAAGGCAACTCCTGCCCCACCAACTCCTCTGCCCGCTTGACGATTTTGTTGGAAGGCAGTGGTGTGTATCTGTCATCGTGCTTGTTATTGACCCTGTAGTTGTCTCCCCCAGCCACCACAGACAGCAGTTCCTTCTTCACTATGGCTTTGTTGGTCAGGGCAGACAGGACACTGGCCGCACCAGCTCCAGCAATTTCACCTGTGCAAACAGTGAGTTCAGTCCTGGGCAGGGCCTGGGGGGCTCAGAGCTGGAAGCCAAGCAGCCTCATCGCCCCGAGCACCATCAAGGAGGAGCAGCTGTGGAAGGACTTGTCCATCCTGCCTGGCCTCAAACTTGAAAACAGGGAAGACCCAAGCCTGGGTGACTTTGGAGAAGGTCCCTAAGTTCTGGTTTCCTCATTTCTAAAGTAAACAACCTGAGCTCTAAAGGACCATGTGAGTTCAGATATACCTGAAAGAGTCAACAGTCAAGGCAGTGTGGTACAGGGCAAAGAGAGGAGGCAGAAGAGCCCCAGGCCATAGTCCCAACTGCCGCTCACTAGCTTGTGGCTTAGAAAAAGTCACTCCAGGCCAGGTGCCTGTAATCTCAGCACTTTGGAAGGCCAAGGCAGGAGGAACACTTGAGGCCAGGAGTTGGAGACCAGCTTGCACAATATGCTAAAACTCCTGTCTCTAAAAATAAAAATTAAAAAAGTAGCTGGGCATGGCAGCACATACCTGTAATTCTAGCTACTCCGGGGGCGAGGCTGGAGGATTGCTTTAGCGCCGAAATTACAGGCTGCAGTGAGCTGTGATTGTGCCACTATGCTCCAGCCTGGGCAGCAGAGTGACACCTTGTCTCCAAAAAGGTAAAGAAAAGAAAATGTCACCCATTGCCCTGAGCCAGTGCTGTGGGAGCTCCAGTAGGTGAGGGTGGCATTTTGAAACAGTAGGAAAGGAAACAGCTGAACAAGACAGAAGCCTGTCCCAGGAATCCAGGGTCCCCAGGTCCTGGCCGTGGCTCTCTTACTGTGTGTCTTCAGAAAAAGCCCTTCTCATCTTGGGACCCTGGTTTCATCATTTTCAAATTAGAGGAACTAGGCCAGGGGATGTCCATGCCCTCCAGCTTTAAATTCTCCAATTGGCCTCTAAAGGGGACCCCAGACTCCTGGGAAGCTGAACTTAGTGATGTGAAGCCGCATGCTCAAGGCACACAGTCTGTAAGCAGAGGAGCCACAATTCCAAACTGGTTCTGTTGAGTTGGGAGGCCCACATGCTCCTTCCGTTATACTATGTGCTCAGTTGTACGCTATCTGAAGGAAGCAACTGCTTCTTACTCTTGCTTGTACCTCCATAACAACAAATACATAGGAGATCCCACGGAGGGATGCTCACCAAGTACAGTGAGTTGGTTCAGACTGAACCCCACTCTATAATGGAATAAAGGTCAATAGTCTCTCCACCAATTTACTGCAAAAGAAGAATAGCAGTTGCTACATCTAGCAGGAAAAAGCACAATTCATTCAGCATTATGTATTGAGTGCCTACTCTGCTAGACCCTGAAGTGAGGACAAGCACGTAACTGTGCATCTCTTCACATTCTTGATCTTAACCCTTGTGCTTAAAAAGAGAACCCATCCTTACTTGCCGGAGCCAGATGGACCACATAGCCATCTCCCACGTAGATGGCCCAGTGTGCATAGCCAAAGCGAGAAATCTCAATCAGGTCTCCAAGTCTCGGTCTTGGTCTGGCCTGCAACAGAAAAACCAGAAACAGGCAGAGGTGAGCCATCTGCAGGAAACATTCTAGGGCCTGACCTGCAAGGAGCCCCAGCTCAGCCTGCAGATTCCCTGTGCTCATCACCTGCAGGAAACAGGAAGGAGGGAGCACTCCTCACATATGTAGGAAGCACCTTCATTTACTGGGGCTGCAGGACTGAAAAGTTGCTCTTCAGGGGACAAGGAGGAGATGAAGAGAGTATCTTTGAGGGAGATTTTCATGCATGTGCAGCACAGGAGTGTGATGGAGTGATGTGCCCAGGCTGAGTGTGAGTGCATTTTATGCACAGAGTATGTTTTTGTCAGCTAGTGACTGCATGATTCCGAAGGAAGCCTAAAATGCCTCTTTAAGGGCCACCTGCCATGAGCCTGGGCCCAAGTGATTCCTACAAGTTCTAGAGGTCTGACTTGCAACGCCCAACATGTCAGAGGCAGGCGGACACTTGACCCACATTACACACCACTCCTTTGGGTGAAAACTATCATTACCCCCACTTGACAATGAGCACATGGAGTCTCAGGAACGTTAGGTAACTTGCCTAATAAGTAGAAGAGCAGGAATGAAGGGTAGGGCTGAATGTTTCCAACATTAATGCCTTTAACCATCCCAGAATGTCCTAGGCAAGCCCAGGGCAGCTGAAGTCTGAGCTCAGGCTAAAATTAAAGCAAGGGATGGCAGGGTGTGTTTGGAGTTGGTGGTAGGGCAGTGCCCCTCTGGAGGGTGCATGGGTGCGAGGAATGTTGCCCTGGCCACACCCAGAATGGGAGACAGCCCTTGCCACATAAATTCTGTTTCCGGTATGCTCTGGTGCCAGCCAGCACCCCTCCTCCCCCTATCTCAGCTGAGCCAAGCCACAAAGGAGTTGAACTGCTGCCGAGGGTGGTGAGAGTGCCAGCCAACTCAAAGTCTGGTGGGGAGCTATAGTTAAAAGTAAAGCCTTTCATTTGAAGTAATTTGGATGGAATTGGAGATCATTATTCTAAGTGAAATAACTCAGTAATGGAAAATCAAACATCCTATGTTCTCACTCGTAAGTGGGAGCTAAGCTATGAGGACGCAAAGGCATAAGAATCATACAACGGACTCTGAAGACTGAGGGAAAAGGGTGGGAGTGGGTGAGGAATAAACGACTACACACTGGGGCTGGGTGTGGTGGCTCACGCCTATAATCCCAGCATTTCAGGAGGCCGAGATGGGTGGATTGCCTGAGGTCAGAAGTTTGAGACCAGCCTGGCCAACATGGTGAAACCCCCATCTCTACTAAAAATACTAAAATTAGCTGGGTATAGTGGCAGGTGCCTGTAATCCCACCCACTTGGGAGGCTGAGGCATGAGAATTGCTTGAACCCGGGAGGCAGGGGTTGCAGTGAGCAGAGATCGTGCCACTGCACTCCAGCCTGGGCGATAGAGTGAGACTCCATCACAAAAAAAAAAAAAAAAAAAAAAAAAAAGACTACGCATTGGGTACCGAGTACACTGCTGAGATGATAGGTACACCAAAATCTCAGACATCACCACTAAAAACTAATTTATGTAACCAAATACCACATGTTCCCCCCCAGAACCTCGAAATTTAAAAAAAAGTAAAGCCTTTGACTAGAGGGGTCAAGAGTCAACTTGACCAAATAAGGGACAATTTGAGCATCAAAAAAAAATAATAAAAATAACTGTACACAAACTGAAACACATCAAATATGTTAAAACCCACGTGTTCATAAGGATATTTTTTAAAAACACTAGGCATCTTTGGAGGATGGAAAAGAATCACCCTATTATTCCAAAAGCTGGTAAATAAAGGAAAAGATTCAAGCATTTCCTAACTGAATTGTCCTCACGGAATGCAATTTAAAACTACAACAAACCCCAAAGCTACAAACCAATACTTGTAAGGTAGCCATATATGTATGCAAAAACAGAAAAATATTTGGAAGAATACGCACCAGGTTGTACAGAGGGGAAAGGCTGTACAGATGGGAAGGATGGTCAAAGGGGACATTAGTTTTTATGCTAATAGTTTTGGTTTTTGGCTTTTGGCTTTTTTTGAGACATGATCTCATTTTGTCACCCAGGCTGGAGTGCAGTGGCACTATCACAGCTCACTGCAGGAAGCCTCAGCCTCCCCAGCTCAAGTGATCCTCCCACCTCAGCCTCCCAAGAAGCTAGGACTATAAGCACATACCATTATCCTTGGCTAATTTTAATATTTTTTGTAGGGATGGGATCTCACTATGTTGCCCAGGCTAGAGTTTCGGTTTTTCAGACAAAGTGAATGTGTTCACGTATTTCTCCTGGAATTAAATACATTCTTTCTTTTTTAAGTCGAAGCTTTAGAGTCAGAGCCTCCTAAGTTCGAATTCCCTCTCTGACTTTTGGGCAGCCCCCTCTCTATACTTACCAGTATATCATTCCTCCTATCCATGAAGTTGGCAGTAATTATGCCTACTTCATAGGATTGCTTATTAACTACCTGGTGTGGATTAAATAAAAGAAGTGTTTAGCATGGTGTCTGGACCCCTGAGCACTTGGGAAATGTGGCTGCTATTGGGTCTAAAGGAAGAAGGAAACTAAGAAGGAATTGGAGGGAAGGAGGGAAAGTAGAGGGACTGGCCCTGCCTGGAGGCGAGGGAGACAGAGCCCTTTCTGACAGCCCCCATTGCCACCCACACAGCTGGAGCCCTTTCCCTGGACCCTCCCTCCCCAGCTAATCCCTCCCACTGAGGATGATGTGACAGAGGAGGCGGCCTGTGGGGTAAACCAAGGGCTGCTCTCCCTGAGCCCACCATTCCTGCCTTCAGGAGGCTTAGCAGAGCCACTGGTAGTTTGGCCAGAGGAGGGCTTGGAAAAGCATAAACGCAAACTTTGGCCACAGTAGAACCAGACCCCATGCGGCAGCTGAGGCTGGGGAGCCTCCAGGGTCATAACCCAGCACCGTGGTTCCTTCCCACAGTGTCTGAGAGAGCCAGACCCCCAGAACTCAGCATGTGCCCATGTGCCCTCCATGCCAGAGCTGTAGACCAACAAGAATACACATAATCATCACTAATAGGGTGGTTGTTCCTCAAATCAAAGCTTTAAAACCGTTTCTGGGGACTTACCAAAGCCATCCTTCCTTCAAGATGATGTCTTGTGTGTTGCTGACTCTGTGTCCAGCCTTAAATTAGCTCTGAGTTTCACTTTCCCTGTGACCCAGCCCATATACAACTATTTCAGAACATAGGCTGGGTGCGGTGGCTCACACCTGTAATCCCAGCACTTTGAGAGGCTGAGGCGGGAGGATCACAAGGTCAGGAGATCGAGACCATCCTGACTAACACGGTGAAACCCCGTCTCTCCTAAAAAATAGAAAAAATTAGCTGGGCATGGTGGTGGGCACCTGTAGTCCCAGCTACTCCAGAGGCCGAGGCAGGAAATGGCGTCAACCCAGTAGGCAGACCTTGCAGCGAGCAGAGGTCGTGCCACTGCACTCTAGCCTGGGCGGCAGGGCGAGACTCAGTCAAAAAAAAAAAAAAAAAAAAAACAGAACATAGATCAAGGTTCATGTAAAATTTTCCCTGTCTTCAAACAGGGGCAGAGCACATATCAAGTAGGCAAGGCGGCATGAAAATCAGCCAGACAGAAGAGGAATCAGAGCTCAGGATATAGATTGAGAAGGACTTAGTGGCAGTGTGGTCAGGGGCACAGCTGACAATCACCAAGTTTCAGGTGGAACAAGCAAGATCCAGTGGTTGTGGGGGCAAGGGAGGATATAGAGACAGAGACCATGGGGGAAAATTTCAAAAAGGAGAGAGGAGCCCCAGAGAGACTGAGATTCATGCCTCCAAATTGGGAATGATGGTTGCCGGGACAGGCAAACATTTCCACCAACCTCAAACCCCATGGCCCTAGAAAAATCGTATTATTGGAGGCACATTCCTCTACCCTGGAAACAGAGTGAGCCTGCTTGGACAGCAGTATAGAAACCACTCCCCTTTCTGCCTCTCACCCACAGTTCAGAAACACTCATTCCACACCAAATGGAAACCAAAACCCAGTACTGGGTGTGTAGAGGTTGCTTCTTTGAGGCACCTGCATGCTTATCTCACCCAAGCTCCAAATAAGTATCTCTTCTGTCATCTACATATAGTTGTCCGGTCCTGAGCAAACTGGACAGGAAGGGGTGGGTGGGGCTGGGGGGAGCTGAGCATCCTCACTGTGGGGCATGGGGGCGAGGACCAATAACTTACCCTCTTCAGGCTATAAACAAACAAACAAACAAAGAGCTTTAGTGTGGGGATGCAGATGGACTGGAGCCAGAACTGGAAAACTCTTTGGGAGCCACAGCAGTTCTGCATGACCAGCTACTCCCTCAGCTCACGTGGTCATGTGGTCTTGCTCCCATGGAGACGGCCTCTCTCAGCACCTCCACTCCATTCTCCTCTGAGTTGCAGTGGGACAATCTTCAAAGTATTCCTTCTGGAGGGAGACAGTAGGGTTGGCTTGGCTAATTATCTCCTGCCCCATTGTCCAGAGACCTCTGGGCCGGTCCCACTCAGGCTTGCTGATCATCTTTTTAGGGGCTGACCTCCAGTCCAGCAATCTCAGTTCTTCCTATGCCTGCCCTCCCCTTGCAACCACATCACACCCCTGTTTCCTGGGGCAGGAGGACTTCCACGTGCTGTCTGCTGAAAGGATCTCAGGTGGGTTGGCACAATGACCAACCAGACCATGCAGGGCGGAGTTGGGGAGGAACATCACTGTACTCATGCTGGGGCTTGTGGCTTTTCACCGAATCCAAGCTGTTCAGAGTGTCAGGAAATTATGTCCAGGAGCTATAGGAAAGGAGAGTCTGCAAATCAAGGGCCAGTGGAATGAGAATTCTGCTGTCTCCCTACTGTTCATGCTGAGCAGGAAAGGTGACAAAGTTCTACTGACAGAGAACAGGGTAGGGCAGGCCACACCCAGCCTGCTGGTAAGCTCTAGGCCTACAGCCTGGAATACTTACATTTTTGTTCACATGCACGCTCTCTATGTTTGTTTAATTGTATAAAAGGCTATAAAAGGAAAGATAAGCCTCCATTCTCCCCACCTCCAGCCTCCAGCCTCCAGCAACCCAGTTCCCCTTTCTAGAGGCAATGTTATCTTTCTATGTACATGCCAGGAATATCTTGGGCTACATATAATTTTAATGGGCTTTGGCCGGGCACAGTGGCTGATGCCTGTAATCCCAGCACTTTTGGAGGCCAAGGTGGGTGAATCACTTGGGTCAGAAGTTCGAGACCAGCCTAGCCAACATGGCAAAACCCCGTCTCTACTAAAAATACAAAAATTAGCTGGGCTTGGTGGCGCACGCCTGTAGTCCAGCTGCTCGGGAAGCTGAGGCAGGAGAATCTATTGAACCTGGGATGCAGAGGTTGCAGTGAGCCAAGATCACGCCACTGCCCTCCAGCCTGGGTTACAGAGTGAGACTATGTCTCAGAAATAAATAAATAAATAAATAAAGGATTTTATTAAATCTTATATCCATATAGAAGAATAATTGCAACATAAGTATAAAACACTAGAAATAATAACAAAACAGGTACCAATAAACCTAGTTGAAGAAATAGAAAATAACCAATTTCTTAAATAAGCCCTGTGTCCCACAAAAACCTGTCCACAGATGTTCATAGCAGCCGTGGTGGTTAATTTGTTGTGTCAATCCGACAGGGCCATGGGGTGCCCAGATGCTGTGTGATGTCTGGGCATGTCTGTTGAGGTGCTTCCAGATGAGATCAGCATTTGAATTGGTGGAATGGGTGAAGCAGATGACCCTCCCTTATGTGAGTGGGGAGCATCAATCTGTTGAGGGCTTGATTAGAACAAAGCTAGAGGAATGAGAAATTCGTCCCCTTTTCGTCTGCCTCACTACTTGTGTTGAGATAGCTCACCTCATCTTCTGCCCTCATACTGGGATTTACTCTATCGGCTCCCTGGATTCCCAGGTCTTTTGACGCAGACGGAATGATACCACTGCCTTTCCTGAGTCTCCAGGGTCTCTAGCCTGCAAACAGCAGATGGTGGGACTTCTCAGCCTCTGTGATTGCTGCAGCAGCTAATTTTTTGTAAGAAATCTTGATGGGGCCGGGCATGGTGGCTCACGCCTGTAATCCCAGCACTTTGGGAGGCCGAGGCGGGCGGATCACGAGGTCAGGAGATTGAGACCATCCTGGCTAACTCGGTGAAACCCCGTCTCTACTAAAAAATACAAAAAAAAACAATTAGCTGGGCGTGGTGGTGGGCACCTGTAGTCCCACCTACTCCGGAAGCTGAGGCAGGAGAACTGCATGAACCCGGGAGGCGGGGCTTGAAGTGAGCCAAGATGGCGCCACTGCACTCCAGCAGAGGTGACAGAGCGAGACTCCATCTCAAAAAAAAAAAAAAAAGAAATCTTGATGGATAGATAACCTCCCATTGGTTCTGTTTCTCTGAAGAACCCTGACTAATACTCAGCATTATTCATAATTGCCAAAAGGTGACACCCAAGTGTTCATCAACTGACGAATAAATGACGAAATGTGGTATATTCGTATGATGTGATATTATTCAGCCATAAAAAGGAAGTACTGATACATGCTAAAATATAGAGGAAGCTTGAAAACATGATAAGTGAAAGAAGCTGGTCACAAAAGCCATATAGTATATGATTCCATTTATTTGAACTGTCAAGAATGGGAAAACACACAGAGACATAAAGCAAATTCATGATTGTAATGATTATTTAGGGATGGAAGGGCTAGGGGATTCAGGTTGTGTTTCTTTTTAGGTGATGAGAAGGTTTTAAAGTTGATTGTGGTAATAGTTTCATGACTGTGAACATGCTAAAGGGCATCGAATTATATACTTTAGTAAGTGAACTATATGGTACTGAGGCAGGATAGATAGTCAAGGAGATGACCACGTCCTTGGGACATGGCAACCACACTGTCAACAGCACAATGAGCCCTGTAACCATGTTCATTGGGACATAGCAACCGCACCAACAACACAACAAACCTCAGCACTCACATTGTAATCAAGCTCATCCAAGCAGAACTACCTTCACTGGGGACTTTCCCCTGTAGAGAGCATGTGCATTTTCACTTTGCTTGTCCTCAGAATGACCCTTTGCTCATTATAATAGTAAAAAACACACCCCTGGGTAGAGATTTAAGACGGCAATGAGACATGCAATGTATGAACAAGCATGTACAGCAACTGCTCATGTGCACCCAGAGGACCACCCAGAACATGATTACTAGGAACACACCTCTTCCCACCCACTATGAATAATCACATAAGACTCTCATAAAGGGAGTTCCCTCAGAGCCAGTCTTTGCTGACTCACTCTTGATCAGCCCACTCTGACTTATCTTTCAGAGTGTACCTTTCAGAGTGTATCTTTCAGAGTTTTATCTTTGCACTAAATTACTTTCAGCTGTTTCTTTTTACACTCAGCTTTCAGAGTGTTCTTTCTCTTTTGCAATACATTGCTTTCTGTTGTTCCTCTATGGTTGTGTCTCTTGTTAAAATTATTTTAACCAAGAAGACAAGAACAGAGGTCTCACAATCACCGTCAACAGTATGTAAATTATACCTCAGTGAAGCTATTACCAAAAAAATTAACCCTGTGTTCCTCTTCCTCCTAATGCAGTTGTAGCCACTCTCCTGAATTTTGTCTCTATTGTCCTATTGATTTTTAAATTTTTTTATAAACACATCCCTTAATAATATATAAATGTAATCCTTAACAATATACATTTAGTTTATAATTTTTAAAGTTTGTAAAAGTAGAATCAAACATCAAGCATTCCATAACAATATTTTTGGTTCAATATTAGGTTTCATACCCATGTTGATTGGCCATAGCTATTCATTCATTTGCATGGTACTCCCATGTGGCAAATGGGAATGTGCCACAGTTTACTTATCCTGACTCCTGTCAACAATCACTGGAGGTTGTATATAGTCCATTCTCACACTGCTATGAAGAAATACCCAAGACTGGGTAATTTATAAAGGAAAGAGGTTTAATTGACCCACACTTCCACATTGCTGGGGGGCCTCAGGAAACTTACAGTCATGACAGAAGGCAAAGGAGAAGCAGGCACCTTCTTCACAGGGCAGCAGGATGGAGTGAGTGCAAGCAGGGGAAATGCCAGATTCTTATAAAACCACCAGATTGGCCGGGTGCGGTGGCTCACGCCTGTAATCCCAGCACTTTGGGAGGCCGAGGCAGGCGGATCACGAGGTCAAGAGATCAAGACCATCCTGACCCACATAGTGAAACCCCATCTCTACTAAAAATACAAAAATTAGCTGGGTTTGGTGGTGCAAGTCTGTAGTCCCAGCTACTCAGGAGGCTGAGTCATCAGAATCGCTTGAACCCGGGAGGCGGAGGTTGCAGTGAGCCAAGATCGCACCACTGCACTCTAGCCTGGTGACAGGGCAAGACTCCATCTCAAAAATAAATAAATAAATAAATAAAAATAAGATCTCACAAGATTCACGTACCATCATTAGAACAGCATGGGGGAACCACCCCCACGATCCCATTACCTCCACCTGGTCCTGCCTTTGACACGTGGGAATTACAATTCAAGATGAGATTTTGGGTGGGGACCACCGCCAAACCATATTAGGGGTGTTCCCAGTGTGTCACCATTACTGAACAGGTTACTGTTAATACTCTCCATAGTATGTTTTGATAAACAGATGTTCTTATCTAATGTAATGAAATTTATCTCTTTGTACCTTACTTTTTGTCTTTATTTTTTGTGCTTATGAACTACAGTAAGGTCATAAAGATGTTCTCCTGTATTTGCTTCTAAAAATTGACATTTGGCCAGGCACGGTGGCTCACACCTGTAATCCCAGCACTTTGGGAGGCTGAGGTGGGTGGATCACCTGAGGTCAGGAGTTCAAGACCAGCCTGGCCAACATGGTGAAACCCATCTCTACTAAAAAATACAAAAATTAGCCAGGCGTGGTGGTGCACGCCTGTAATCCCAGCTACTCAGGAGGCTGAGACACAAGAATTGCTTGAACCCAGGGGGCAGAGGTTGCAGTGAGCCAAGATCATGCCACTGCACTCCAGCCTGGGCAACAGAGCGAGACTCTGTCTCAAAAATAAAATAAAAATAAAAATTGACATCTGTCCTTCACATGTAAGTCTGAAATTCTCCCCAAACTGACTTTTTCTGTGCAGTGCAAAGTCCATGTGGTTATATGTGAATACCATTTACTAGTTAGGGATCAACAAACTATAGCCTACAGGCAAATGCAGGCCTTCATCTGTTTTTGTTTTGTTTGTAATAGACACTGGGTGTCACTATGTTGCCCAGTTCAAATAATCCTCCTGCCTCTGCCTCCCAAAGTGCTGGGATTATAGGTGTGAACCACCATGCCTGGTCTCCTTTGCCCGTTTTTGTACAGCCCAGTAGCTAATAATGGTTTCTGCATTTTAAATGGCTGAGAAAAACAAAAAGAAAGCTAATAACTCATGACCCATGAAAATTATATGAAATTTAAATCTCAATGCACATAAAGTTTTATTAGAACATATCCATGATCATTTGTTCACGTACAGTATTGTCTATAGCTGCTCTTACAATACCACAGCAGAGGTGACTAACTACAACAGACACTGTGAACACCACGTAAGGCTGTCTAGCCCTTACCAAAAAAGTTTGCCAATCCCTCAATAGTTCATCCTTTCCCCCCATGATCTGCAGTACTGTCTCTGTTGTAAATTAGAGTTTCATTTATTTGTGGGTCTGTTTTGGAAATTTGGCTCAATCCATTGGCCAATTTAACTATCTCTACACCAAAAATACACTATCTTGATCACAATAATAATTTATAATAAGCCTTAATAATAACACAAGTCTCCCTGCCTGATGTTCCTTCTTTGTTAATGAAATAGCTAACCCTGCCTCTTTACTTTTCCAAATACATTTCAGAATCTGGCTTCCAATTCCAGGAAAGACCTTGTTGGGATTTGGTTTGGAATCACATTGAATCCATAGGTGAGTTTTGAAAGAAACTGACATACTTATGCCATTGAGGCTTCCTATCCATTAATGATATATCTCTCTCCATTTATGAGGTCTTCTTTAATGTCCTTCAATATTTTCTCCATAGAGGTCTCACTCATTTGTTACCATAATCCTTGGTAAAACTCACCTACACGACCATCCAGGCACACCATTTCTTTGTAGAAAAAGTGTTAACTACTGATTTATCCTTTAATGAGCAAAGGACTGCTTAGATTTTTAAATATTTTCTTGGTTCAATTTTGATGACATTTTTCTTGGAATATATCAATTCCATCAAAATTTTCCAATTTTTTATAATTATTTATCAATATTTGTTTTTGCTGGTTTAATCTCTGCAGCATCTATAGTTGTGGTCTCTTTTTTACTCCTAAATCATTTGCTGTGCCTTCTCTCTTTTATATGCTTGTTTTTCTTCATTTATTTTTGCTCATATCTTTGTATTGTCTTCCCCTTTTTCTGTCTTCTTAAATTGGATAATTAACTCCTTAACTTGCACCTCTCCTTCCTTTCTTTCTTTTTCTCTTCTTCTTTTGCTTTCTTTCTCTTTTTCTTTTCTTTTCTCCAGGCTAGTATTGAATTCCTAGCCTCAAGCGATCCTCCCACCTCAGCCTTGCAAAGTGCTGGGATTACAGGCATAAGCCACCATGCCAAGTCACCTTTTCCTTTCTTAATGTAAGGATTTATGCTACAAAATTTTTTCTAAGCACCCCTTTAGCTGCATGGTCCAAATATTGGTATCTAGTATTTTTGTTATCATTCAGCTCTAAATATTATCTAACTCCCATTAGTTTTCTTTTTTTGACTCATAATGTATCTAGCAGTATATTCTAAAATTCCTGAAAGTATAGGGTTTTTCTGGTTATCTCTCGCTATTGATTCCTGAATTAATTGCTTTACGGTTAAAGAAGATTATTTCTACGTTACTAATCTAAAATTTGTTGGCTTGCTTTAAGACTCTCATAAATATTCCATGTGTGCAGTTGAAAAGAATCTGTATTTCACAATTATATTATATATGGTCATTAAGTAAGCTTGTTGGTAAATTTTCTATGTCTTTATAGACTTCTATGTTTCCTTCATTCATCAGTTCCTTAGAAAGGTGTATTTAGATCTCCCACTATGATGATGTTTGTCCTCTCCAAACTTCATGTTGAAACTTAATCCCAAATGTGGCAGTATTGAAAGATGGGTCTTTTGGCAGGGTGTGGCGGCTCATGCCTGTAATCCCAACACTTTGGGAGGCCGAGGCAGGCAGATCACCTGAGGTCAAGAGTTCAAGATTAGCCTGGCCAACTTGGTGAAACCCCATCTCTACTAAAAATAGAAAAATTAGCCAAGCATGGTGGCACACACCCATAATCCCAGCTACTCAGGAGGCTGAGGCAGGAGAATTGCTTGAACCCAGGAGGCAGAGGTTGCAGTAAGCCGAGATCCCACCACTACACTCCAGCCGGGGTGACAGAGTGAGACTCTATCTCAAAAAAAAAAGGAAGAAAGGAAAGGAAGGAGAGGAGAGGAGAGAAGAAAAGAGGAGAGGGGAGGGGAAAAGAAAAGAAAGAAAGAGAGAGCAAAAGAAAGAAAGAGAGAAAGAAAGGAAGAAACAAAGAAAGGAAAAGAAAGAAAGAAAGAAAGAGAAAGAAAGGAAGGAAGAAACAAAGAAAGGAAAAGAAAGAAAGAAAAAGAAAGAAAGGAGGAGGAAGGGAGGGAGGGAGGGGAAGGAAGAAAGAGAAAGAGAGAAAGAAAGATAGAAGAAAGACAGAGAGAGGAAGGAAGGAAGGAGGGAGGGAGAGAAGGAGGGAGGGGAAGGAAGGAAGGAAGAGAGAAAGAGAGAAAGAAAGGAAGAAACGAAAGAAAGAGAGAAAGAAAGGAAGAAAGAAAGAGAGGAAGGAAGGGAAGGAAGGAAGGAAAAGAGAGAAAGAACAGAGAAAGAGGAAGAAAGAAAGAGAGAAAGAGAGGGAGGGAGGAAGGAAGGAAAAGAGAAAGAAGAAAAAGAAGAAAAGAAAGACAGGAAGGAAAGAAAGAAAAGAAAAGGAAGGAAGGAAAGAAAGGAAGGAGGGAAAGAAAAAGAAGAAAGAAAAAGAAGAAAGAAAAAATAAAGAGCCTTTAATTGGTGATTGGATCATAAAGGCTCCACCGTCATGAATGGATTAACCCATTCATGGATTAATGAGTTAATGAATTAGTGGTTTATCACAGGAATGGGACTGGTGGTTTTATAAAAAGAGGAAGAGAGAACTGAGCTAACACACTCAGCCTCCTCACTATGGGATGCCCTGTGCTGCCTCCAGACTCTGTAGAGAGTCCCCACCAGCAAGAAGGCCCTCACCGGATGCACCCCCTTAACCTTGGACTTCTCAGCCTCCAGATCTATAAGAAGTCAAATCATCTCTCATTAATTACCCACTTTCAGGTATTCTGTTATAAACAGCAGATGATGAATTCCTCTTTGCAATCAGTCAAAAATTTCATTATTTTGAGACTTATTAAATGCAAGCAAGTTATATATTTCTAGTGAATTAAAACTTTTATCAGAATTTTTTTGTCCTCTGTCTAGTAATAACTTGCTTTAAAGCCTATATTTTCTTTTTCTTTTTTTTTTTTTTTTTTTTTTTTGAGACAGAGTCTCACTCTGTTGCCCAGGCTGGAGTGCAGTGGCGCGATCTCGGCTCATTTCCATTTCAGTCTTTGTGTGTGTGTGTGTGTGTGTGTGTGTGTGTGTGTGTGTGTGTGTGTGTGTGTGTGTGTGTGTGTGTGTGTGTATTTTTTTAGAGACAGTCTCGCTTTGTTGCCCAAGCTGTTCTCTAACTCCTAGACTCAAGGGGTCTTCCTGCCTCAGCCTCCCAACTAGCTGGGATTACAGGCAGACACCACTGTACCGATTTTATTTATATTTTATCTGTTTTTATATTTTGAATGTATCAGCTGTAAACTGTATTCCCTGGATTTGTTTTTTAATCCAGTGTAATGTTTGCCTTTTACTTTGCAAATTTAGTCCACTTAGGATTACTTATATATTTGGAATTAGTTCCTCCATTCTATTTTTTTATTTCTATACATGTCATCTGTTTTATGTAATTTTTTTCTCATTTATTGTGTGGTTTGGTTTTGGGTTTTTTTTGTTTTGCTTTGTTGTTGTTTTTAATTGAACCAGGTGTTTTTGTTTTGCCTTCTTGTGTTTGTTTTTCTCATTCCTTTTTCCCCCATAATTAGTTTGGAGGTTTACATTCCATGTGTCCCCCTCACCTTATACCATGTGAGAGAGCGAGCTTCCAAAGACCTACTGCTTGTTGACCTGTGTCCCTTAAGTTTGGGGAGCTCGAGAACTGGCATTAAGTGCTACATCTAAAAAGCCGGGGCAAAAAAAAAAAAAAAGGAAACTGTACTGAAAGAAAATGATTATTCTATCAACACTAGGACATGAATGGGCAGGTGTTTACCCTACACCAGAAGTGGACCCGGCAGGAAGGAGCTGGCATGGAGCCCTCTGTAAATCCTGCCCAGGCCTCCAAAAGACAGAATTGTCCCCAGACAACCTGGAGATGAAGGAAACATTCACAAGCAAGTAGGGAAGCATCGCCCTGTGGAAGGAAAGACCGTCGGCCCCAGGGGAGTACATCTGAGGAATACTCAGAAAAAAACCCTTCAGAAAAATGGTCACTTTGAACACCTGCCAAGCCCAGCAAGCAACAGCTGCAAGACCTCAAATGACCAGTCACACAACATGGTACCTTCTCCCAGCCTGACCCGTAAGGGCTCAGCAGCAGGGACGTCAACCATGAGCCCAGCCACATCCCTAATCCACTAAGCTCTCAGGCAACATTTGCACCATGTGACCCACCATCAGGCATAGGCGATAGGTCTAGTGGAGATCACCTGACCCAAAGGTAGCCAATGGGAAAGTTGAGTTATCTGGCGAACTGAGCCAATCAGATTCTCTCCTGGAGGTGCCACTGGGAGTGTGGACCCACAGACAGCGGGGAAAGAATCTGAGCCAATGTGGGAGGAGAGGAGCAGGCAGGAAGGTGGGTCAGAGACTTGGGGATCATGGCAAGCAGAAGCAGTGAGGAAGCAGGAGTGCCAAGGAGATGGAAGCAACAAGGCAAAGGAAAGACGTGTAGAGCAAAGGAAAATAAGGGAAATTTTAGTAAGATTGGCAAGCATCTATACTAAATTTCCTTATAGCCGAGGACTTTTTTTTTTTCAACTCAGCTGAACATCTACAGACTCCAGCTGCTGAGTCTCAGAGGCCATCCTAGATCTAGTTCCGGGCCAAGGGTCCTGGCTGTCTGCTGCTTTCTGTTCTTGTGTATTATGTCTTTCTGTCTCCCTTCCGCCCCGCATGTATCCTGACGACCAGAAACGCCCTCTACTTGAGATAACTGGAGCTGGACTCTGCCTCCTGCAATGCAAAGAACACAGCACGCAAAAAGAAAGTGAAAGACAATCCCTGACCAGGAAGACAGCCCGGCTGTTCCCTGAACAGACTTCACACCAGGCAGTTCTTGCTGCACTTCCCCCAATAAAATCCTCCCTCGTTTTGCTTTATTTTATTCTGTGAAAATAAGCCTTATTATAAATCACAATGAAATCCACAAACCAAACCCCAAACTCTCTAGCAAAACAAGACCCCCTTGATGTATAAAGTCATCGCTGACAGGACAGTCTTTTTCAGTTATTGCTTTTGTCGCTTGTTTCTTGAGAACATGACTCCAATAAGGCTCATGGCTGCCAAGCCCATTCCTGCAACGCTTGCAGCGATGATGACATCTCTGACCTGCAACAAAGAAGAGGGTGGGTCACACTCTGTGTCAGGATCCAGAGTACAGGCTGCACATTCAGCAGAAACATTCAGCTCGGGATACCTCACATGCCCCTTGGCCTCCCTGGCCAAACTAAGGAGTCAACAAACATTGGTAGGGAAGAGGGGAGGAGAGGGCTGGACGGGAAAAGAATTCGTGGCTGGAGCCAGCTGGCCTGAAATTTACATGGAACCAAAGATGGAAAACTGGATTCACCGTGTGGGTATTCAAAGCATATAAATCCTCAGAGCGTGGCTGTGGAAAGGACAGGGAGCTGATGCCAGGATGGTCAAGATCTTGGCTGGCCAATGGGGAGCTCTAGAAGCAAAGGTGGAGTCAGGGAGGAATTGTTATTGAGTAGTCAGTAACCTGTGACCTCCATAAGAGCAAGGAACTCGGCTGTCTTGTTCATCACTGTATCCCCAGTGCCTGGTCCTGCCAGGCATGGAGGATGGAGGTACTCTTCACATGTTCTTAAATAAATGACTCAATTATAAATAGTAGTGATGTTATGCTTAGAATTATTAGGATATCTGACTTGTTTGTAGTAGGAAAAAAAGTGTTTCAAAAGTAAAAGTAAATGTCCAGGTAAAAATTGAATATATGTCCAATTTTACTGCCTCCTGAAACTCAACTAAAAGTAAACTAAGGCATTTGTTTAAGGCATAATTCCACAAGAATACAGAAAGCACTAAATCCTAAGGCAGCAAAGGAAAAAGATGAGGATAAACCCTAATTATATAAAAGAATACTCCAAAAGGATCACATATTAAACCCAGGTACCTCTGGAAGTGGGAAAGAATGAGAGAGAGCTTTAGCTGGTCCCTGAACCTCCTCCCTGACCCCCAAAAGAAGTCTGAACGTTTATTCTTTGCAGAGGGTACAATAGAAGGCTTAGGGGCCTAGAAACCTAGAAGCACATGTGAGAATGTGGGTATCATACCACAAACAAGGGATTGAGAGATTGTAAACATGCTAAATGTGAGACTCCCAGACCTCCTACTCCTCTGTTCCCAGAACTTTACGCTCCACACAAGAGTCCAGAAGACTTTTCTGGGGAATCTGGCCCAAATGCAAACAACAAAAGATACCAATACTGGGAATTCCCAAACAGCCCACCCAGATCATCCTGCAGTGCAACTCAGAGTCAGCAAACCACTGCCCCTACACCCACCCCCACTCACTCAGAGCTCCATCCAGTAGCAAACCCCCACTTTTTTTTTGACAGACTGAAAACTGTTCAGCACAGTATGAAAGAGGTGAGATGCTCAGCTGGGTGTGGTGGCTTACGCCTGTAATCCCAGCACTTTGGGAGGCCGAGGCAGGTGGATCACTTGAGGCCAGGAGTTCCAGACAAACCCAGCCAACATGCGAAACCCCATCTCTAAAAATCACAAAAATTAGCCAGGCCTGGTGACACGTGCCTATAGTCCCAGGTACTCAGGAGGCTGAGGCAGAAAAAAATCACTTGAACCCGGGAAGTGGAATTTGCAGTGAGCAAAGACTGCGCCATTGGGCTCCGTCCTTGGCAACACAGCAAGAATGAGGTGAGGTACTGTTTATATAAATCATAATTAAGTGATCTCAACAATACAATGATTTTACAGTATACATTAGAGGCCAGTATATATAGAGGGTAAGAGAATAGTAACAAGGAAAACATAGGTAGAAAGAATTAGCATCTCTTTCCTAACCTATGAAGTTGAATAATAAATCTTGGTCAAAATAATTTCCTGATAGTAAGACAGTGAGTATATTAAGTGTATAAAACTGAAAAACCAAAGTGATAAAATAAGAAAGGTGCCTTTACACAAGTACCACTTGACAGAAGTGTTATTTGTAATTTCTCTTGGAAAAAAAGAAATGTTTAAAATGCTTTAAGGAATCTAAAATAAAAAGAACAAATACATATTTAGCTTAACAAATTTAAGAGGAGAAATTGTATTTAGATGTTGTAATTTAAAAACCTAGGGCAACAACATTTAACAAACAGACATTGTTTTTAGGATATAATTTGTTAACTATTTTAGTTTACACTAAGTAATGTGAGTTGGTTTTCTTTGAATTCAACTGAACATGATGGTTGGCAAGTGCACTTTTTTTTTTTTTTTAATCTTTGAGATGGAGTTTGCTCTTGTTGCCCAGGCTAGAGTGCAATGGCGCAATCTTAGCTCACTGCAATCTCCACCTTCCAGTTTCAAGTGGTTCTCTTGCCTCAGCCTCCCGAGTAGCTGGGATTACAGGCACCCGCCACCACGCCCAGCTAATTTTTGTATTTTTAGTACAGATGGGGTTTCACCATATTGGCCAGGCTGCTCTCGAACTCCTGACCACTTGATCCACCAGCCTCGGCCTCCCAAAGTGCTAGGATTACAGGCGTGAGCCGCCGCACCCAGCCAGGCAAGTGTACTTTTAATCATGAGCATACAACCAACACACCAAACATCTGAAGAAGTCCTCTAAAATTGAAGACAGAGACAAAAAAAAAATAGCAATCTGGAGAAACAGAAACTATATCTAGAAAAGAAAACATCCTTTTAACAACTATAGCTTCTCAGTCTTTTGGCTAAGATCAAGTATAAAAATTACCACTGGAGAATAAGACAGCATATTGCATCCAAAAGGAAACGTCCTTTTAAAAACTATCATTAGATCGCTTCTCGGCCTCTTGGCTAAGATCGAGTGTAAAAATTATCACTGGAGAATAAGACAGCATATTGTATCCAATAAATAAGAACGTGGTACTATAAAAAATAATGCAATATTGAGAAAATAAAAACGGTTCATAGAAAATAAAAATGTGAAAAAACAACTCAACAGAAAAGTTGAAAGATAAAGCTAAGTTAAGGAAATCTCTCAAAAAGAATAGCAAAAAAATAAAGAAATAGAAACCAAAGGGAAAAAAATAAAATAAAAAACAGAACAATCCGGCTGGGTGCAGTGGCTCAAGTCTGTAATCCCAGCACTTTGGGAGGCCAAGGCAGGCAGATTGCTTGAGCTCAGGAGTTCGAGACCAGCCTGGCAACATGGTGAAACCCCATCTCTACTAAAAATACAAAAAATTAGCCAGGCATGGTGGTGCGCGCCTGTAATCCCAGCCACTTGGGAGACTGAGGCTGAAGAATTCCTTGAACCTGGAAGGCAGAGGTTGCAGTGAGCTGAGATGGTGCCACTGCACTCCAGCCTGGACAACAGAGCAAGACTCAGTCTCAAAAGAAAAAAAAAAAAGAAAAGAAATAGTGCTCTGAGTCCCATCTTAATGGATAAAAGTAGACCTACACAAAGGCACATTACTATGAAATTTTATAGCATTGGGTAAAGATATTACAACATTTAGAGCAGGGAGAAAAACAGGAAATGGAGAAAAGATCAGGAATCAGGATGGCTTCAGATTTCTCAAAGCAATTCTGGAAGCAAGAAGACAATGGAGCAGTACTGGTACCAAAACAGAGATATAGACCAATGGAACAGAACAGAGCCCTCAGAAATAATGCCACATATCTACAACTATCTGATCTTTGACAAACCTGACAAAAACAAGAAATGGGGAAAGGATTCCCTATTTAATAAATGGTGCTGGGAAAACTGGCTAGCCATATGTAGAAAGCTGAAACTGGATCCCTTCCTTACACCTTATACAAAAATTAATTCAAGATGGATTAAAGACTTACATGTTAGACCTAAAACCATAAAAACCCTAGAAGAAAACCTAGGCAATACCATTCAGGACATAGGCATGGGCAAGGACTTCATGTCTAAAACACCAAAAGCAATGGCAACGAAAGCCAAAATTGACAAATGGGATCTAATTAAACTAAAGAGCTTCTGCACAGCAAAAGAAACTACCGTCAGAGTGAACAGGCAACCTACAGAATGGGAGAAAATTTTTCCAATCTACTCATCTGACAAAGGGCTAATATCCAGAATCTACAATGAACTCAAACACATTTACAAGAAAAAAAACAAACAACCCCATCAAAAAGTGGGCGAAGGATATGAACAGACACTTCTCAAAGGAGACATTTATGCAGCCAAAAGACACATGAAAAAATGCTCATCATCACTGGCCATCAGAGAAATGCAAATCAAAACCACAATGAGATACCATCTCATACCAGTTAGAATGGCGATCATTAAAAAGTCAGGAAACAACAAGTGCTGGAGAGGATATGGAGAAATAGGAACACTTTTACACTGTTGGTGGGACTGTAAACCAGTTCAACCATTGTGGAAGTCAGTGTGGCGATTCCTCAGGGATCTAGAACTAGAAATAACACTTGACCCAGCCATCCCATTACTGGGTATATACCCAAAGGATTATAAAACATGCTGCTATAAAGACACATGCACACGTATGTTTATTGCAGCACTATTCACAATAGCAAAGACTTGGAACCAACCCAAATGTCCAATAATGATAGACTGGATTAAGAAAATGTGGCACATATACACCATGGAATACTATGCAGCCATAAAAAATGATGAATTCATGTCCTTTGTAGGGACATGGATGAAGCTGGAAACCATTATTTTCAGCAAACTATCACAAGGACAAAAACCAAACATCGCATGTTCTCACTCATAGGTGGGAATTGAACAATGAGAACACATGGACACAGGAAGGGGAACATCACACACCAGGGCCTGTTGTGGGGTGGGGGGAGGGGGGAGGGATAGCATTAGGTGATACACCTAATGTTAAATGATGAGTTAATGGGTGCAGCACACCAACATGGCACATGTATACATATGTAACAAACCTGCACGTTGTACACATGTACCCTAAAACTTAAAGTATAATAAAAAAAAAAAAAAAAAAGAAGAAGACAATGGAGCAATGCCTCCAAAACTCTGAAGTGAAACCATTTCCAACCTAGAATTCTATACCCAGACAAAGTATCAAATCAAGTGAGAGGGTAAAATGACAAATAATTCAGACACACAGGGTCTCAAAGAATTTACCTCCCATGCATCCTCTTACAGAAAGCTGCTGAAAATGGTTCCCCAAAAACAGGGGAGTAAATGGAGAAAGTAGAAGACATGAGATAGAGAAAATGGGCCTTCTACTACTAGAGAGACTGGAAGGGAATCTCCCCAGAATGACAGTAAAGGGAGATTCCAGGATAACAACTTAGTACCAGGTGTAAAGAATAACTGGTAGGCAGAATGATAAGCCCCAAAAGGTGTCCATGTCCTAATTTCAGGAATCTATAAATATATCATGCTACATGGCAAGTGAGAATTAAGCTTACAAATGGAGTTAAGGCTGCTAATCAATTTACCTTAAAATACAGAAATTATCGGCCAGGTGTGGTGGCTCACGCCTGTAATCCCAGCACTTTGGGAGGCCGAGGAGGGTGGATCACGAGGTCAGGAGTTCGAGACCAGCCTGGCCAACATGGTGAAACCCCATCTCTACTAAAAATACAAAAATTAGCCAGGCGTGGTGGCACATGCCTCTAATCCCAGCTACTTGGGAGGCTGAGGCAGGAGAATCACTTGAACCCAGGAGGCAAAGTTTGCAGTGAGCTGAGATCACGCCACTGCACTCCAGCCTGGGCAACAGAGCAAGACTGTCTCAAAAAAACAAAAACAAAAAAAAGAGGAAATTATCCTAGATTATTCAGATGGGCCCAATGTAATTACAAAGTTCCTTAAAAGGTAGAAGACAGACAGAAGAGTTAGTGTCACAATGATGCAATATAAGACTCAACCAGCCATTGCTCTAGCTTTGAAAATAGATGGGGACTATAAGCCAAGGAATGCCAGTATGTTGTGGAAAGTCGGGGACCCCAAACGGAGGACCAGCTGAAGCCACAGCAGAAGAACATAAATTGTTAAGATTTCATGGACATTTATCAGTTCCCAAAATTAATACTTTCATAACTTCTTACACCTGTCTTTACTGCAATCTCTGAACACAAATTGTGAAGATGTCATGGACATTTATCACTTCCCCAATTAATACTCTTATAATTTCTTATGCCTGTCTTTAATCTCTTAATCACGTTATCTTCGTAAGCTGAGAATGTACGTCACCTCAGGACCACTATTGTACAAACTGATTGTAAAATATGTGTGTTTGAACAATACGAAATCAGTGCACCCTGAAAAAGAACAGAATAACAGCGATTTTCAGGGAACAAGGAAAGATAACCATAAGGTCTGACTGCCTGCGGGGTCGGGCAGAATAGAGCCATATTTTTCTTCTTGCAGAAAGCCTATAGACAGATGTGTGAGTAGGAGAAATATCGCTGAATTCTTTTCCGAGCAAGGAACAACCCTGGGGAAGGAATGCATTCCTGGGGGTAGGTCTATAGACGGCCGCTCTGGGAGTGTCTGTCTGATGCAGTTGAGATAAGGACTGAAATATGCCCTGTCTCCTGCAGTACCCTCAGGCTTACTAGGATTGGGAAATTCCAGCCTGGTAAATTCTAGTCAGACTGGTTGTCTGCTCTCAAACCCTGTTTCCTGTTAAGATGTTTATCAAGACAATGCGTGCACAGCAGGACACAGACCCTCATCAGTAATTCTAATTTTGCTTTCACCTTGTGATCTTTATAGCCCTTTGAAGCATGTGATCCTTGTGACCTACTCCCTGTTTGTACGCCCTCTCCCCTTTTAAAATCCGTAATAAAAACTTGCTGATTTTGTGGCTGGGGGTTGTCATCACGGTCCTACCAATATGTGATGGCACCCCTGGAGGCCCAGCTGTAAAATTTCTCTCTTTGTACTCTTTCTCTTTATTTCTCAGCCTGGCCAACACTTACGGAAAATAGAAAAGAACCTATGTTGAAATATTAGGGACTGGTTCCCCCAATACCAGTAACCTCTAGAAGTTGGAAAAGGCAAGAAAATTGATTTTCTCCTACAGACACTAGAAAAGAATGTCAATGCTTTGATTTTAGCCCAGTGAAACTCATTTTAGACTTCTGGCCCACAGAACTGTTGATAATAAATTGTGGAGTCTTAAGCCACTAACTTTGTACTAATTTGTTACAGCAGCAATAGGAAAATAATGCACTTATCAATCCAGATTGGAGCATTGTGACTCCAGAGCCTAGCATGTTGAGGACTGCCATAACCACTATCCTCTCCCATTGTACTGTGTTTCTAACCTAAAGCAACTTCTGGAGGATGTGATCTACCTAAATAAGAGAAAGAGCAAAGAAACAGAAAACTAAGAGATCATAGAATCAGAGAATGCAATCCAAGAGAAGGAAAGGAAATCCAAAGGATGACAGCCAAGGGGAGTCCAGGATGACAGCCATGCAATTGGCCAAGGAGCAACCAGCACAGAGGGAAGAAGGGCCATCTCTGGGATAGACGTGTCCAAGCAAAATAAACAAGAACTTGTAGGTTACTTGACATGGTTTCCCTTGTGGAGAACTGTACTGAGAGCTAATTGGATCATGTGGGAAGAATTGACAACAGGTACAAAGAAAACTCGGCAATGAAAGGAAGTAATAATTATCATAAAGAAAAAAGAACTCCCTCCACTTCCCTCCCAAAACAGAAAGGAAACTATCACAATTCACCACGACACTCAGCTGTGAGTTTTCTCATCATGAGTTCTGGCTGCTGAGAAATCAGTTCTGGGCACCTTGTGTTAATTACACTGCTGTGTTTCCTGAGGTTAAACACAACTATGTGTTTCCTGACATTAAACACATTTATGGCCCAGATAAGCCTCAGTAGCATCAAGATACGTATATATTTTTAACCACTGAAGATCCCCAAACTCTTCTCAACATTGGTCACATAGAAGTTTTAACAGATAGCCAGGCACAGTAGCTCATGCTTATAATCCCAGCACTTTGGGAGGCCGAGGCAGGCGGATGATGAGGTCAGGAGTTCGAGACCAGCCTGACCAACATGGTGAAACCTCATCTCTACTAAACATACAAAAATTAGCCAGGCATGGTGGCACGCACCTGTAATCCCAGCTACTCAGAAGGCTGAGGCAGGAGAATCACTTGAACCGGGAGGCGGAGGTTGCAGTGAGCCGAGATCACACCTCTGCACTCCAGCCTGGGTGACAGAGTGAGACACCATCTCAAAAAAAAAAAGTAGTTTTAACAGACAGAATTCATGATGACCAAAGTTTGGATGGAGCTACCAACCTGAGGTTTGACTGCTGCTAAGTCTTTAAATGCTCCTCTAAAAGATAATTAGGCATGGTTTTGTGGCAGCCATGGTTCTGTTGGGTTAACTTGCTAGGGAACCTGCATAAAATCACTTGTATCCAGCATTTTCCTTGCTAAGCTCTGTGTCAGGGTAGGAGAAATAGTCTGCAGATAATGGAGGAGGAACAATATGTCCCTAGTTCTTTATAGAACCTCATGGTGTGAAAACAAAAGCTGATGCAACTGGTTCATACAAAAGATACTTTGTCAAGGAAAACAACAATAACCTCATTGTTTGTGGCCATGCTTTGTACATAGTCAAAGAGTATGATTAAACACAAGACTGTTGGAAGCTAGTTAGTCCTAATAGTGCAAACTTGATGGGAAAAACTCTCTCTCCAAGAGTCAGTGCTACCTTCAGATGCCATTGATCATTTTCATGTTGCAAGACTGAAAGGTCCAATCCAGCTGCTGTGTTGTTATTACAGGATTTCTGATCATGAAAATGGGCTACCTGGTGTGTGTCACAGGTCTTAAATCAGGATATCAGGATATTGTGAAAGAGAAAAGCTGTCTCTCATTAGAAATATTAAGAAGACTGTTTTTTTTTTAAGTGGGCAAACAAATTCTGCCAGACTACAGACATTTAGACATTTATACTACAAAGCTCTTCTGAGTTAAGCCTTGATTTAGGGAAATCTAAATCATTTCTGGAAAAAAGAAAGTGCTAATGTGCTGCCTTCACTTTCAACAATGTTATAGGTGGATTAAAGAAGAAGTGGAGATAGTAGTGTTATTCTGAAAGCAATCCAATTGAGACTGTTAGAGGTTACAATATAAGAATGGTTATGAAATAGTTGTATATTTTCCAACAGTGATCAAGTATACAAAAAATAATAAATCATTTAAAAAGAAATAAAATATTTGCATAAAAATTTGGTTTCATTTACAGTAATTTCAAAATAATACCCCACAATTTATCCAGATTTATGTAATATATGTATTGCCGCCAGACACATCTTCAATTTCTATTTACCTTAATATTTTCTCTCACTCAGACTAGACTTCATTGTGAGTATAGCTTCTGGTTGCTTTTTTTTTTTTTTTAAGTACTGTTCAGTATGAAAGTTTCTTTACAAAACCCTACTAAAATATATGTTTTTTGAAACCTAAATATTTTTAGGTAGGTGGAAAGTAGGAGAATCTTTTTTTTAGAATATTCTTAGGCATGTAAAGCACAAATTACGTTTTAGTTTAAATTCATTGTTTCCCTTCTCAGGAAATTTGATTAATCATAAACTTTTTTTTTTGTTTTTTTTTGTTTTTTTTTTTTTGAGACAGAGTCTTGCTCAGTCGCCCAGGCTGGAGTACAGTGGTGCAATCTCGGCTCACTGCAAGCTCCGCCTCCTGGGTTCACGCCATTCTCCTGCCTCAGCCTCCCAAGTAGCTGCGACTACAGGCCACCACGCCCAGCTAATTTTGTTTTGTATTTATAGTAGAGACGGGGTTTCACCAGGTTAGCCAGGATGGTCTTGATCTCCTGACCTCGTGATCCACCTGCCTTGGCCTCCCAAAGTGCTGGGATTACAGGCGTGAGCCACCGCACCTGGCCATAAATATTCTTTTGAAGGAAAATCTAGTCTGCTTCAAAGAGCTCAGCACAAATATAATGACTGGTCAGATTCTTTAAAACACACAAAAATATCCTCATGAGTTAAATGAAAAGGAGAGTCACTGCACTGACAGTGCTTACAAAGAAAAATACTGGTGGACATTTTCTGATATGTACTAAATCTATCATCTCTAGCAAGATGGGGCATGCATCGAAGTTCTTTTTTTTTTTTTTTGAGATGGAGTTTTGCTCTTGTTGCCCAGCCTGGAGTGCAATGGCGCAATCTTGGCTCACTGCAACCTCCACCTCCCGGGTTCAAGCAATTCTGCCTCAGCCTCCCGAGTAGCCGGGACTACCGGTGCACACCACCACGCCCAGCTAATTTTTGTATTTTTAGTAGAAACGGGGTTTCACCATGTTGGCCAGTATGGTCTCGATCTCTTGACCTCATGATCTGCCCGCCTCGGCCTCTCAAAGTGCTGGGATTACAGGCATGAGCCACTGCGCCCGGCCAGAAGTTCTATGTTAATTTGACTCACAGCATGTGTCAGTGATCATTACTCACCTAAGTCACTAGTTCTCAACTGGAGACAGTTTTTCCCTGTGGGGGGAATTGTCTACAGACGTTTTTGGTTCTTACATCTGGCGGTGGGATGCTACTGGTATCTAGTGTGTAGAGGCCAGGGATGCTGCTAAGCATCCTACAGTGCACAGGACAGGACTTGACAATGAAGAATTATCTGGCCCATAATGTCAATAGTGCTGAGGCTGAGAAACCCCTATCCTAGACCAAGAAATGAAAGAGGAAATCTTTAGAAGCAGTAGAGATGGCACCTCTGTTTTTGTTGTAGAATATTCTGGCTTCATTTTCTGTGATGGGATCAAGTAGAATTGTTCATGCTGTTTCACTGTTGTGTTATCATTGTTTTGCCTCTTTCAAGTGAATGGGTAGATGGGTAGGGCCAAAGTCCCAGGAAGAAAAGTGTGATGTGTTCAATTTGCATTGTTTCATTTTGCAAGTGTTAAATTATTGTTTACAAAAAGAATAATGGTATAAGACATTTCTTAGTTATTTTACTATCTCAAGATTTGGAATTTTATTTAATTACTCCAAATAGCATTTATGGCCAGGCGCAGTGGCTCACATCTATAATTCCAGCACTTTGGGAGACTGAGGCAGGAGGGTTGCTAGAGACCAAGAGTTTAAGACCAGCCCAGACAACAAAGTGAGACCCTGTCTCTACAAAAAATACAAAAATCAGCCAGGCATGGTGATGTGCACCCATAGTCTCAGCTACTTGGGTGTGTGTGTGTGTGTGTGTGCACGTGTATGTGTGTGTTTGAGAAGGAGTCTCGCTCTGTTGCCCAGGCTGGAGTACACTGGCGCAATCTTGGCTCACTGCAACCTCCACCTCCAGGGTTCAAGCGATTCTCCTGCCTCAGCCTCCTGAGTAGTTGGGACTGCAGGTGCCCGCCATCACACCCAGCTAATTTTTGTATTTTTAGTAGAGACGGGGTTTCACCATGTTGGCCAGGGTGGTCTCAAACTCCTCACCTTAGGTGATCCACCCACCCCAGCCTCCCAAAGTGCTGGGATTACAGGCGTGAGCCACCACGCCCGGCCAGCCCCGTTCTTTATTCTGTTAATAACTGCTGAAAGAATAACTAAATGAGATGATTAGGATATATTTTGTAAACCTACCAAATATTCTTAACGTAGAACTCTGAATTTCAAAAAGTATCTTATTGCTTCCCAAGGTTGTCTTGTACTCTGTATTTGGAGTTTATTGCTGCATAGGAGCATGAGTTTTACCAAGAGTAAGTAAACACCTTGATAGTGATGCAAGATCACCAATGATGAAACTCAATTTGTTATCATGTTTGTCTTTCTTATGCTAATATTGTCACTGCTAATTCAAAAAAAAAAAACTTCTATTATACCTAAATCTGTCAATAAATGTTCATTTTCAAATTTAAAAAGATACATAAATGGGCCAGGCACAGTGGCTCACGCCTGTAATCTTAGCACTTTGGGAGGCAGAAACAGGCAGATCACTTGCAGTCAGGAGTTCCAGACCAGCCTGGCCGATATGGGGAAACCACATCTCTAATAAAAATACAAAAATTACCCAGGTGTGGTGGCACATGCCTTTATTCCCAGCCACTCTGGAGGCTGAGGCAGAAGAATCACTTGAACCCAGGAGGCAGAGGTTACAGCGAGCCAACATCGCACCACTGTGCTCTAGCCTGGGTGACGAAACAAGACTCTGTCTTAATAAATAAAAAGATACATAAATAAAAAACAAGAGAGAGAAGATAAGAAAATCAGCAAAGCAGTCTAGGGATCCAATAGCCTAATAATAGGAGTGCCAGAGAATACAAACTGGAAAATTTCCAAGAACTAAAGAAAGTGAGTTTCCAAGTACCTGGCACAATACATGAAAATAGACCCGTGCAAGGTAATAAATTTCAGAACACTGAGGATGAAGAGAAGATTCTATACAGTTCTGAAAAGAAAAAATAGATCACATACAAACAATAAAAAATCAGAACAGCTTCAGACTTCTCTACCACAATAACAAAAGCTAGATGACAATAAACCAATGCCTTCAAAATTCTGAAAAAAAAAATATTATTTCTAACCTAGAATTCTATACCCAGCCAAATGATTAATCAAATGTGAGGATAAAATAAAGATATTTTCAGGCATGCAAGATCTTTTTTTGTTTGTTTTTTGTTTCTTGGGTCTTTTTTTTTTTTTTTCTGACCAAGTCTCACTCTGTCACCCAGGCTGGAGTACAGTGGCGTGATCTCGGCTCACTGCAACCTCTGCCTCCTGGGTCCAAGCAATTCTCGTGCCTCAGCCTCACCAGTAGCTGGGATTACAGGCGCATGTCACCATGCCTGCCTAGGGATCTTTTTAAAATGTACCATTTCTCAGTAAACTATTAGGGGAAGTAGTCTACCAAAACAAGGGCATAAACCAAAAAAGAGAAGGATGTGAACTACAGAGGATAAAAGCATTAATATAGCAGGGAACTGAAAGAAATTTCTAGGATGCTAGTAAAGAGAGATACCAAGATGACAGCAATGCCTCATCAAGTGTGACAAGAGACAAATGTGGCCGGGCACAGTGGCTTATGCCTGTAATCCTAGCACTTTGGGAGGCTGAGGCGTTAGGATCATTTGAGCTCAGGAGTTCAAGACCAGCCTTGGCAACAGAGTGAGACCTCATCTCTATTAAAATAAAAAACAATAAAATAAAAAAAATTTTTTTTGAGACTGGGTCTTGCTCTGTCACCTAGGCTGGAGTGCAGTGGTGTGATCTCGGCTCACTGCAACCTCTGCCTCCCGGATTCAAGTGATTCTCTTGCCTCAGCCTCCTGAGTAGCTGAGATTACAGATGCCCAGCACCATGCCCGGCTAATTTTTGTATTTTTAGTAGAGATGGGGTTTCACCATGTTGGCCAGGCTGGTCTCAAACTCCTGACCGCAAGTGGTCTGCCCGCCTTAGTCTCCCAAAGTGCTGGGATTACAGGTGCGAGCCACTGTGCCCGGCCTAAAATAAAATTGTTTTAAGAAAAGAAAAACAAGACACAAATGTTTTGAAGGCTGTTATCCCCAAGAGATAGATGTAGTAAGTGCCACCATCCCCTGGTCTCCTGCTTTCTTTCACTGCATCACCTTTTTAACCTGACAATATTCAGGCACTAATGAAGTTCTTCTCATGGCCCTGCCCACTGATTCCCCAGAAGAAAGCTCTTATCAACTCTCAGGGAAGTTGAAGCCAGACCATGACCAACAGACTGCAATCTTCACAAACATTGGCAATATTGCCCTTTCTTTACCTAGTTAGCTATGTACCACCTACTCAATTTCTAAGTTGATCACCTTTAACATTCATATATAAATAGTTGTTGAACATGAATAACCCAACTGATCGAAGAAAAAAATAAGAGGATACCCATTCAAAGGTAACTAATATCCCACTGTAGACAGGTATAGGAACCGCCTAACAAACATGAGGGTTGGTGTAGTAAGCACAGCTGGTTATCAGCAGTATGAAGAGAGTAAGAGTGATTCCTATAGGTGGTGTTAGTCAGTGTCTTCCCATTCAAGTGGCTGTGGCCCACAGAGGCCAGGGGACCAGGCAATGGATGAGCCAAGCAAAAAAAAAAAAAAAAAAAAAGAGGAGGATAATTTAAAAAAAAAAAATGAGGATAATCATGACTATTTTTACTACTACAATGTATTCAGTGTGCTAAGAATAAACATGCTCTTATTTAATTCACAAGGTAATCCTCCAAGATGAGTATTATCATTCGTACTTTACCAAAGTGTAGGGAGCTGGACTAACTCTCCTGAGGTCAGACAGCCGGCAAAAGGCAGAGACCAGGTCCAGCCCACGTTGGCCTGACTCCAGGAGCCCAGGCTCTTAACCACCACACTGACCAGGGAAGAAGAAATTGGATCTCAAAAAAAATAATAATAAAAGTGAACAGCCTGATGGATCTTAAGCTAATCATTCACTGAAAAAAATATGTATTCTTTTGCATCAACAGCCATGTAAGAACCTTCCCAATGTTCTTTTCACCTATGCAAAGAAAAAAAAAAAAAAAAAGATGGAAGTGGCTGAAAGGGAGGGGGAAGAAGTGCAAGGAAATGAGAAGAGAAAAAGAGATTGAAAGGAGAGGAAAGACAAAAATAAAATCAAGTAAATGAACAAAACTGCATCCCCTAGGGTCTCCCAGATTCACCCTTAGGGTTCAGCCAGGCTGAAGACAGTGCTGTTTATAAGCACGATCAGGCTATGCCACACAGACCTGGGCTTCAAATCCCAACTCTGCTAATTATCTGCACAGGAAAAGACAGGTACCAGGTCTGGAGACTCAACAAAGATTTTTTTGATGAAATGAATGGCTGTAGACAAGTTACTTAAGCTCAGTTTCCCAATCTGTAAGGTAGTGGGTCCTAAAACCTGCCTTTAGGGCTGGGGAGGGCCATCTCAGGGACAGGTGGCCAGGGAGGGCTTGGCAATGGGAATGATCATCATGTCTGTGACTCCTTTCCTTGGCCACCCACCCCCGCCCCCGACTACACTGATCTGCATTGCCAACTTGCCTCTCTCCCCACCCTTGTCCCCACCCTTGTCCCAACTGTGACATCCTCAAGGGCAGTAATTCTGTCTCTGCTATTTTGTCTTGTTCATGCCTCCATAGCCATGCCCAGCCTCCGTCAGCAGAGGGAATGGTCTGGTTCCTGGGGAAGGCGACACAGGCAGAGGACGCACCTGGTCACTGCGGGCGACTCCATAGCGCAGCTCATTCACAAAGTGCTCGCAGTTCTCACTGGTCAGCTTGTAGAGCACCTCCTGCCCCACCAGCTCCTCCGCCCGCTGGATGATTTTGCTGCAGGGCAGCGGCGAGTACTTGTCATCATGTTTGTTGTTGACCTGGTACTTGTCACTCCCGGCCACATCATACAGCAATTCCTTCTTCACGATGGCCTTGTCAGTCAGGGCGGACATGACACTGGCTGCACCAGCTCCTGCGACCTCACCTGCAGATCCACAAAGAGGAAACAGAGGGATTGGTCCTGGGAAGGGCCACGGAGGCTCAGAGCTGGCCCCCAGCCGGGCATCTGCCCTTGGCTCATCCACAAAGGATAAGCAACAAGTGGAAGGGTCAGACGCATGGCTGTGGGCCTTGGGGAAGGTGTGTGTGGTCTCTGGGCCCTGGTTTCCTTATCTAAAATGAAAGGGAGTGAAGTTCCATGATTTACTGTGATTTTTTTCTTACTCTAGAGAAGGTGGTCTTCTATACCTCATGACACTTAAGTGGCCCCCTTGGTTATGCAAATATGAGCCAAGAGCATACTCATCCACCTGGGAAGATAAGGTGGGAGACTTTTATGATGGCATCAGGGCTACACCTACTTGACCACACAAAGCTGCTTACTGCAGAAAACATGGCTGGGTTTTCCAGAGTCCCAGCCCTTCTGGAAACAGACCCACCAAAACGCACAGCTGTCCCCCTAGCTGTGATGGATGCTAAGGAGGCTTAGTGGGTACATGGGCACAGCCCAGGCCAAGGCCCAGGGCAAGGAAGGGCCACAAAGCTCCAGAAATGAAATGATCTTGAAGACAAGGAGTCCAGGTTCAACATGAAGACCAGGATGGTGGACAGGGAAAGCTGATGCCAACACAGACTGGGCATTCCTCCCAACTCAAACAACCTGTGTGGCGCAGGGAGAGGCAGGCACTGAGTATGATGATTGAAAAAGTGGGGATGGGCTGGGCACAGTGGCTCATACCTGTAATCCCAGCACTTTGGGAGGCCAAGGCAGGCAGATCGCTTAAGCCCAGGAGTTTCAGACAAGCCTGGGCAACATGGCAAAACTCCGTCTCTACAAAAAATACAAAAACTAGCCGTGTATGGTGGTGTGCACCTGTGATCCCAGCTACTCAGGAGGCTGAGGCAGGAGGATCACTTGAGCCCTGGAGGTTTAGGTTGCAGTCAGCTGAGATTGCGCCGCTGCACTCCGACCTGGACAACAGAGTGAGATCTTGCCTTAGGAAAAAAAGAAAAAGAAAAAGTAGGTATGCACTCAAGGGATGGGCCTACGCACCCAGGGAGCATGTCAAAGGAGGTTCACTCTCACTCTCCTCAAACAGCCACTGTGACCCTGTCAGGGTCAAGGCCCCCAGGGTGCCACAGCAGCACCCTGTTAAACTGGGTAGGACCAGTCTTCAACAATGACATCCGTGTGACAGCAACAGCAGGAGAGGCCGATTAGATTTCAGGTCCTGCTCTTCTCCGCTTTCCAAAGACCAATAAACCTTTTCAGCCTGCATGCAATGCCTACATGCAATGCCAAGATATTAGAAATTTAGGGAATTCAGACTTGATAGGAAAAGGGCACGTGAAGCTTGGAAGATTCATTGAAGTAAATAAAAGAGAGGGTGCCTTATTGGAGCCCTGCGTTTGTCGGGAGGATGAGCTCCTGGGGCCCACCCAGCCTCAGCTCCCAGGCAAAGTGGGTGACAGCGCAGGGACTCGGAAGAGGCAAGCAAGTTGCCTAGAGCCCAAAGTTTAAGGAGGCACCAAATCTCAGGGCCATGCAAGTGCAGAGTCAACAACCAAGAGTGAGGACTTCCTTAAACTTATATCTAGATGCCACCCAGGACAGGGGTACCCTGTGCTCAAGCTGGCGGTGAGAAGCTCTGGGTTCGACCCCAGCACATCACCAACCAGCTGAGTGGTCTGGACCTGTCACTTCACTTTGCTCCAGAAATCCCCAAATACACACTAAAATTGATGCACAAATACATATCAACACAGTAATTTAAAGTTCCTTCTTTTTTTTTTCTTATTTTGAGACAGAGTCTCACTCCATTGCCCAGGCTGAAATGCAGTGGTGTGATCTTGGCTCGCTGCAACCTCCTCCTCCTCAGTTCAAGCGATTCTCATGCCTCAACCTCCTGAGTAGCTGGGACTACAGGTGTGCACCACCATGCCCAGCTAATTTTTATATTTTCAGTAGAGATGGGGTTTCACCATGTTGGCCAGGCTGGTCTCGAACTCAAGCCTGGTCCGAGCTCAAGCAATCCACCCACCTCGGCCTCCCAAAGTTCTGGGATTACAGGTGTGAGCCACCACACCTGGCCTAAAGTTCCTTCTTTTAAAAAGTGAGTCTACTGAAGAAAATATGAAGTGAACAATCACAGAAAGAGCATGTGGATGTGGCAATCCATCAGCGACTGAATTTTGGGATAGCTTGGACTGGGCAGTGCAGCATTGTGGTTAAGTGCACAGAATCAAGTCAGACTGCCTGGGTTTGGGTCCTGCCTGCACCCCTTACCATTATGCAACCTTGGGTAAGTTTCTTAACTTCTCTGAGTCCCCCATTCCTTGTAGGATAGAAACAAAAATAGTCCCTACTGCACAGGCAGCTGTGAGGATTAAAGGGGTTGGCCAGAAAACATGCTTTCACCAGTGTCTGGCACAGGACAGGCACTTCAGCAAGTTTATAAGCTTCCTTCCAGCTCTAATTTCTACAGTTTTCTCAGCAGCAGAAGGTCAGTCCTCCTTGCCTCATCTATCCCACATGACTCCTGTGAAACTCAAGTGAGATGCAGGTAGAAGCATCTTTTCCTTTGAAGGAGTATCACTGACCTGATGGTCTGTGACACACCTGTCCACCTGTCCACCCGGGTGCTTGTCATGCCTTCCCCAACCCTCTATCTACCACACACACCTGCTCAGTGCAGCCAATCAATACTGAGGCCCTACTGGGTGCCGGGCCTTGTCCAAGGTGCTGAAGTCAGTGACGTGATCTGGACAGCAGGCCTGCCCTCAAGCAATTCCCATGCTACTGAGAAGACGCTGACAATGAACAAATACACAAAATAAGATACTTGCAGGTACCAACAGACACTATGGAAAGACAGAGTGGAGTGACATGGCAAGGATGACCAGCAGAGGCTGCTGTTGCTCAGGCTGGGGAGGCCACCCCAAGGAAAAGGCATCTTTGCTGAAGCTTGAATGATGAAGCATCTAGAACAGAAGGAACAGCAGGAATGAAGTCTGCAGGGAGGAGAGAGCTTGGCATGCCAAGAGGCAGCAAGGAGGCCAACGTTGCTGGAGTCTAGAGACCCAGGAGGGGAGAAGAGAAAGACGAGGCCCAAAGTCACAGACCAGGCCAGACCAGGCCGGGCCCTACAGGCCACAGTGTAGACTTTGATGCTTTGTTTTGGTTTGGTTTTGGTTTGTTTTTTTGAGACGGGGTTTCACTCTGTCACCCAGGCTGGAGTGCAGTGGTGCAATCTTGGTTCACTGCAGCCTCCGCCTCCTGCTCGTGCCTCAGCCTCCGCCTCCTGCTCGTGCCTCAGCCTCCAAGTAGATAGGACTACAGTGGCGCGTCACCATGCCCGACTAATTTTTGTATTTTTAATAGAGACGGGGTTTCGCCATGTTGGCCAGGCTGGTCTCAAACTCCTGATCTCAGGTGATTCACCCACCTCAGCCTCCCAAAATACTGGGATTACAGGCATGAGCCACCGCACCTGGCCCTTGATTTACGCTTTCAAACAATCACACCACCTGCCCATGAATGAGGAACTGGCCGTGAGTGGCAAGAGGCAGAGAGACCAGCCAGAAGTGACACTGCCACCAGGCGAGGGAGGGTGGTTGCTCATACCAGGGCGCTGCAGTGGGGATGGTAAGAAGTGGTCAGAGCTGGGGTCTGTTTCAGAGATAAAGCCAACAGGATTCCCTGATAGATTAGACATGGGTTGGAAGGAACGGAGAATGACTCCTAGGCTTTAGGCCTGAGCAGCTGAATGGTGTCTTCCACTGGAGCCTCCCATTTGGGGCAGATCAAGTTCAAGATGCCAGGTAGACACCCAAGTGGAGTTACCAAGTAGTCAAGAGGTTATGCAAGTCTGAAGCTGAAGGGGGATGTAAATTGAGGGTTTGGGCTTAGGAGATATTGACAAATAGAAGGTATTGGAAGCTAAGGAATCCAATGAGGTCATCTGAGCTCGATTTAGGGAAATGAGAGAGGAGGAGGAGCCCACACAAGAGACCAAAAAAGAAGGGCCCAGAGGGAGAGGAAGAAAGTCAGGTGCCAGGTGGAGAGCAGGAAGGTCACTCACATCAAATGCTGCAGAGAAGCCAAGTCAGCTGTGATGGGACTTGGCTTTAAGCTTTGGCAAGATGTGGAAGCTTTTCCCTACCCTTGAGAACTGCTCTGTCAGGGGGGCAAAAAAAGAGAGTCTGAGAGCAAAACTCCATCTCAAAAAAAAGAAAAAAAGAAAAAGAAAAAAGAAAGTGTGGGTATAGGGGATGGAAGGCAGAATGGGAAGCGAGGAACCGGAGGTGGCCAGGCAGACAAAGCTGTAATGAGATCTGCTCTGTAGGGCGTTAAGCAGAGAAGGATGTGAGGCCGGGCGTTTGATCAACGGGATATATTACAGCTGTCTCTATGTCAATACGAATGATCCAGTTGAAAGGGAGAAGATGACAATACAGAAGGAGGTGGGGAATTTGAGGAGCAAAGTGCTTATGAAAGGAAGAGGAGGGGGTGGGGGTACATGGGTAAGGGGCTCAGGGTGGGGAAGATGACATCTACTCTGGTTACTACTGATAGGGTGAGGCCACTAGTTAGAATTAAAACGATATGCAAAAGACATGTTCAAGGGCCGTGCGCGGTGGCTCACGCCTGTAATCTCAGCACTTTGGGAGGCCGAGGCAGGCAGATCACTTGAGGTCAGGGGTTTGAGACCAGCCTGGCCAACATGGTGAAATCCCATCTCTACTAAAAATACAAAAATTAGCTGGGCATGGTGGTGCGTGCCTGTAATCCCAGCTACTCCAGAGGCTGAGGCAGGAGACTCGCTTAAAAGCAGGAGGTGGAGGTTGCAGTGAGCCAAGATCATGCCCCTGCACTCCAGCCTGGGCCACAGAGCAAGACTCCGTCTCGGAAAAAAAAAAAAAAAAAAAAGAGTGTCTATAACAGCTCTATTCATAGCAGTCAAAACCTGCAATGAGTCTGATGTCAGAAAAATGGATGCTAAATTGTAGCATATTCATATAACAGAAAATACACAGCAGTGAAAAAGAATTCCTGCTACTCACAGCAGCATGGATGACTCACATGGGCATGATGTTGGCTAAAAGAAGCCAGACACAAAAGAGCACGGGCCGTGTGATACCTCTTCCATGAAGTTCTAGAACAGGCAAAACTCATCTATGGCAGGAAAAGCTAGAATGATGGTTGCCTGGGCGAGGCGTGGGGAGGCATATTGTAGAAGCATGAGAGAGCCTTTCAGGGTAAGTGGCACAGTGGGAATGTTCTAGATGTGGATCTGGGGCACTGTTACATGGATGGTTTTTTTTAATTCACTGACTGTATACTTTACTATGCTTGTACATTTTACAATACTTATGTTATACCCCAGTTTAAGTTAAAGGCTTAAGAGAAGGGTGAGGAATTCTCACAAGAGTTCTCCAAGTTAAGTATTCATATCCTCAGTTTGCAAAAAAGGAAATCAAGGCTGAAGAATGGAAACTGGATTCATAACCAAGTCTCTCTGCCCAAACACCTGCACTCTTCCCAGGAGCTTTACGCTTAAGAGTTGAGTGTGTTGCGGCCGGGCACAGTGGCTCACGCCTGTAATCCCAGCACTGTGGGAGGCCAAGGAAGGCGGATCACGAGGTCAGGAGATCGAGACCATCCTGGCTAACACAGTGAAACCCCGTCTCTACTAAAAATACAAAAAATTAGCCAGGGGTGGTGCCAGGTGCCTGTAGTCCCAGCTACTCAGGAGCCTGAGGCAGGAGAACGGCGTGAACCCGGAGGCAGAGCTTGCAGTGAGCCGAGATCGCGCCACTACACTCCAGCCTGGGCGACAGAGCGAGACTCTGTCAAAAAAAAAAAAAAAAAAAAAAAAAAAGAGTTGAGTGTGTTGCATACAAAGTCACGGCATAAAAAACACATCAAAACAGAGCTTCGTCCTCAGATGCCACCTTGGTCCCTCTACAGCAGCGGTCCCCAACCTTTTTAGCACCAGGGACTGGTTTTGTGGAAGACAATTTTTCCATGGACTCGGCAGTGGGGAGGGATGGTTTCGGGATGATTCAAGCACATGACATTTATTGTGTACTTTATTTCTATTATTATTACATTGTAATATATAATGAAATAATCATACAACTGACGATAATGCAGAATCAGTAGGAGCCCTGAGCTTGTTTTCCTGCAACTAGATGGTCCCTTCTGGGGTGACGGGTGACAGTGACAGATCATCAGGCATTAGATTCTCATAAGGAGTGATATGGTTTGGCTCTGTATCCCCACCCAAATCTCATGTCAAACTGTAATCCCCATGTGTCAGGGGAGGGACTATATGGGAGGTGACTGAATCATGAGCGAGATTTCCCTCATGCTGTTCTCATGATAATGAGTGAGTTCTCACAAGATCTGATGGTTTAGAAGTGTGGCACTCCGGACATGGTGGCTCATGTCTGTAATCCCAGCACTTTGGGAGGCTGAGGCAGGTGGATCTCCCGAGGTCCAGAGTTCAAGACCAGCCTGACCAATATGATGAAAATCCATCTCTACTAAAAATAGAAAAATTAGTCGGGCGTGGTGGCAGGTGCCTGTAATCCCAGCTACTCGGGAGGCTGAAATAGGAGAATCACTTGAACCTGGGAGGTGGAGTTTCCAGTGAGCCGAGATTGTGCCATGGCACTCTACCCTGGGCAAGAAAAGCGAAACTCCATCTAAAAAAAAAAAAAGTGTGGCACTCCCCCGCCTCCTGCCACCATATAAGACCTGCCTTGCTTCCCCTTCACCTTCTGCCATGATGGTAAGTTTCCTGAGGCGTCCCCAGCCATGCAGAACTGTGAGTCAATTAAACCTCTTTCTGAAGGGCCGGGCGCGGTGGCTCACGCCTGCAATCCCAGCATTTTGGGAGGCTGAGGCAGGTGGATCACGAGGTCAGGAGATCGAGACCATCCTGGCTAACACGGTGAAACCCCGTCTCTACTAAAAATACAAAAAATTAGCCAGGTGTGGTGGCAGGCACCTGAGTAGTCCCAGCTACTCAGGAGGCTGAGGCAGGAGAATGGCGTAAACCCAGGAGGCGGAGCTTGCAGTAAGCCGAGATTGCGCCACTGCACTCCAGCCTGAGTGACAGAGCAAGACTCTGTCTCAAAAAAAACAAAAAACAAAACTCTTTTCTTTATAAATTACCCAGTCTCGGGTAGTTCTTTATAGCAGTGTGAAAACAGACTAATACAAGGAGTGTGCAACCTAGATCCCTTGCGTGTGCAGTTCACAGTAGGGTTCATGCTCCTATGAGAATCTAATGCCGCTGCTGATCTGACAGGAGGTGGAGCTCAGGCGGTAATACAAGCGATGGGGAGCAGCTGCAAATACAGATGAAGTTTCGCTCACTTGCCCACCACTCACCTCCTGCTCTGGAGCCCAGTTCCTACCCAGTACCAGTCCATGGCCTGGAGGTTGGGGACCCCTGCTCTAAAGAACCCCCTGAGGTTCCCAGGAGCAGACCTTGAAAACCAGTGCCCCACACCAAACTGCCCCATATCAAACTTCTTGTAACATTCAGAGACAACTGCCAGTTGGGAAGCAAGAAGAATGTTGGGGTCACCTGTTACCCACAGTTCCCCATCCCCTCTCTTCCCAGCCCCTGGGGCCCATCACAGTGGAGGTCCCATGTGTTCTTACTTGGAGGGGCCAGATGAACCACATATCCATCGCCAACATAGATGGCCCAGTGTCTGTAGAAAGGGCGAAAAATCTCAATCAGGTCTCCAGGCTTAGGCTCTGGCTGCAAAACCAAGAACAGGGCTGTTAGAGGGAGCATGAGATCGTGGAACCAGGACAGGGCTCAGTGAGGAAGGTGCAGCTGAGTGGTCCCCAGCTATCAGCTCAGCAGAACATATGTCCTGAGCCCTGCTCTGCCAGGTCCAATGCCAGTCCAACTTCACAAGCTTGTGACCCAGACCTGCAGGCACCATGGGCCTGCCCTTCTGTCAATACAAATTGCCAAGTGCAAACCTAAAAGGTTTCTTCATGAGCTGGAGTCTCTGCCTTATTATTTCTAGGAATATTATTTATTGAACTCTTACTCTGAGCCAAGCACTCCACTCTCCATGTTTTACAAGATGGCTCAATAAATCCACACAACCATCCAATGATGAACCCCATTTTATGGATGAGGAAATCAAGGCCTAGAAATGTAAAAGAATTTGTGCAAAGACATATAACTCATGAGTGACTTGGCCAGGACTGAACGCCCAGTTGGCTGATTCCCAGCCCAGTCTGACCATCAGGAAACACCACCAGTTATGTGACTAGAGCTGCCCACCTGGGGTCCATGCCAGAGGCTGCCAGATCTGGAGGGCATTCCACAGACACTCCCCAACACCTGGCCTGGGCCTAATGGAGAACTGGCATCAGTCTCCAGCAGTAATGTCCCCCGGCTGCTCAGCCTGATGCTAAGGTGTGCATGTTCACATTGAGTGAGTATGTGTGTGAGGGTGGATGCATGAGTGTGAGACTACGTGTGAGAGTGAGTGTGCGTATGTGAGAAGGGGAAGGTAGGGAGGGTGCAGTAAATGCTCTCACCCTGTTAGGGGAGCATGGGGCAGAGTTTGAGAAAACTTCAGAGAGGTTCAAGATCCCATCCATTCAACATTATCCACGTCCATTCAGCATTAACCACATCCCAGAATCAGACCCTGCACTGAGTGCTGGGGGAGGGGAAGTTCCGACTCTCACTAGAATCAGGGGTAAAGAACTTCTCCAGGCCAACCTTTAAACCCCTTTAATGAGCAAAGAAATCAACCTTTCAGAACACCTAGAGACAGAGCCCATCAGAGGCTGGTTCTGGCCCCTTCATCCTTTGCTGGAGTCTTCAGCCACAGTCAGGGCTAAACTGCCCTCAGCACAGTGAAGATATGGGGTGAGGACTCCGGCTTGCTTGCACCTTGAGTCAGATCCATAGGGGTTTTCCCACATCTCGCCAGCAAGCTTGGTGGCCCTACCAGAGACATTCCATCAAGGATGAGGCATGGGGAGGACTCATCCTCGGCTGACCTCCCCTGGGCGCAAATGATGGGCAGTGGTTAACAGCCAATCACAACTCTACAACGCCTATGAAGGCGGGTCAAAGGCCAGTTTGCTTATTATTTCACAGAAACATTAAAACTACAAACAGGTAGCATGTGTGGCAGGGAATTTTACAGATAAATCATGTTCTTTTGTTGCAGTAAATATAATTTCTTTTCCAAAATAGAGGGCACTCAGTTCTTACTGAGAACCTATTTCAGAACAATGGACAATGGTCACAATTTATGAATCCCATTGTTTTCCAGGAAAAAAAAAAGAGTATTAATTGTTTGGTCAGAGTTTGGGGATTCAAGAATCCCCAAAAAGGAATTTAAACAGGGATCTCCTCAAACAGACAAGGACATAAAGACTGGGTGGGTACCCATCCCTGAGGGAGGCTGCAGGTTGGAAAGAGATGGTGTGGACATCAGTAAGACCATGTTGAGTAATAAGCAGCTGGCAGTGTGCAGAGCCAAAGAGCTCACCTGCTCCACATAAACACCAATGAGAGGAGCCCTCACATAGAACATGCTGCCTTTATTTTTTCTTTTTAAGACAGGATCTCACTCTGTTGCCCAGGCTGGAGTGTAGTGGCATGATCGTGGCTCACTGCAGCCTCAACCTCCCCAGGCTCAGGTCATCTTCCCACCTCAGCCTCCCAAATAGTTGGGAGCACAGGTGCACACCACCATGCCTGGCTAATTTTTACATATTTTTAGTAAACACAGGGTTTTGCCTTGTTGCCCAGCTGGTGTCAAACTCCTGGGCTCAAGGGAACCTCCCACTTCGGCCTCCCAAAGTGCTGGGATTACAGGCACGTGCCATCGCGCCCAGCCCCATGCTGCATTTTTTAAAACAGAAGTTATTACGATGACAAAAAATAATTTAAAATATTATAATGGTTCAGACAGAAAAAGTATTCCGTTATCTAAAAAGGAAGAGTGAAAAAGTCATACCCAAAAAGCCACATACTGTATGATTCCATCTATATGTCATTCCAGAGCAGGCATAACTACAGCACGGAAAAGTGATCTGTGATTGTCACAGGGGTTGAGGAGAGGGACTGACTAGCAAGAGGCGTGAGGGAATTTCAGGGGTAAAATTTCTATACTCTTCTACATCTTCATGGTTTTTTTGTTTTTTTTGTTTTGTTTTGTTTTGTTTTGTTTTGTTTGAGACAGACTCTCGCTCTGTCTCCCAGGCTGGAGTGCAGTGGTGCGATCTCGGCTCACTGCAACCTCCACCTCCCGGGTTCAAGCGATTCTCCTGCCTCAGCCTCCCAAGCAGCTGGGACTACAGGCGTATGCCACCACGCCTGGCTAATTTTTTGTATTTTTAGTAGAGATGGGGTTTCACCATGTTGGCCAGGCTGGTCTTGAACTCCCAACCTCAGGTGATCCACCCGTCTCAGCCTCCCAAAGTTCTGGGATTACAGGCGTGAGCCACCACGCCCGGCCTACTCTTCTACATCCTGAATGTGGCAACCATTCTGCAATTACATGTGTTTATTAAGACTCACAGAAGTAAACACTGAAAGGGTAAGTTATAACTTAATTTTTTTTAAGAAACTAAATTTTAAAAATAAATAAAAATTAAACAAAAAAAAAAATTTTTTTTTTTTTTTTTGAGGCAGAGTCTCTCTCTGTCACCCAGGCTGGAGTACAGTGGCACGATCTCGGCTCACTGCAAGCTCCGCTTCCCGGGTTCATGTCATTCTCCCACCTCAGCCTCCCAAGTAGCTGGGACTACAGGCGCCTGCCACCACATCCGGCTATTTTTTTGTATTTTTAGTAGAGATGGGGTTTCACCATGTTAGCCATGATGGTCGCGATCTCCTGACCTTGTGATCCGCCAGCCTGGGTGACAGAGTGAGACTCCATCTCAAAAAATAATAATAATAAATAAATTTTAAATATTTATTTACAGTTTAGAAGGGAAAAAAGCTGTAATTTTTTTTTTTTTTTGACATTCAGCCAATCTGCCTATTCTTTGTAAGGGCAAGAGATACATATTCCCAAGCTCAACACATAATTACGCTCAAGCTCAACACATAATCTCACTCAAGACAACTTCTTTTTGAAAATGAAGTAAAAGACAGTGGGCTCACCTATGGAGCCCTACACACTAGTTAGGAGCAAGGGTTTGATGGTCACTTGGCAAGTTGGATATCTTTAAAAGACACTGCGAAGTGGAAAAATGGGGATGAGCTCTGTAACAAAATGCCACTTATATAAATTAAAGATACATGGCCGGATGCAGTGGCTCACGCCTGTAATCCCAACACTTTGGGAGGCCAAGGTGGGCGGATCACCCGAGGTCAGGAGTTCAAGACCAGGCTGGCCAACATGGTGAAGCCCTGCCTCTACCAAAAATAAAAAAAATTAGCCAGACGTGGTGGCGTACGCCAGTAATCCCAGCTACTCGAGAGGCTGAGGCTGGAGAATTGCTTGAACCCAGGAGGTGGTGGGGGTTGCAGTGAGCAGAGATTGCACCATTGCATTCCAGCCTGGGTGACAAGAGCGAAACTCTGTCTCAAAAAAAAAAAAAAAAACAAAAGGAGGCCAGGCACAGTGGCTCATACCTGTAATCTCAGCACTTTGGGAGGCCGAGGCAGGCAGATCACGTGAAGTCAGAAGTTTGAGACGAGCCTGGCCAATATGGTGAAACCCCCCGTCTCTACTAAAAATACAAAAATTAGCCAGGCGTGGTGGTGCACATCTGTAATACCAGCTACTTGGGAGGCTGAGGCAGGAGAATCACTTGAACCCAGGAGGCGGAGGTTGCAGTGAGCCAAGATCGCACCACTGCCCTCCAGCCTGGGTGACAGTGAAACTGTCTCAAAAAAAAAAAAAATGATGATTAAAGGGAACAAATAAACACAGAAGACAGGGGAGTCTTGTAGGGACCAGCAAGGACAGGGCGCTATGAAATGAAGATATGAATAATTCACCTCTACCACTAAGATCCACCTAGAAAAACAAGTACTTATCATTATACACGTCACCCATCTCAGCTGAATCAAAACTAAGAATCCAAAAACTCATGTTCTAAATTTAGAAGTATGAAAACTGCAGTTCATGGGCCAAATTTGGACCTCTGCCTGCAAGAGGTCTGCCTGCAAGCTAAGAATGGTTTGTACTTTTTTTTTTTTAATGCTTGGGGGAAAAGTCAAAGGAGGAATAGTATTTTGTGACACATGAAAATTATATGAAATTCAAATTTCAGTGTCCATAATGCTTTAGTGGAACATCGCCAGGCTCATACATTTACATTGTGTCTACCCTGGCTCCTCTCTACAACAGCAGGGTTGAATAGTTGTGACAGAGACCATATAGCCTGCAAGATCTAAAATGCTTACTATGATGGCCAGGCGCAGCGGCTCATGCCTGTAATCCCAGAACTTTGGGAGGCCAAGGCAGGCAGATCACTTGAGGTCAGGAGTTCGAGATCAGCCTGGCCAACTTGGTGAAACACTGTCTCTACTAAAAATACAAAAATTAGCCACGCCTGTTGGCAGGCTCCCGTAGTCCCAGCTACTCAGGAGGCTGAGGCAGGGAGAATCGCTTGAACCCAGAGGCGGAGGTTGCAGTGAGCTGAGATCACGCCATTGCACTCCAGCCTGGGCAACAGAGCAAGACTCTATCTCAAAAAATAAATAAAATAATAAAATGTTTACTATCTGTCCATTTACAGGAAAAGTTTGCCAACCCCTATTGTAAAAGAACCTACATTGATTCCAGGAATGCTACTGCACTGCCTTGTCAGGTAGTTCTCTGTTCCAGGATCAAGGTCAGGGCCAGCAGAGTGCCTGAGAAGAGAACTGCCTCCTCCATGGCAAAGTTCAGGAGAACCCCAGCCCACACAGTGACCAAGGCTCTCCCACACAGCTCACGCAACAACAATGGCAGAGTTGAGACTCTGCACCCACGGGATTTCAGAACAAAAAGCCTTTATCTTTCCACAAAAGCAGTGTTACCAAGAGCTGCATAGCAACCATTTTCCTTAGCAAGCAAACTGAGGAGCAATTTCTGGTCTCTGAAATTCACATTGAAAAAAACAGCTTGGATGCCGGGCTTAATACCCAGGTAATGGGGTTGATCTGTGCAGCAAACCACCATGGCACACTTTTACCTTTGTGACAAACCTGCACATCCTGCACATGTACCCTGGAACTTAAAATAAAAGTTGAAGGAAAAAAAAGAAAAGAAAAAAAAACCCTAACAACCATCAAAAAGGGCTAGTTAAGTAAATTATCCTACACACACACACACACACACACACACACACACACACACACACACACACACAGACAGAGATATTAGAGAGAGTAAGGTGAATTTACATGAGCAGGCATGGAAATATTAATTGAGAAAAGCAAGTTGAAAGACATTATTATTCCATTGTTGCTTAAAATACATTTTTAGGCCGGGCACAGTGGCTCATGCCTGTAATCCCAGCACTTTGGGAGGCCAAGGTGGGTGGATCACTTGGGGTTAGGAGTTTGAGACCAGCCTGGCCAACATGGCAAAACCCTGTCTGTACTGAAAATACAAAAATTAGCTGGGCATAGTGGCACATGCCTGGAGTCCCAGCCACTCGAGAAGCTGAGGCAAGAGAATCACTTGAACCTGGGAGGTGGAGGTTGCAGTGAGCTGAGATCACGCCACTGCACTCCAGCCTTTTTCAATAATATATATACATATAATAGACTTTTTTATACATTTATACAGAAAACGTATTATACACTACATATGAGCTAAGGAAAATAACCAAGCTGTTATATATTACATACGCAACAGTGCGTGGTTGGGATTCAGAACTTTTATATTTCATGTTATATTATTTTATTGTTTGAATTTTATTAATATGAATTACTTTGACAATAAAAATGTTAAAAAGTATTTAAAGGGAAAAAATACTCATGTTGATGGACTTGCAGTTTTTAAGTTGGGAAATGTAGATATTGTCTGTTGCCAAACCTCATGAAACTGCCTCTCAATTGAAGGTATTAATTTTCTTTTTAATTATATTCTAGGCCGGGCGCGGGGGCTCACACCTGTAATCCCAGCACTTTGGGAGGCCAAGGAAGGTGGATCACTTGAAGTCAGGAGTTTGAGACCAGCCTGGCCAACATGGTGAAACCCTGTCTCTACAAAAAATACAAAAATTAGCCAGGCATGGTGGTACATGCCTGTAGTCCCAGCTACTCAGGAGGCTGAGGCTGGAGAATCGCTTGAACCTGAGAAGTGGAGCTTGCAGTGAGCCCAGATGATGCCATTGCACTCCAATCTAGGCGACAGAGCAAGACTGCCTCAAAAAAAAAAAAGTATTTTCTAGTTTTCCAAAATGTTTAAATAAGCATGTGTTCATTTTAGAACCAGAAATTGAGCTAAGACTTGACAGAATCAGTGGTAATCCATACAATCACTATCATGTAAAAATAGCAAAACAGACACAAGCAAAAAGACTAGAAAGCTCTATAACAATATCCTAATGGACATTCCCTCTGGTTTCTGGGTGCTGGGGCTAAGCGTGGTTTTTGTGATAATTTTTGCTTCCTTCTATTTTTCTATATATTCCAGGTCTTCTGCAATGAGTATCTTTTAAGTTTACAGCATGCTTCTCAACATTTTATCACGAAAAATTTTCAAACGTTCAAAATTGAGGCCGGGCGCAGTGGCTCACGCCTTGTAATCCTAGCACTTTGGGAAGCCAAGGTGGGTGGATCACCTGAGGTCAAGAGTGCGAGACCAGCCTGGCCAACATGGTGAAACTCCATCTCTATTAAAAATACAAAAAAAATGAGCTGGGCATGGTGGAGCACGCCTGTAATCTCAGCTACTCGGGAGGCTGAGGCAAGAGAATCGCTTAAACTCAGGAGGCAGAGGTTGCAGTGAGCCAAGATCACGCCATTGTACTCCAGCCTGGGCGACAAGAGCGAGACTGTCTCAAAAAACAAAACAAAACAAAGTTAAAGGAAGTTTTTTAATGAACGTCTGTATACCTGCCACACAGATTGTGCAATTATGTGACTGTATTTGCTTCATCACAAACATGTCCATCTATTCATTCCCTCTGTCCAGTGTCTTTTTTGTTCTTTGTTTTTGTTTTTGTTTTTGTTTTTGAGACGGAGTCTCGCACTGTCGCCCAGGCTGGAGTGCAGTGGCGCGATCTCGGCTCCCTGCAAGCTCCGCCTCCCGGGTTCACGCCATTCTCCTGCCTCAGCCTCCCGAGTAGCTGGGACTACAGGCGCCCGCCACCATGCCGGGCTAATTTTTTGTATTTTTAGTAGAGACAGCGTTTCACCATGTTAGCCAGGATGGTCTCGATCTCCTGACCTCGTGATCCACCCGCCTCAGACTCCCAAGGTGCTAAGATTACAGACATGAGCCACCGCGCCTGGCCCTTTGTTTGTTTGTTTGTTTAATTTAAGAACTAACGCACTGAGGGAGTCCCAAGCGATGTCAGGGCAATGACAACACAGCCGACCCGCGCTCTGTGCTCAAGTTCACGGGGTTCCTGACTCCAAGCCTGCAGTCTTGATCCGCAGCTGTGGTTCTCAGACCTGAGCCTGCACCAATTACAGAAGAGGGGGTTGCTGACATGCAGGATCACTATAGCTTTTTGGCAATTCCCCTCTTCCGCCATCAAGAGCGCGGTGTAAGCGGCCAACGACACCCCTGGAGAACCCCTTCACCTTGGGAGGATGCCCACCTCTGCTTTGGAGGGCCTAGAAACCCATACACTGGCTGAGCTGTGCGCCCGGCACCAATCTAGGCACCTGGGCTCTGTGATCAGGGCGTGGAGCTTTTTGTTCAGTAACAGGAGACAAAAGGTTTTTAAAAAAATACCTTAGTAGGCCGGCGCGGTGGCTCACGCCTGTAATCCCAGCACGCTGGGAGGCCGAGGCGGGTGGATCACCTGTCAGGAGTTCAAGACCAGCCTCGCCAACATGGCAAAACCCCGTCTCTACTATAAAACACACACACACACACACACACACACACACACACACACCTTAGTAAATAAGTAAATAATCTAGAATATGAGAAGAGATCCGAAACCAACAGAAAGAAACAAAAAGCAGAGCGGAGCAGGGTCGGGAGCTGAGCGCTGGTGGGGTGGGGGCACGGGGTGCAATAGGAATTAGAGAGTCAGGGAGACTCCCAGAGCAGCGAGCTGGAGGCGGCCTCGCCTGGAGGCCGGAGATGAGCCTTGCAGATGGCTAACACCTCCGGCAGGGGGAGCAGCCGAGCAAAGGCCCCAGCGGGGCGCGTGTCTGAGCAACAGCAAGGAGGCCAACGAGGCCGGAGTAGGCGTGCGGGGAGGGCAGAGGGTGGGAAGCGGGGGTAGAACGGAGGGTCCAAGAAAAGCAGCCGGTCCGGAAGGCAACGCAGCACCTGACAGCGCTACACCTTTGCCTCTGTCACTGGCAGGGGCCACTGCCAAGTTTAGAACCCAGGAGACTCAGGATCCAACTTGGGTTTTAAAAGGGTCCCTCTGGCTGCTCCGTTGAGAAGAGATGAGATGTAGGGTGCAAGGAGGAGGCGGGAGCCTGCTAGGAGGCAACTGCAGAGAGGGGGGATCTGGGCATGAGTAGTAATGGATGCTGGATCTCCTTTGAAGCTGCAGCCCACCGACTGTGCTGATGGAATGAGGTGGGGTGTGAAGGAAAGAGGAGTCAGATGACTCCAAGGTGTCTGGACAGAGCAACTGGGAGGCGGGATGGGGCTGTTTAGAGACAGAGTAGGCTGGGGGAGAACCAGGCACTCACGCTGGGCAGCGGGTATCCCAACGAGAGGCGGGGACACAGCGCACACATCAGTATGGAGCTAGGGGTCATGGTTTAGAATGAGGATCATCCGTGTTCCTTATGAGATCAGCTCCTCCTGAGAGTTGGAGGCAAAAGCCTGGCTGAAATGTGTTTGAGAGAATGGGGACACAGTGGCATGTGCCTGTAGTCCCAGCTACTCAGGAGGCTGAGGCTGGAGGATCACTTGAGCCAAGAGTTCAAGGCCAGCCTGGGAAACATGTGAGACCCCATCTCTAAAATTTAAAAAATAATAATAATAATAATAAAGAAAAGAGAGAGAATGGGAGAAGATGAACTGGAGGTGATGTCAAAGAGAGCACCTGAGCACCTGAGATTTTTGTTTCGGTCTTGAAAGATGAGGGAAACTTGTATGTGGTAGAGACATAATTTAAACCCAGATCTAAGGACATCCAAATCCTACACACCGTGCTGCAATCATAGAAGCTGGTGGGGAGGAAGTAGCCTTTATGGAGATGTACGGAGAGAGGCAAGCAGGAGATAAGGAGGAGGCGGAAGGAGAGGGCAGGCAGGGCAGGGGCTTCCACTGTGGTGAGTGGGAATCTCAAGGTGCTTTTGGGGTTTGGTCAGAAGCAGGGTTCTTGGGGTGGAGCCCAAGCCTGGAATTTTTTTTAAAGTTCCCAGGTGGGCCGGGCACAGTGGCTCACGCCTGTAATCCCAGCACTTTGGGAGGCCGAGGCAGGCAGATCACGAGGTCAGGAGATCGAGACCATCCTGGCTAACACAGTGAAACCCCGTCTCTACTAAAAATATAAAAAATTAGGCGTAGTGGCACGTGCCTGTAGTCCCAGCTACTCGGGAGGCTGAGGCAGGAGAATTGCTTGAACCCGGGAGGCAGAGGTCGCAGTGAGCCGAGATCGTGCCACTGCACTCCAGCCTGGGCGACAGAGCAAGACTCCATCTCAAATTAATTAATTAATTAATTAAAACAAAGTTCCCAGGTGATTCTACTGTGTAGCCTGGAGCAAGGCCACAGGAGAAGGGTTGTCTAAAAGGGAGAGGTGGGGAGACTGAAGAGTTGGGTTAAGATGGCAGTCATGCCTCATTTCACAGGTGGGGAAACTGGAGCTAAGGGAGGTAACATCACCTGCCCAGGGCAGCCTGAAAGTGGCAACCAGCCTCTTCCTCACCCCTGCAAAGAAAAAGAAGACAGCCCCACCCTACAGCGGACTTTACCTCTCTCCAATCAAGGTCCCTCCAGATGCACCCATGCAACTCTGACTCAGTCCAAGACCCCCGGCTCTGGCACTGTGCGGGACCAGGGAGGACAGTGAGGATGCTTTCAGAATACTTTTTAACCCAAGGGTTGAAACAAAACAAAAAGAATGTTTTTCTTTCACTCAAGGCTATGCAGGAAGCATTCCAATCCACCTACGTGCCATTTGTCTCATCAGAGTTTGAGGGTTTGGGGTTGTTTATGACATATTTCAGGACTACAAAAAATACAGAAAGTGGGATAAAGAGCATGAGTGCTCTGTTTTTAAATCAAGATGAATTTAATTTTCAGAAACAGCATAGCGATTACACACTTGGGGGCCCTGTGTTCAAATCTGAGCTCTACTACTTACTAACTATATAGTCTTGGCCAAGTTACCTAATTACTCCTAACCTCAGTTTCCTCAGCTGCAAAATGGGGATAGGTACAGCACCTGATTTGTGGGATTATCCTGAGGATGAACAGAGTTAATATCTAAAAAACACTCAGTAAATAGGGCTTGATAACGTAGGAGCCATTCACTAACTGGCAGCTTTTACTGCCACCGTTCCCCAGGATGTTGTCATTATTTTTGATTTGGAAAGGTCACAGACCGCTCTCGGACCAGGTGGAGACACTGTGGAGGCTGTGAAACCCAGAATGAAACGAATTCTCCATGTCCCAAAACCACATTCTGTGGTGAGTGTGGAAACCCCTAAACTCACCCCCTTCACTTCTGACGCCCTGGGGGGAAAGCCTGTGATAAATGGAAAGGCTAAAGTCCAAGGTGGGTACTGAGAAAAGACTTCCCAGTTGGGAGTTTTGGTGCCAAGGTTTTAGGAAAAGAAAAACCCATAAGAAGCTAGGTCTCTATTTTCTGAGGCTGCATTCCCAGAAACAGGGCCCAGCCCACCTCCGGGGGCCTCAACTGAGCCCCTCTGTACTCTATTGCTGTGTGATCTCCAAGGATCACTTCACCTCTCTGAACTTCTCTGGTAAACAGGGCTAAGACCCATCTGGCAGGGTTTGTGTAAAGAATCATTGAAATAATGGAAGTGAAAGCTGTAAAAGCACTTATGCCTACGAGAGGGTTGAGACCCCATGCCGCACGCAGGCTGGGTGAGGACAGGGAGGAGAAGGAGGCCTGGCTGCCCAGATTCCCAGCCTCGGGCAGAGAGAGAAGGAGGAGGAGGGATGAACAGCAGCTGGCCTGACACATTACACTTTCCCTTATTGCCACCCTGTGCCCAGGCCTCTTAGCAAGTGGGGGAAAGATACTGGCAGCTCTGGCAGGCACCAGGCCCAGCCTCAGCAGCCCAAAGGTCATAAACATCCTGGAAAAGGAAGCAAAACTCATCCACCCTCCCAGACTTTGACCACCAGGCCCAGGCCTATTCTCCTACAGGGCAAACCTCACCTTCTGGTGAGTCAGAACTGCCCCTCTACTCACCCCCACCACTACCACCAAGCACTACTGGGGGTTTTCACCTGTTACCTGGAATCCTTATAAGAGCCCCATGTTACCAATCGGGAAACTGAGCTCAGAGATGGGAATTAACTTCCCTAAGGTCTCGGAGCTCCCCGAAAAGTAGCACCAGGATTCCGCAGCAGATCTGCCTGAGCTTAAAGGTGAGGTTCTTCCCACCACACCAAGTAATTCACTCCAAGGTACTGACGTTCAACAACTGTGCTCCCATGGCAAAACTGGCCTCTGCCTCACCGCACTCTCGGCCTGAAATGCCCTTTTGCCGTTCACCTGGAAGATTCCTACTCATCCCTCGAGATGGGCTCAACATGTCCACTCCTCAATGCATCCCCTGATGCCTCAGCAAAGCGAGTTGCTGCTGCCTCCACAGCCAAGCCATAGCCCTATTATTGGATGATTCATTGTTAAGCCTAGCCTGTGGGAAGAAGCGATCAATTTCCTTGCCCAGCCTGCCAGCATTCCAAGGACCAGAATTCCGTCTAATTCACCATTATCCAGCCTGGCACTGACAATGTTCTCAGCAGAGGTGTATGGTGGAGGGATGCACGGCTTCCTCCTCCAGCCCCTCTCAGCCCGTGGCTGAATAGGGATGAAACCCTGGAAGGCCTGAAGCCCCAACTGCTATTTAAGAAGGGTCCTCTTCTCTTCTTCTCTCCCCTCCCCTTTGCACCTTAACTAGTTCCACACAGATCCATCAGAAAATCAAGCAAACTCAGATCACAGAGCAGTCAATGACGGAGTCTAGACTCAGAGAACAGGGAAGGCCTATCAATTTCCTCATATTATGGAGCCTCAGTTTCACTTTGGGGTTTCATTTCCTTGGCAGCAGCTGCTCAACAAGCCACAGATTCAAGGATGGCGCAGGTGGAGGAGGGAAGGGAAAGGCTCCCCGCCCACTCATTCTAGCAAATTTGGAACACAGAGAGGAGAGAAATAATCACAGCAGGAGGCATCACAGGCTGAACTAAAGGGCTCAGGAAACTGTGGACACACCCTCTTCGATCCCCCAGGAGGCTCCTGGGGGCGGCTACAACAACTAACATAAAAGCCGCAAAAGCCCACAGTGGGGAGGCAGGATGTCCTTCCCCACTGTAGACAAATAGGAGCAAGATTGCTGTAGAGGATAGTTTTGTTTGGAGTTTTTTGTTTTATTGTGTTTTGTTTTTTTCTGCAGGCTCTCGCTCTGTCACCCAGGCTGGAGTGCACTGGCGCAATCTCGGCTCACTGCAGCCTCGACCTCCCGGGCTCAAGTGATCTACCACCTTGGCCTCTCGAAGTGCTGCAATTACAGACATGAACCACACGTCTGGCCCAAAGGGAATTTTAAAACAATAATAAAACCTATCAAAAGTCGGTCTGCCTTTTATTACTACCATGTGCTGGCCATTTTAAACAATGTCAGTGATAAAATACCACTCCCCCAAAAAATGTCTTATTCACCTAAATTCTAATTGCTGCAGTTACCATTGAGATTTAATCATATACATGTGAGCCACCAATTAGCACATTTTTATTTCTTATCCTTCTAAAACTTTTGTCTTCTACAAGTTAAATCAGAGAACACGCAGTTATCAGTTCCTGAAACACACAGACTCAGCCATAAGTTCTGTTTCAACAATCAGTTCCTAAAGGCTCAGAATAATTTGAACTCCATTTATACAGTTTATGTAGCCAATCTCTGTGGTCCTGCATTTTCCTGTGTTTAAACATAAAACAGCCTGTCTCCCAGTGCCAAAAGAAACTAAAAGAATGATGTTTGAAAGCCTGGGTGATTTTCATCATTTCTAAAGCAATGGATTAAATAAATGTCAAGGTTCACTATCACTCAGCCATTTTCTCTGATTTTTGCAGAAGAAAAACTTGGGGAATTTTGCCAAATATAATTGAAATGTATGATGGGCCGGGCGCGGTGGCTCACGCCTGTAATCCCAGCACTTTGGGAGGCCGAGGCGGGCACATCACCTGAGGTCAGGGGTTCGAGACCAACCTGACCAACATGGAGAAACCCTGTCTCTACTAAAAATACAAAATTAGCCAGGCGCGGTGGCGCATGCCTGTAATCCCAGCTACTTGGGAGGCTGAAGCAGGAGACTCGCTTGAACCCAGGAGGCGGAGGTTGCAGCGAGCCGAGATCACGCCATTGCACTCCAGCCTGGACAACAAGAGTGAAACTCCATCTCAAAAAAAAAAAGTATGATGAACTGTCTGGTGAAGATTTTGTTGTTGTTTTGTTTTTAGAGATGGGGTCTTGCTATATTACCCAGGGTAGTTTCAAACTCCTAGGCTCAAGTGATCCTCCCACCTTGGCCTCCCCAAGTGCTGGAATTACAGTAATGAATCACTGCACCCAGCCTGTCTTAGTGAAAATGTCTCTAAAAAGGAGATATTTAAGCTGTAGAACTGATTAAAGAAAAAAAGATTTAGGCAGTATTGCAATGTCTGGAATTTATTATGAAATGGGATTTTTATAAATCTCTGCCAAACTAATCCTGATGGTTAAGGCTTTTCCTTTGTCTCTCTAGTTTTATATGAAAGCAGCTTTTGAAATTAAAATTAATAAAAAGTGTTCTTCAATCAACTGGGAGCAAAGATGGACTAGTAGATATAGCTCCCCTGAATACTGACCATGAATATGCAAAGATTGATTTTGACAATGTCATGGACAACTTTTCAGAAGTTTCAAAAACAGAAGTTGTAGTGTTACTATTATTCATCTCTGATACCATCCTACATCTAAGTTTTTCCTTTTTTCAAAAATACATTAATGTGATTAAAACCTACTAATCCATTTTTTTTCCTGCTTTTGCACTCACATTTACTTTTTCATTTTTAATTTTTTTACTCTCATGATTACATATATAAGGTTTTTACTGTCATGATTACATATACGAGGTTCAATAAAAGAAAATGCTCACTGTGTTTCTTTCTGGACATTATTACTATTCATTGCATGATTATTGCTAAAAATAATGTTATCAGATAGAGAATGATATTAAAAAGTGACCACTCCAGGTGTCAAACAAACATGCCAGATACACCCTGACACCAGGCAAAACTCTTTATATGGACTGAGATAATAACAACAGTGAATTATGGTTGAGCACTCAAAATGTGTGCTAGGCATTGTTCTGGGCACTTTCTGAGTATTAAGTGATATAATCTTCACTCTGCGGCAGGGCTCGGTGGCTCACGCCTGTAATCCCAGCACTTTGCGAGACCGAGGCGGGCGGAGCACGAGGTCAGGAAGTCGAGACCATCCTGGCTAACACGGTGAAACCCCGTCTCCACTAAAAATACAAAAAATTAGCCAGGCGTAGTGGCGGGCGCCTGTACTCCCAGCTACTCGGTAGGCTGAGGCAGGAGAATCGCTTGAACCCGAGAGGCGGAGGTCGCAGTGAGCCGAGATCATGCCACTGCACTCCAGCCTGGGTGACAGAGCGAGACTCCGTCTCAAAAAATAAAAATAAAAATAAAAATAAATAAATAAAACAAAACCTTCACTCTGGGAAACAGTGGATTTGAACTTGATGAGAGTCTCACAACCAGATGCTCAACACTAGGAGGGTCCACCTCCAAATCCCATCCTCTGAATCCCTCTGCTGCGGTCCGGCCAGGCGGAAGGGGGGCAGTCGCCAAGCACAGTTAACGCTGGGACTCCGCTGGCAGGGCTGGTCATGGGATGAGTCAGCTGACATAGCCCCCAAGGCCTGTCCCGCTGTCCGGGTGTGGCTCCGGAGGGCAGCGCCAGATTTCTGCGGACAGACCTGCCCTGGCCACCTCCCTCCTGAGGGTCCCGCCTTCCGCTGGGCGCGTTTCAGGCAGGGCGCCCCCACACCGGCCCCCGGAAGGACGCGCCGAGACAACTCCCAACAGGTGCGCGCCGACCCGCAGCTGACACCGATGCCTCGCAGCTGACAGAGGTGCGGGCCCCACATCCTCGAGGCTCCTCTCTCGGAAGCAGTAATTCAGGCTCCGAGACAACGAGTCCCCACTAACAGGGGGCTCCCAGCCCCGCCCAGCCCCGCCTCGCCCCGCACTTACAATGGGCGCACGCATCTTCCCTCGCGGTGTGGACCCTCAAGGCCAGGCTCGATTTCGCTGCGTAGATGTCTGAGGCAGGGGGAGCAGGGATTTATTGTCATTAACAGGAAACTGCGTCTCCAGACCCCACGGGACTGCGGCTTCTGTTGGGCAGGGCGTGAGAGGCGCGCCTCGGACCCCAGGAACAACCACCTCGCTCCCTTTAACAACTTTCTCGCCGGGGCCCGGCGGGCGCCCAGGAGGCTGCAGGTGCCAGCGGGCGGCTCGGCAGGCTAGTCTACACCCGCCCTACCCAATTAGATCTCTTCCTCGCGGAAGGGGAGAAGCATCCCAGGCACCTCGCCCGGCCTTATCGCACCCTTCCAGGAAGACCCGATCCACCCACCTCGCGGTCTCGGAGGCAGCGCTGCAGCCCCAGCAATTGGACCGGGTCTAATGGCCGCGGTGGCCGGGCCGGCGTGAGGTCACCCGGCCCCTCCCCGCGCCGCCGGCTAATGAGAGCCTCGCAGAGCGCCCGGCCCCGGTCCCGAGCCCGGCGACTGCAGGACGCCCGCGCCCCCGGCACCGCCTCTTCCCGCCTCACCCATGCCCTGCGCGCCCAGCATCCAGGAGTCGCACACACTCGACCTCTGCACACACATCACACTGCAGGGCCATGATGGGTTTACTTTCGCCTTCACTCAAGAATGGGCTTATAGTTTAAAAACTGAAGGAGTTAAAAATATACCACCAAGGGCCGGGCGCGGTGGCTCACGCCTGTAATCTCAGCACTTTGGGAGGCCGAGGCGGGCAGATCACGAGGTCAAGAGATCGAGACCATGCTGGCTAACACGATGAAACCCCGTCTCTACTAAAAATGCAAAAAATTAGCCGGGCGTGGAGGCATGCGCCTGTAGTCCCAGCTACTCGGGAGGCTGAGGCAGGAGAATCACTTGAGCCCGGGAGGTGGGGGTTGCAGTGAGCCAAGATCGCGCCACTGCACTCTAGCCTGTGCAACAAAGCGAAACTCAGTCTCAAAATATATATATGTGTGTATATATATGTATATATATGTGTATATATATGTGTGTATATATGTGTGTATATATGTGTATATATGTGTATATATGTGTGTATATATGTGTGTATATATGTATATGTGTATATGTGTGTATATATGTGTATATATGTGTGTATATGTGTGTATATATATGTGTGTATATATGTGTGTATATATATGTGTATATATGTGTATATATGTGTATATATGTGTGTGTATATATATGTGTGTATATATGTGTATATATGTGTATATATATGTGTGTATATATGTGTGTATATATGTGTGTATATATGTGTGTATATATGTGTGTATATATATGTGTGCATATATATGTGTGTATATATATGTGTATATATGTGTGTATATGTGTGTGTGTGTGTGTGTGTGTGTATATACACACCACCATGGCATATTGGCTGTTTTGAATTAAAGGCATTTAAAACTCAGCAGGTGCAAGAAGACCCCTTTTCTGTGTCTTAAAAGCAGATGAAATTTCCATGTTGAAGGACACCTTCCTTATACTAGAAGAAAAAGCAACATCCTTATCCTCAAAGAGGAGATGTTGAGACGGAAAGAATTCTGTACAGACCTTGTTGAAATAACTTTTTTCATTTTTTACTTTTTGGGGTTTTTTGTTTTTTTTTTTTTGAGACAGTCTCACTCTGTCACCCAGGCTGGAGTGCAGTGGCTCTATCTCAGCTCACTGCAACCTCTGCCTTCCGGGCAAGCGATTCTCCTGCCTCAGCCTCCGGAGTAGTTGGGATTACAGACGTGCACCACCGCGCCCAGCTAATTTTTGTATTTTTAGTAGAGACAGGGTTTCAGCATGTTGACCATGCTGGTCACGAACTCCTGGCCCCAAATGACCCACCTGCCTCAGCCTCCGAAAGGGCTGGGATTACAGGCGTGAGCCACCACTCGGCCCATTTTTTACTTTTTAAT